>NC_000005.10:81624958-81927988 GCF_000001405.40 Homo sapiens | reverse complement strand
ACAAGGATGGGGTCCTAATCTGATAAGATTGGTGCCCTTATAAGAAGCAGCAGCAACACAAAACATCTCTCTCGCTCCATGCAAGCACAAAGGAAAGGCCATGTGAGGATGCAGCAAGAATGTAGCCATCTGCAAACCAGGAAGAGAGCCCTCACCAGAAACTTATTTTGCCAACACCTTGATTGTGGACCTCTAGCCCCCAGAACCATGAGAAAGTAAATCTCTGTTGTTTAAGTCATCCAGCTTGTGGTATTTTGTTATGGCAGCCCAGGGAAGGCAAATATAACTCTTTTTTTTTTTTTTTTTTTTTTTTTTTTTCAGATGGAGTCTCACTCTGTCACCCAGGCTGGAGTGCAGTGGCGCAATCTTGGTTCACTGCAATCTCTGCCTCCTGGGTTCAAGCGATTCTTGTGACAGCCTCTTGAGTAGCTGGTACTACAAGCCTGTGCCACCACATCCAGCTAATTTTTATATTTTTAATAGAGATGGGGTTTCACCATGTTAGCCAGGCTGGTCTTGAACCCCTGACCTCAAGTGATCTGCCCGCCTTGGCCTCCCAAAGTGCTGGGATTACAGGCATTAGCCACCACAGCTGGCCAAAAGAAGACTAATATAACTCTTAAAGGGGATTCCATAGAGAGTTTACAAAACCACTTTCGTGGGTTTTTAACCACCTTCCTTTGTTACTGGTGTGACAACACATAATGGAGAATGTGTCCTCATGCCTTAACAGTGACACAAACCTACTAAATAAGTCAGAAACACAGTTGAAGTCTCAAGAATTTTAAATTTTCCATCCCTGAGCAGATATATTTTGAAAATCTTAAACTGCTGTGAAAAGACTGCTGAGATGTGTGTTTCATGGGACCTTTCCAAAATTTTTCTTACTAAGGAAGTACCTCATATTTCAAGAGAAGCATAAAAAACTTAGCTGTAGATGTCATTCTAATGAAAACCAAAAAGATTTTTTATCTTGTTACTTTATCTTAGACTCAAGCTAGCCCTTAATTTAATACAACTTCACATAAGTATTTCTCATTAATAAGATAATACTCTAAAATCTGGACTATTATCTATACTAAATTAATGCAGTGAAGCATTTACTCTAATTCTAGACAGGTGGGTATCAAACTTTCCTGGCACTAATACTCATGTATGGAACTTGTTAAAAATACAAATTCTGGATTCCCACCTTCAGGGGTTTTGACTGGGGAGGCATCTGGGGTGGGGCCAGATTTTTTGTTTTTAAAATACACTCCAAGGGATCCTGATGTAGATCACAATTTGAGAAACACTATTCTAGGTTTCAAGCAAATTTGAAGAACAATTTATTCTGAATTCAAATGGAAACATACCTAATGTTGTCAGGATGCTTACCATGGGTATAATTATACCATGAAATGTATATAGGCTCCCATTTTTTCACTCTCAGTTATATATTCAACAATGGCAATTTTAATGAAAAATGTATATGTGTTTACTTCATTTACTGTTTCACACACAAAGTATGTGCTAAAAAGCATGTCAACATTCCATCAAAAGGGGCATTTTTTTAAAACTGCAAAGAACGTTTGCATTCTACAATAAGGTTTGATCTAAAATGAAAATCGACAATAAAAGGAAAGGGAAATGTGTTCATTCATCCAACAAGTATATATTAGTGACAACATTAGTGAAATGCATCCATTTAGGCAACAAATATATATATGTGGTGTGTGTGTGTGTGTGTGGTGTGTGTGCGTGTGTGTGCTAGCACCATGGGAGAGACGGATGCATCAAAGAGAGCTCTGTCCTCACGAGGCTCACAGCCTAGCAAGAGATAAAAGGCCTGGGCACAGATGACTGATGCAAAAGAGAAGTGATATGCCATAAGAAAAACTTGGACGCTGTGGGAATTCAGGGGAGTGAACCTCCAGAATGAATGCAGCAAAGGCTGAATGTGGGGAAGAAGCATAAGACAGAGCAAGAAAGATAGGCGAGGGTCAGATCATGACCGGTGTTTTGTGCTAAGCCAAGGGGTTTGATATATGTCCTAGGAACTATGGGGAGCCATTGGCAGATTTTCGGGGAGGGAGTGACATTCATTCATTTCCTGAGAAATTACCAAACACTTGCTGCAAGTCCAGCACTGGCTGAAACTGCTCAGCAGAATCACCTGGGGAGTTAATAAATAGTTCCTGAGACTTGGCCCCACCCAGATCTACCCCATTAGAATCCCTAGGGCAGGTGAACAGTAGTGTGTTTTAAAAAATTTCTCCCAGCAATTCTGATGCAAAGCCAAGTTAGGCAGCCACCATTGAATGGTGCATATATATATATATATATATATATACACATATATATATGTTTATATGTTTATATATATATATGTTTATATATATATATATAAACATCTTTGCCCTGAGCTGTTTTCAGAAGGAGAGCCACTTGAGCAAAGGAACTGAGCTAGAAATAAAATCACTTACTTGGTGAATGTTGCTAAAATCAACAGAATAGGAGGCAGTAAAAGAAAAGCTGGACAGGTAAGGCGGGGCCAATAGGTTGGGTCAATTAACTTTTGAACAAGAAAAGAACACTCTGAAAACATTATTTTAGGACACAATTTTTTCTGTGATGTCCAGAATAGCCTAGAAGAAACAACTAGAGGCAGAGACACCAAGAAGAGCCGAACACAGTAATCCAAGCATAGGATTATGGCAGATGGCTGAGGTGACAACCGAAGGGATGGAGAAAAGTAGATGAAACTGAGTGACAGTTTTTGAAACTGCCACATGGCTTATCACGTGTGTCACTAGTGAGAAAGGAGAAAAGCACAGGGAAAGAGAAGGAAATAAGGCAGGACAGACGGAAAGTAGATGAGAGAATCATAATGGAACTTGCATGGTAAGAAAAGAGAGTCACATCCAGAAATGTAAACTGCCACTGTGTGTATAGAACTTACAGTATAAAGTATTTTAAATTGCCCTGAAAGCTGCCATTTTGTAGATGGAAAACAAGAAAAGGACAATATCCCAAAATGTCAAGTCAAAGTGGCAACTTATTTTTCAAGTAACACTTGGGGTTTATTATTGGTATTATTTAAAAAGTAAACACTATGCTTACAATCTTGGTACTATTTTATTTTTAAATTATTAGTATAAGTTATTATTAATGGACATATTACCTTTTAAATTAAAAAAACTACAGCTTCCTCTCAGTTCCCCTATCCATTTCTTTGTCTAGGTGTCTCTGCTCATGTCCATGCTTTGGCCACAAGTCAATTATGATAACAAGGGTGAAAAGGGAATAAGAAGCCTCTTGCCAGGGCCTCCTGCCAGGGACAGATGCACTTGCTCTCTGGTGCTTCTTGTGCACAAAGGACGCTTAAGCTTTCAACAGAAAGCTTGAAAGAAAACAAGGGTGCATACATGCGTGCAGGCTGTGCACTGCCCAGCTCTGGAGGGCTGTTCACCTCCGTGGATTTGTGTAGTTAATTTCTGGCAGACGGAAATCAAGTTTCTTGAGGAAAGGGTGCCTTTTTCTGATTTGCACTAAGGCACTGTATGGGCTAGCAACAATGCTGAAGGAAATCCTCTGTTTTCAGTGATTCTTAAACCATGGTCTTGGGATTAACTGTGTTAGCATGCTTTGGGAGCTGTCTCAAAAATATAGAGTTCTGGATCTCAGGATATGGAGGCAGATCTTGGACTCTGCATATTTAATAAACTTTCACCGGGCAATTCTTATATTCTATTTAAACATAATTTTTCAATTACTTGGAAGATGGCTTCATCTTCCCTCAACCAAGCATAAAGGCATAAAGAAGTATATATATTTTAAACCACTTTACTATTAAAAAAAGCAGCACCCCAATTCCTAAATGACTTTTCATTTTAGAATAAAAGTGTCGGAATAAAAATGCAGATGTAGAGGGTAAGAAGTGAGGTTACAACTTCCATGCCAGAGATACAAAGAGATGCCTCAACATTATGTAGGAAATGCCACACTAGGTCACCTGTTTGATCTGCCCAACCCAGAATGTCAGATTAATCCATCTCCATGATCTCAAGAGTCTACACCAGGAGTATTTTCCAAACTCCCCTAATGTGCCCATTATGGACCATTGATCAGTGTTTGCAAACTCTTATCAAGCATATTTATATTTTCAGTCTGCACAATCCATGAAATAAAACAGTTCTTGTTTATTACCTAATGGGTAAATTGTCATCTACCTTTCCGTGTTCTGAAAGGAGCTTTGTCGAGCATCAAATGGCACTTTCAGCAGCCTCACCAAGGGGTCTGTTGGACAAAGAGTGCTTACCCCAGCCTTCACATTGCTTCTTGATTCATAGGCTGCAGTCTGAGTCCCTTTCAGGATGAAGAGCTCTAATCTTTTCAGTCGGTTCTCATAACGAAAACTGCCATGCCTTTTAGTCACCTTAGATGTCCTTGCAAGAATCAGTTTTTGTTTTGTTTTGTTGTCGTTTGTTTGTTTTGTTGTTGTTGTTGTTTTTTACCCAGGTTGTCTTTTTTAAGGTTTGGTGGCCTGAAATACACACAGTTGTCCATATATATTCCTATACATCATGACATTGCTTTCTTAGCTTGTTGAACAATCATTTGAGACTTCAAAAGCAATCCCAGATATTAAAAACTCAGATATTGAAGTTTTATGAAAGTGGAAAATTATGTATTTTTATGCAGGTAGGGGAGCCAAGATGAATTAAATAACATTAGCCAGCTGTTTTCCCTTGAGTACCATCACCTTCCATCTTATCTAGACGTACCCTCAGCTGCCTGGCATCCATCCAAGTCCCCAGTTTGACCAGGAACTGTCCAAGGCAGGAAACTGCACTGTAGGGACCTAATGAAAAAACAGTGCATGGCAAAGCATCATCTGTACAGTCATGACACTGCTTCTTCCATATGCCTCATGATTACTTATGAGATTCACACCTGACCTCCATGAGCATTCATCCTGTGGCATGCGGGTATTGATATTGGTACATTCTGCTTTTGAAAAAAAGTGACTTAGAGCCCAGTGTGAAAAGCCCCAAAGCCAGGTGTTTCTAAGCCTTGGTTTACAGCGCAGTATCGATTTAGGTGATGTATTACTCAGGGTTTTGTAGAAGAACAAAACAAATAGTATGATTCAAATGCTAACCTCTTCTGGAAACACCCTCTAGACACATCCAGAAATAATGTTTTACCAGCTGTCTGGGCATCCCTTAGCCCAGTTAAGTTTATACATAAAATTCCCCATCACAGGTGCCATTCATGCTGAAGGTCATGCGTGCCTGACAGTGTCCACACAAGCCAGCTGAGACAGAGGAATGCTCCTGGAATCCCTCATCACCCCAGTGTCTGAATCTCCTCCCTCCCTCTCCCTTCCACTTTTGCTTACACACTGTTCTCATTAGAGATATTGGGTCTTCTGTCTTCTCCTTGAATAAAGCCTCTGGTTCCTTACTTAGTTTCCCCTTTAAGACCCCCATCTGTGATGCCTTGGCAGTCCTTTTTATTTAAACACCCACGGGGGGCCCCACTGCCTGCCCAGGCTGCTGCCACCCGAACAAACCCTAAAGTGGAAAAACACACTACCCCAGTCCATATCGCAGACCCCATTTCTTTTGGGTTTCTTTGCTCCAGGATGTAACAACTGGATGCTCAAAGCAGGGAATTCAGAAAATTAATCTAATGGAGGTGGGGAGGGATGTAATTAGAGACAAGGAGACATGAAAGGAAGCAAATGCACCAGGCAATGAATTAAGGTAATGGCAGTGGGAATGGGTAGGGACAAATGTAAGGCACATTTTAAAGGAAGACCCAGGGATGAGTCCTCATGCCACATAAGCAGCATCTTTCATGATTAGACCCCAACTCTGTCACAGCCTGAGATTTCAGTAAGTTTTACCATTTTCTCATCTGTTCCTGTACCAATCCCTTGCCTCACTATCTTCATATACCTCTTCTTCACGCCTTGGATTTGACCCTGACGCTGCGGCTCTGGTTCTGACCTCTGACTTTCTCTGTCACTACAGTTCGCCTTGTCCCCTTGACTATGATGCTTGTCTCACCCAGTCAAGCATCTGTTCCCGGACCCCAGCCGCAGCTCAGGTGACTTTAACTAGCATTCTCTCTAGGTTTGTACTGGCTTCAAAAACAGAATGAAACTGGAAAAGAGGATGTCAAACTATTGCTGTTTGCTGATGATATGATCGTATACATAGAAAACCCTAAAGACTCATCCAAAAAGCTCCTAGATCTAATAAACTAATTCAGTGAAGTCTCAGTTTACAAAAATCAATGTACACAAATCGGTAACACTGCTATATACCAACAATGACCACACTTAGAATCAAATAAAGAACTCAATCCCTTGTACAACAGCTGCAGAAAAAAATTAAGTACCTAGGAATATACGTAACCATGGAAGTGAAAGATATCCAGAAGGAAAACTACATAACACTGCTGAAAGAAATCACAGATGACACAAACAAATGGAAACACATCCCATACTCAGGGATGGGAAGAATCAATATTGTGAAAATGACCACACTGCCAAAAGCAATCTATAGATTCAATACAATTCCCATCAAAATACCACCATCATTTTTCACAGAACTAGAGAAAACAATCCTAAAATTCATATGGAACCAAAAAAGAGCCCGCACAGCCAAAGCAATATTAAGCAAAAAGAACAAAGGGGCCAGGCGCGGTGGCTCACCGCTGTAATCCCAGAACTTTGGGAGGCCAAGGTGGGTGGATCACCTGGGCTCAGGAGTTCGAGAGTAGCCTGGCCAACATGGCAAAACACAGTCTCAACTAAAAGTACAAAAATTAGCCAGACATGGTGGCAGGCGCCTGTAATCCCAGCTCCTCAGGAGGCTGAGGCAGGAGAATCGCTTGAACCTGGGAGGCGGAGGTTGCAGTGAGCTGATATCACGCCACTGTATTCCAGCCTGGGCAACAAGAGTGAGACTCCATCTCAAAAACAAAAACAAAAACAAAAACAAAACAAGGGCCGGGCGCGGTGGCTCACGCCTGTAATCCCAGCACTTTGGGAGGCTGAGGTGGGCGGATCACGAGGTCAGGAGATCGAGACCATCCTGGTTAACATGATGAAACCCCGTCTCTACTAAAAATACAAAAAAATTAGCCAGGCGAGATGGTGGGCGCCTGTAGTCCCAGCTACTGGGGAGGCTGAGGCAGGAGAATGGCGTGAATCTGGGAGGCGGAGCTTGCAGTGAGCCGAGATCGTGCCATGGCACTCCAGCCTGGGTGACAGAGAAAGACTCCGTCTCAAAAAAAACAACAAAAACAAACAAACAAAAAAAGAACAAATGTGGAGGCATCACATTACTGGACTTCAAATTATATTACAAGGCTATAGTTACCAAAACAGCATGGTACTGGTATAAAAATAGGCACTTAGAGCAATGGAACGGAATAGAGATCCAATAGAAATAAAGCCAAATACTCATTGCCAATTGATCTTTGACAAAGCATACAAAAACGTAAATTGGGGAAAGGACACCCTATTTAATAAATGGTGCTGGGAAAACTGGCAAGTCACATGTAGAAGAATGAAACTGGATCCCCATTTCTCACCTTATAAAAAATCAACTTAAGATGGATTAAAGACTTAAATCTAAGACCTGAAACAATAAAAATTCTAGAAGATAACATTGGAAAAGTCTTTTGGACATTGGCCTAGGCAGATAATTCATGGCTAAGACCCCAAAGCAAATGCAACAAAAACAAAAATAAGTAAATGGGATTTAATTTAAAAAGCCACACAGCAAAAGAAATAATCAGCAGAGTAAACAGACAATGCACAGAGTGGGAGAAAATATACACAAACTATGCATCTGACAAATAACTAGTATCCGTAATCTACAAGCAACTCAAACAAATCAGCAAGAAAAAGACAAATAATCCCATCAAAATTGACCAAAAGATATGTACAGACATTTCTCAAAAGAAGATATACAAACAGCCAACAAACATGTGAAAAAATGTTCAACATCACTAATCAGGATGTTGCAAATCAAAAGCACGATGAGATACCACTTTACTCTTGCAAGAATGGCTATAATTAAAAAGTCAAAAAACAATAGCTGTTGGTATGGATGTGGTGAAAAGGGAAACTGTTACACTGCTGGTGGGAATATAAATGAGTACAACCTCTATGGAAAACAATATGCAGTATGGAGATTCCTTAAAAGAACTAAAAGTAGACCTACTATTCAATCCAGCAATCCCACTACTGGGTATCTACCCAAAAGAAAAGAAGTCATTATATGAAAAGATACATGCACACATGTGTTTATAGCAGAAAAATTTGCAATTGCAAAGATAAAAACCAACCTAAGTGCCCATTGGCTAAGTAGGTAAATAAAATGTGATATATATACACACACACACACACACACACACACATATATGTGTATATATATGTGTATACACACACACACACACACACACACACACCATGGAATACTACTCAGTCATAAAAAGGAACAAAATAATGTCTTTTGCAGCAATTTGAATGGAGCTGGAGGCTGCTATTCTAAGTGAAGTAACTCAGGAATGAAAAATGAAATACTGTATGTTCTCACTTATAAGTGGGAGCTAAGCTACAAGGACGCAAAGACATACAGAGTGATATAATGAACTTTAGGAGGTGGAGGTTGGGAGGGGGAGTGAGGGATAAAAGACTACATATTGGGTACAGTGTACACTACTCAGGTGATGGGTGCACTAAAATCTCAGAATTCACAACTATAGAATTCATCCATGTAACCAAAAACCACTTGTACTCCAAAAGCTATTGAAATAAAATAATAATAATGAATTTGAACTTTTAAAAAAAATAGACCTTGATTGCCTCACATTGTTCAAGCATGAGTGATAAGACATTAGGAGGGAGGATATCATCCTGGGGTTCAGGATTAGGGGAATGGAGTTTTCTATATGGAAGTAAGAAAAAGCCACTAGTCTGAGAGGTAAGGTGAGGCAATCACTTTTCACACAAATTAGAGGGTATTAACAGGACATCCAAATGTCTGTCTAACATGAAGTCTGACACATTGGATAGAAAGTCAGGAGGGAGGTCAGGACCAGAGTCAGAGTGGACAGACACACAGGCTGTGTACTGCGTAACTCTAGGGGGTGGCATTCACATAGACTAGAATGTAAAAGGCATCCCCTGGAGCTGTACAAAGCTGTAATCCTGGTCAGGGCAGGGAAATATCACAGGGAGGAAATAAATGAAGCCAAGATGTAATAAATCTGAGAGCAAACCAGAAGAGCACAGGATTAGGACCACACTTTGGGAAAAATGTAAGGAGGCAGAAGAGAAACTCTATTATCAAAAGACATATGAAGTAGTATCATAAGTTAAGTAGGATTTCAAGGAGGAAAAAATCAATAACCTCAAATGCTACAGAAGGGTCAAGGAAGAGAGAACCTAGAAAATAATTTAAAGGAATGTGGTGCAAAGAAGACTGACCCGGAAGAGAGTAATCAGGTCCTGAGTCTTGGTGTGACCACTCGTTGGGCAAGGCACCTTACTTTGGGGAAGCTTTTTCTCATCTGTGGCAGTGATAAGAATTGTTATGGAGACAATAATCATGTTTTATGGACTGTTTCTATATGCCAGGCACTGCTATAAGCACTGTACAATTAACTCACTTATTCCCGCAATAACTTCATTATAGAATTCCAATATTATCCCCATTTTACAGGTAAGGAAACTGAAGCACAGAGACCTGTGAAGGACAGTCTAAAGTGATACAGTCAATAAATGGCAGTGCCAGAATCTGTCCCAAGAGGTGGCTTGCCTGGTGTAGAAGGACCTGCTAGCTTCATCATTTTAATATCTACAAACTAGAAGGTTGCTAGTGACCTTCCAAGGATATGTTTTGAGTAGAGGGTGAGAAAGAAAAAAAAACGATGATAATGAAAGAAAGGAAGTTGGTCGGTAAAAAGGTGAGAAAAAGGATCAGGAGCATTAAAAGCAACAGGGTCAAATAATGATTGTTTCAAGAAAGATGACAACTGTGTATATTGTTGCTTGAGGGGAAGAAGGCAGTGAAGAGGAAGAAATTAAAGATGCCGGAGACTGGGGGAAATTGACAGAGCAGAATTCCAGAGAAGACAGGCTAGCCTTGAAAAGGGAAATAACACCAAAAATGGCACAGAGAGACTGGGTTTAGAGGCAGAGGGTAGGGAAATGGGAAAATTCATGTCTGAGGTCCTTGCTTTTAGGAAATAATAATTTAAAATGCAATAAGTTCAAAGTGGATGGACACAGGCACCACTGGAATTTTTTTTCATATTTTTATTATATTATAGAAGTACCATGTAGTACCACCATGTTGGCCAAGCTGGTCTTGAACTCCTGACCTCAAGTGATCCACACCTCAGCCTCCCGAAGTGCTGGGATTACAGGCGCGAGCCACCACGCCCGGCCCCAATTTTTTTTAATATATTTTATGAATAAAATAGCACTGAATATATTTGCACATAAAACCTATTCTATATTTGGGATCACCTTCAAAAACTAGAGCCCTCAAATATATAACTACCAAGTCAATTACTGAGTATAATTGCTGAATACCTCCAAGGCTTTTGACACTTCATATATTATTTTCATTTTTTACCTGCAGTGAATAAGAATAACATTTTCCTATGCCTTTGACAGAATGGATCATTTACAAACAAACAAAGAAACAAAGGAAAAACTTTGTTAATTTGACAGATGAAAAACAAGTATCTCATTATGTGACATTTCTTTCCTTACTAGTGATTCTGAATAAGTTTGCATATATTTGTTAATTATTTTTTCTACTTTGTAAAATGTTTATCTTTGTCCCTATCTTTTGGGATCATAGTGTTTTTCAATTTTACCAATTGTAGGAGTTATTTATATAATAAGGATATTACTGTGTTCCCATTTTAAATTTCCTAACTAATGTACTTTACTTTCATTTATTAGATTGGCTTTTCCTATTATTATAAAAGTAGTCCATATTCTGAGTCTGATTCTTCAATTCCTTTTAATTGAACCAATGCCCCCGTTTGTTTCCATTCAGTTTCCTTCTAGCTTATGTTGGTCAGAGTTAGTATCTGTGGGTTACAACAAAGAACTCTGATAAACCCAGCAATAATCAATTAAAAGTGCAATAAGAAGAAGCTGATATACGTTATCCATCAGAACCATCAAGTATCTGGGAATAAACTTACAAGCAAGCATGGTAGACCTTTAGGAAGAAAACTATAAATCTTTGCTGAGGCCATAGGAAAAAAACCTGAATGGAAGAGGAACATAATATTTTCCTAGTGAGAAACACTGAGTGGTATGAAGATGTTAATATTCCCCCAAATAATTGTATAAATTCAATCCCAATACAATGGGATTATTTCTGATATGACAAGTTGGTTCAGATCTATAAAAAAAAATATGTAAGAACAGCCAGAAACTGAAAAGTACAACCTAATGTAAAGCAATGATTGGTACAGAACCTTGTATTTGCTGAGATTAGACAAGTAGAGTGGAAGTGTCTGAAGACAAACCTGAATAAATATGGCGAAAATATGATAATGGTGGTATTTCAGATTGGTGGGGAAAAGAATCGTTGTTCAATAATTTGTGTTTTGGAATCATTGCCTCATGATTCACAAGCTGCACACTCTGCTAGCTGCAACCTGACCTTGCTGGCTGCTCTTTTTCTGCCTCATTTATTTGCTTCTCTTTCTCCAACTAAGTGCACCAGAACTTGAACATGGGCCTTATTCTTTTCTACATCGACTTCATCTAGGACTCTGGCTTTAATACCAACTTTACTAGTGGGTCTTAAATTTCTCTCTCCAGTCCTTATCTAACTCCTAAAGTCTAGCTTCATACATTCAACTGCCTACTTGACATTCCATTTGGGATATCTAAAATTTAACATTTCTAGAATATAGCAAGTAATTCTTCTTCCACTACCACCCCTCACCACCAAACCCATACACTCATCTGAGATTAGTAGCCTCTTTAAAATTTTCTATCTTAGTAAATAACTGTCTACCAAGGTCCTCTATCCAAAAACCTAAGTCATCTCTTAGTAATTTCTCTATTTCCTTCAACCTCCAACATTCACTCTACCAGTATGCCCATGGAAAAGAGAATAAGTGAGTGGTTAAGAACATGAGCCCTCGAATCAAACTATCTGGGTTCAGATACTGGCTCTACCATTTACCAACTCTGTAACCTCAGGCAAGTTACTTACATTTGATCAAGTTGTCTCATCTGTAAAACAAAGGCAATGCTATTTTCTAATTCATAGGGTAACAGGGAGAATTAGTGTGTTGTTAAGAGATGGGAACAATAGTTGATACATATTATGTGTTCAATAAATGTCAGATATTATTTTTGTTTCCAATATATATCTCAAATCTGTCCAATTCTCTCCATATTCATATGTACCTCCATAGTTCAACTCACCATCTTCCTTTCTAACTGATCTCTCCACTTTCTCTATTGTTGCACTACTATTCATTCTTCAGACAGTAGTCAAAGGGATTCTTTAAAAGTGTAACTTGGATTGGATACTACTATAGTTTGGATATTTAGCCTTTCAAACCTCATGTTGAAATGTGATCTCTAATGTTAGAGGAGAGGCTTAATGGGAGGTGTTTGGGTCATGGGGGTGGATCCTTCATGAATAGATTAGTGCCCTCCCCAGGGAGTGGGGCTAAGTGAGTTCTTGCTGTATTCATTCCCACAGAAGTTCCTCTGAAAGCTGGTTGTTAAAAAGAGCCTGGCACCTTCCCTCTCTCTCCTGCCTCCTCTCTTGTCTTATGATATCTACCCAAGCCAGCTCCCCTTTGCCTTCCACCATGAGTGGAAGGAGTTTCAGGCCTATACCAGATGCAGATGCCTGTGCCATGCTTCTTGTGTAGCCTGTAGAACTGTGAGCCAAATAAACCTCTCTTCTTTATAAATTACCCAGCCTCAAGTATTCCTTTATAGCAACACGAACAGACTAAGACAGATGCTCTCCTGCTTAATAACTTCCTCTGTCCTCTTTAGCATGGGCTGGAAGTCCCTGCATGAACTGGCCCTACCCAACTCTCTGACCTCATCTGGTAATATTCTCCTGCTAACTAACTTCACTCCTCCCATAGTGGCTTTATTCTGTTGCTTGAATATACCAACCTTGCTCCAGCTCAGAGCCTTTGCTTATGCTCACCCCTCTGCCTAGAACACTCTTTTCTTGGCTCTTCATATGGCTGAATCCTCATTATCATGGACTCAACCTCAATGTGCCACTTTAGAGGGGCTTTCACTGGTTATCATATCCAACAAAACTTTTCTTATTCGCCATAATATCATCCTATTTTATTTTCTTCATAACACTTCTAGCTCTCTAAAATTACGTTGTTTGTTTAATTTTTTGTTGAATGTCTCCTCTGTGTAAGCTATAGGAAAACGAGGACCTTGTCTAATTTTTTTAAATACAGTGTTGTATTTACAGTACTTAAAAAGATACTGAGCACTCAGCAGGTGTTTCATTATTTTACTGAATGAATTTTAATAAATTGGCGAGTTATTGAATGAATTCAGAAATGCAGGTAATTGGATCTCCACCATATAGCTTAGATAAAGGTAAATTGTCAATTAACTCTCTAAACATAAAAGAAAAGCAATGATCATATTAAATAAAAATATGGGCAAATAGTTTCATGGTTTGGCAGAAGGAAAGTTCCTTCTCCACAAGAAAAAATACTTTGAAGACATAGGGAAAAATGCTAACCACTTTGCTTACCTAAAAACTGGAAACATTTGTACAGCTAAAGATACAGTGAACAAAGTTAAATGGACAGACAGACCAAAATAAAGTATCTAAAAAATAAAAGGGCTTATAAATGTAGGTGCAAAAATCCTCAGCAACATATCAGTAAAGCAAATCCAGCAACATATAAAAATGATTTACATCACGACCAAGTGAAATTTACCTAAGAATAAAAGGTGAGTTTAACATATGAAAATCATTCAACAAAATACACCATATGAATAGAGAATAAATGACAAAAACTACATCAACTCAATAGACACAGAAAAAGCATTTGACAAAATTTCCAAATCCATTCACGACTTAAAAAAAACTTAACAAACTTGGAATAGAAGAAAATTTCCTCAGTCCGACAAAGGCCATCTACAAAAAACCCACAGCAAAGAACATACTGTATGGTGAAATACTAAACACCTTTCCCCTAACTGGGAATAAAGCAAGAACGTCTGCTCTCATCTCTTCTATTCAACATAAGATTGGAAGTTTTAGCCAGTGAAGGAAAGTGAAAAAATAAAAATAAAAGGCATTCCAATTGAAAAGGAAGAAGTAAAATTATCTCTATTTGCAGATGAAATGAGATACAGAAAATCCCAAGGAATACACTAAAAGACTAATAAATAAGTTCAGCAAGGTTGCAGAATACAAGATAAATTATACAAAAATCAATTTCATGTCTATACATTAGCAATGAACAATCCAAAAATAAAATTGACAGCTGGGTGCGGTGGCTCACACCTGTAATCCCAGCACTGTGGGAGGTTGAGGCAAGTGGATCATTTGAGGTCAGGAATTCGAGAGCACCCTGGCCAACATGGTGAAACCCTGTCTCTACTAAAAATACAAAACAATTAGCTGGGTGTGGTGGCCTGCGTCTGTAGTCCCAGCTACTCAGGAGGCTGAGGCAGAAGAATCGCTTGAACTCGGGAGGCGGAAATTGCCGTGAGCCAAGATCACGCCGCTGCACTCCAGCCTGGGTGTCGGAGTGAAGCTCTGTCTCAAAATAAATATTTCATTTAAAAATATTTAAATAAATATTTAATTCATAAAAAATATTTAATTTTGGATGTAAAATTATATATATATATTTATTTATTTTAAAATAAATAAAATAAAATTGCCCTAGGCAACCAATATCTACTTTCTGCCTCTATGGATTTGCCTATTCCAGACATTTCATATAAATGAAGCTATTATATATGTGGTCTTTTGTGACTTTGACTTGGTGTTTTCAAGATTTTTCCAAGACATAGCATGAATCAGTTCTTCATTCCATTTTTTGCTGAATAATACTACCTTGTATGAATGTAATATTTATTCATTGCATGAATTGTATCTACCTATTCATCAGCTGATAGACATTTGGGTTGCTTCCACTTTTTCACCATTATGAATATTGCTGCTATGAACATTCATGTATAAATTTTTGTGTGGACACATATTTTCAATTCTTTTGTGTTTATACCTAGGAATGAAATTTCTGGGTCATATGGTAATTCTATGCCTAACTTTGTGAAGAACTGCTGAACTGTCTTCCAAAGTGGACACACCATTTTACATTTCCACCAGCAGTGTATGAAGATTCCAATTTCTCCACACCCTTATCAATATTTAATATCTATAAATTTTTAAAATTACAACCATCCTAGTTAGTGTGTGAAGTGGTGTCTTACTGTGGTTTTGATTGCATTTCCTGATGGTCAATGATGTTGAACATCTTTTTAGGTGTTTGTTGGTCATTTGCATACCTTCTTTGGAGAAATATCTATTCAGATTATTTGCCAGTTGTCTTTTTGTCTTTTTGTTAGGTTATCTTTTTGTTGTTTTAAGAGTTCTTTATATATTCTTTTTTTTTTTTTTTTTTTTTTTTTTTGGTGCTAAAACCTGGGATCGAATATATATTTTTATCAGAGAGTTGATTTGTTAATGTTTTCTCCCATTCTGTGAGTCATCTTTTCACTTTCTTGATGATGTCTTTTGAAGGACAAGAATTTTTATTTTTATTAAGTTTAATTTATCTACCTTTTCTTTGGTCACTTGTGCTTCTTGACATATCTAAGAAGCCACTGCCTAATCCAAGGCCACAGAAATTTGCTCCTAGTTTTTCTTCTAAGACTTTTATAGTTTTAGCTCTTACATTTGGGTCTATAATCCATTTTGAGTTAATTTTTGTACATGGTATAAGATAGGGGCCATTCTTTTGCATGTGAATATCCAGTTCTACAAACACCTTCTGTTGAAAAGACTATCCGTTCACCACTGAAGTGTCTTCGCACCTTTGTTGAAAAGATACCTCTCCTTTGAAAAATCTGATACTTTGCTCTAATAAGAAGAGGTACGATGACAATAGACATGCTTTGGCCTCTTGGCAATTTTCTGACATGATGTTGAACAGTTGTCACAGGTGTCATTGATAGTTGTAGATGGCTTTCCTATAGAGAAACTGCCAATCTTACAACTCATCTAACTGAAATGAGATTTTAAATGAGACTCTGTCTCAGTTTCAATGGGGGCTCCAGGGCAATAGGTGCCTTTGTATAAATTAGCAAACAAGTACCTCTGCTGGGCAGATGAGTTACAATAAAGTGCCTCTTCTGGCCCCATGTGCTGCTAGGGGAGCAAGGGCTGGAATTCAGCATTCCTTCATCGCCTTACCCTGGCATCTTTATATAGGGTACACACTGCATAATCATTTGTGGTGGTCCTGGTTTCCATCTTCAGTGACATTCCATAGTGAGTTATGAGGCCATCTAAGCAGGACTTACAAAAGAGTTGGTAAAAACTACACAACTCTACTCTAAGAAAAGGTTGGAGAGGCAAGATAGAGGATATCCTTGGAGAGAGTTGTGCTGAGAGCCTAACTGCCTTAAAGGAGGTAGGGTGGGGGACACTTCTTCTCTACCTCAAATGTGAGAAGGTCTCTTTGGGAACCATTTCCAGTAAGTATCTTACATGTTCTTTATAATATGATAAGGGGGCTAGAGTCTGACACAGACCTGAAAAAATATATAATGGTTCAAACCACTTATAGTCACAGAGTAGAGGGGACATCAGGTCAGTGTTCTGTGGACCAGACTGAGCCATGAAGGAGCAAGTCAGGCTGGAGCTGTCCAAGATGCTGCCTCATCTGAAAGGGTGAGGAGACCTCAGCACAGAGAGGTAAAAGTTTTCCGCTAGATACTCAGGTGCTACCAAAGGAATCAGAAAAGACCAGCTGGAGAAGATACATTTCTATTTTCCAAAGGACCTTTTGTGTGAGAGATCTCCAATGATGTGGGAATCTAAAAAAAAAAAAAAAAAAAAAAAAAAAGGAAGAAGAAGAAAGAAAGAAGAGAAAGGGAAAAAGAAAGAAAGAAAGAAATATATAAACATGCCCATGTAGACATGCTCATGACAGAAAAAATCAGACTTAAACTCCACCTCATCTGAAGAATGCCAGCACCAGTCTCACCCACCTTCTGACTCTACATGGGTTAGAAGTCACTTCCCTGCAGAGAGTGGCAGGGAAGAGAAGGCAGGGTAAAGAGAGAAGCAGCCAACTTCTCTCCACTTCCCACTGCATGCCCAAGCAGGAAGAGACACTTTAACTTAAAATCTATGTCTCAAGTTTTAACTATTACATAGACCTAAACACTTACTGGCATAAGTCTCTTTTTATAATTAAGTGTCCACAGTATATTTTGTTAGCTAAGAATCTATATCTAGATCTATATCTACCTGTGTGTGTATGTGTGTATATACAGTTGACCCTTGAACAACGCAGTCAAAAGTCCATATAACTTTTGACTCCCTGAAAACTTAACTACTAATAGCCTACTGTTGACCAAAAGCCTTACGGATGACATAAACAGTCCATTAATATATATTTTGTATAGGTAATATATTGTGTATTCTTACAACAAAGTAAGCTAGAAAAAAGAAAATGATATTCAGAAAATCACAAGGCAGAGAAAATATGCTTATTATTCATTAAGTGAAAGTGGATCATCATAAAGGTCTTCATTCTTATTGTCTTCATGTTGAGTAGGCTGAGGGGCAAGAGGAAGAGGAGGGGTTGGATTGGCTGTGTCAGGGGTGCCAGAGGAAAAAGAAAATCCACATACATGTGGACCCACATGGCTTAAACCTATGTTGTTCAAGGGTCAGCTGTGTGTGTGTGTGTGTGTGTACATATATATACACATATATACACATATATGATAGCCTATGCCCAAAGACAGTGGAAAAACTAGTTTCACAGAATGCGTTTGAACAGGCAGTGTGTGTGGGGTATGTGGTATGAAGGGGGAGTATGGTAAGTGGTGGTGATGGGGAAGTGAAATTGTATTTGTTTGCACTTTCACAGTGCCACTTATTCAATGTTTCCATTCCTGAGCTATCAAAATCAATAAAATACAGTATGAAAGGGAGCCAGGTCTCTTTAAATTAGATAATGCCACTTCAAGAATCTTTGTAAAAATAACTTTGATTCAATTCTAGTAATACTTTAAGTAGTCCCCTAAAGAAACGACTGTACTGTAATTTGAACATTGATAACTTTAATGCAATTTAAGCATGGCTTCACTTCTGTCTTAATACCATCTCAATCCATAGCATCCTTCTCTATATTGTTTTAAAGATCTTGTTGTTTAGGGTTCTTTGAGTTCAGTTTTAAGAAGTCAACACTTAATGAAATTAACGCAGCATTGGAATATATTTTCAAATAATTCTCCACATAGTTGGAAGCCATCCTATATAATTCCATCATACTTGATTATAACATGAAGAGAAACAAAAAAGTTAATCATGACATAGAGACAACTTCATGTCAAATAATGCCCATGAATGAGCCAATTCAGCAAACTGAATTTACTTAGCTTATTTGAACCTCCATAAAGGAGACTTAGCAACAACAGTATTTCCATATGCCAGGTGAAACCCTCAGAGGGAATAGGCCTCAGTTTAATAATGAAAGAGAAAGGAAAGGGCTGATAATTATTCTGTCTAAACAGTGTTTTGCGGCCTAACATTGATTGTGTCTTGAAATCTCCTTTGGGAATGGAGTAGGCAGCCTTTCCTTTGCTTTCACAAACCTCATGCAAATTATTTAAACATTTTTGCAATTATTTTCCTGAAATTGAGTTTTGGCCCAATGCCTAGAAACAGTGAAAAGTGACATCACACTGCACCCAGAGATGCGGGTTCCAAAAAATTCTCTGGGGATCCGTACAACAGTCTTGGAGGTCGATTTCCATATCATTGTGTAAACATGTGAGTCTATTGGTACTTCTGCTTTTAGAGAGGCTCAGATAAGGACACCTCAAGTAAGCAAATGTTTAGGCAATTTAATTCTAGTTATCTTGCTATAACTCGACTGTATGTGCAATTTTTAAAAGGTCCTTTCTAACTGTCTGTGTAAAAAATGTTTCTGTTGGCACTTTCTTAAATCCTTGATGTGTCTATGACCCCCCCTTAATGTTAATCACAGAAAGAAACCTGCTCCCCTTTTTCTATATCCTAGACCTTATATCTGGTTATTCATGAGGATAATTTTATAATTGATGCAGATGACTGGCCTAAAAATGATGACCCTCTTTTGTACTATTACTTCATGCTGAGGACAAAGAGAATACAGGAAAATTACTCCTTGGCCCAGGAAGTTTATTAAAATGCTAAATGAAGGTCTGGCGGCAGCTCAAAGAACTTTAAATAACCTTGTGGTGGAAAACCTCCAAAACCTCTTTTTACCATCAGCTTAAACTAGGCTGGCTGTGACAAAGAGTAAGAAAATAAGTAGTTTCAAGAGTGCAAAAACACATCTATTTTTAAAAGGTAGGTCCATCCAATGGTTGTGGGCAAATGTGGTGCAGCCTCCTGAGGGATGATGACGATCATTTATGGTAACGTGGGTCTGCTGGGTTCACAGCCAGTCCTCTGCAGACGCCACACGTCTGGCATGGACGTAGTTATGCAGAAGGAAGAGTAATGACACTGTGGCCGACGTAGTAGTCTCTCTTTTTCGTCAGTGCAAAACATGCTGCTGACACGTTCTGTGGCTAAAATTCCATGGCATTAAAACGTAAAGTTACATGAAGTAGAATGACAATTTCTATTCCAGTTAATTCCATTGTACCTGAGGGCTATAACTCAATGTGTGGTGTTTGCTCTATGTGGGTTCGCTGGATCCTTCTGCATTCAACAAGTTGCAGATGATCTAAAAGATGAGTCTCCAGGGCAAAGGAGTTGAGCCGTGGTTTTTATAAATGGTTGCTGGGATATTGGAAAACTCTTATGTTGAAGAAATCCACAGGGGCCAGAACACCATATACAAACCGAACAAGAGAAGCGGACCTTTTCATGGCATCCCAGAGAGAACAAAAGAGGTAGCTTTCCACTGCCTCAGAGAAGCCAAGACAGGGAGGAGGACAGCTTTCTGCAGCACCGTCAGGTAGAGCTCCTCGAGCCCACTCTGCACCTGCACGCATTGTTTCCAGCCTGCCTTCCTGACACACAGATGCATTACCTTGGTGAACATAGCTTTTCTCCCATGGCCTTGTTTCCTCCAGCCCCAGAAGCTGTCCGCACGGGGGTATCCTTCAGAAGGATCCTTCCTTCTGAAGCTGTACTGTCAAACCCTTCCCACAATTGAATTTCCCAGGCCAAACCTCAGTCAGGAACAACTTTTTAAAAACTGAGCCTGAAATCCAATATCACACTCCTGGGCAGCTAGCAGAGCGTGTCCCTTAATTCCAATACCCAGACTTGCAAAACCTGCTTTCACCAATCTTTTAACTGCAGCCCTGCTGTATCTCTTGTCCTTGTCTTGGTAATTCATTTATTATATGAGTTCATCTAAAACTAATGCCCAACTTGTTCTTATATTTTAGTCCCTAGGCTGCTCTTAAACCTCAGGCCAAAAGCTGGAACTCTCAATCCTGAATGTCCACAGTGCTGGATTCTTCCTGAGTCATCATGCACCAAGGCTGACAGCCTCTACTGCACTGCAACCTGGTCAGATATTGAGTTCCTTTGCTGTTGGACTGAACTCCCTTTCAGCTCCTGCAGCTGGGTTCGTGCCCCCACTGCCTGCCCCAGCCAAGTAGGCAGAGATAGCACCTGAGCCTGCCCTTCTAGGCTGTCCTGCCTCACTCAGATTAACTAGGCCATCTTAGGCAGTGCCCCAAGACATGACGGCTTGAGCTCAAGAGGTGGTGGCCTCCTCCCTGTTGAGCACTAACTGAAGCTGGAAAAAGAATTCACAAATGCCTATGCTGAGGTTGCTGCTTCTACCATTGTAACTCCTACGATTTTCAAGCCTTATTTAGGACAATTGATATGACATATGCTATTTACTGATCAAGTTGAGACTCTTATTACACAGTTATCAAAAATCTTAATTTTGAAAAATACTTTATGTTTTAGGAAAATAGTCATGATTTAACGTTTGAGGGGAAAGCAGGATGCAGAGCTATATAAAGCTGGATGAGCTCACTGTGGCAAACATCATGTGGGATTTGGCTGCTCAGCATCTGAACTCCCTTCCCAGGTTTGAAGAATTTCCACCACGTGATTTCTTCATGCACAGTGAAGGCCCCTCACCTTTAGAGAGGCAAGAAATTAGGAGTCTTTCTCTCACTGCTCCTTTACAGCTGGGGCAGGCATGGAGCCTGGACTTGATCAGATGCCCAGACTCACCTGGACTTGGAATTAAGAATCAGTGACCCACAGACGAAAGGGTAGTGGAAACCACATCCCATCAGGGAAAGCAATGATGTCTCCAAAGCAGGAGGGATGGCAGAGCCAGTATCAGTGTCTAGGCCAGCAGTGGCAAAGGTGCAGGCTTCAAAGGTCTTTATCACAGCAGCATGGGAGCCACGCCAGAATCATTCCACGGCACACGCTCCAGCCTCTAGCCATGGCTTATCAACCTCCCATTTGTCACTCCTACAGCCACTCTTTTTCAGCACCGGTTCCCCAGGCTTTCCTGTGAATTTCTGAGCTACCAAATACCTTCAATAAATTCCTTTCTACTTAAAGGAGTGACAGCTCATTATGTTGCTTGCAATTAAGATTCCTGACTTAATATACCAATGTTATTTAAAATGCTAAGAGAAAAGAACTTTTTTTTTTAAGAGACAGATTTTTGCTCTGTCACTCAGGCTGGAGTGTAGTGGCACAATCATAACTCACTGCAGCCTCAAACTCCTGGGCTCAAGCTACCTTTCCGCCTCAGCCTTCCAAATAGCTGGGACTACACGCACGTGCCACCATGCCCAGCTAATTTTAAAATATTTTTGTAGAGACAGGGTCTCTCTATGTTGCCCAGGCTGGTCTTGAACTCCTGGCCTCAAGCAATCCTCCCGCCTTGGCCTCCCAAAGCACTGAGATTACGGGTATGAGCCACTGCACCTAGTCTACATAAATGTTAATAATGATTATCTTGGCCAGGTGCAGTGACTCACACCTGTAATCCCAGCACTTTGGGAGGCTGAGGCGGGCAGATCGCCTAAGGTCAGCAGTTTTGAGACCAGCCAGGCCAACGTGGTGAAACTCCATCTCTACTAAAAATACAAAAGTTAGCCAGACGTGCCTGTGATCCTAGCTACTTGGGAGGCTGAGGCAGGAGGATCGCTTGAGTCGGAAAGTGGAGGTTACAGTGACCCGAGATCGCACCACTATACTCCAGCCTGGGTGGCAGAGTGAGACTCTGTCTCAAAAAAATAAATAAATAAATAAAAATAATTATTATATTTAGGTGTGGAAAGATTTTATTGGTATATTAAGTCAGTAGATCATTTTAATTTTCTTTTTTCTTATGTGTATCTTCTAAAAATTTTAGTAAAATGATATTACCTTAGTAGTCAGAAAAAAAAGTGAGTTTTAAAATTTGAGATTTCTTTACATCCCTATGTCCTTAATTGTTGGAAAATAATAAACTTGATTACTCAAATAGAATCCCTTTTTGCTTCTATTAGAAGAAGCTATCCGACAACTTTAACTCTGACCTGGGTGAATCATAGGAATTGGAGTAAGAGAAATGCCATTATATTTTATCAAAACAAACAAACAAAAAACCCTGAGACTAATTCTTTTGCCTGCTTTCTTTTTTCTTTTTTTTTTTTTTTTTGAGATGGATTCTTTCCTGCTCTGTCGCCCAGGCTGGAATGCAGTGGTGCATCTCCACTCACTGCAACCTTTGCTTCCTGGGCTCAAGCAATTCTCCTGCCTTAGCCTCCTGAGTAGCTGGAATTACAGGCATGTGCATGTGCCACCAAACCTGGCTATTTTTTGTATTTTTAGTAGAGATGGGGTTTCACCATGTAGGCCAGGCTGGTTCAAACTCCTGACCTCAGGTGATCCACCCGCCTTGGCCTCCCAAAGTGCTGGCATTACAGATATGAGCCACTTTGCCTGGCCCTGAGACTAATTGTTACTTCTCAATCCTAATATACACATATTTCAAATTTGTTTTAGAACTTGATAGTCCTTTGAAATTTGGTCTGAGAAAAAATGGACTATGTTTAGGGAACTTTAACATAATCCAGAGAAATGAGGAATGTCATCTTAGCATTGATGTTTATAAAAGTGTATATACGCAGAGGAATGCCACCCCTAGTGTTCTTTCTTAGCTTCTGATAACCAGACATCCCAACAGTCTTGTAAAAACTAAGAATAATAGTCTAGAATACTAGTGTATTGAACCTATCAGTGATTCATGCAGTTGGCCTACGTGGCTACCAATAATAGCGTGAATAGCACAGAGGAAAATGTATAATGTCCTTCCTTAGAACAAAAGCCCAGCTACTAAGAAAAAACAAAGCCCGCCATTGTTAGGAAGTGGTGATAGTCTTGCTTGTCCTTGTGAGAACACCCAGAGTTTTTTGGTGTTCCAGCTTCACACTAGGAGACTGCCTACTTTTGACCATGAGTGAGAGATTCAAGTTACATCAGATAATAGTCTCCTGCCATTCCATCAACAGTACTGAGAAAGAAGTCAAGGGAACTCTGAAGATCTGAAGCAGTTGTGGTCACTGGGTTGCTGCGACCCTCAGAGTGTTGAGACTGTATTGATCATGCCAACAGAAGCAGCAACGCATAGTGGAGAGGAAGGAGAATGGAATTTAGTCCAATAGACTTGGTGTTAGAGCCCAGGCCAAACATCCATCAGCTAATTGCATGAGTTTCTCGCCTCTCTGAGCTTCAGTTCACTACCTACGGAATGCAGATAAAAGACCATCTCATGGTGTTAAAGGGGATAGTGTATATAGAACTCCCAGCATAGTTTCTGGCTTATAATGAGTACACAATAAATGTAAGTTCCTTTCCGTCTATGACCCCTTTCCCTCTTATTTTTCTGGGAAAATCTTTATCTTTTACAAATACTGACTTCAGATAAAGTTTCTGCAATAAGATAGTTAATTTCTTTAAATCTCTCAACTCTGGTAAAAGGCTGTAGTTACTTTCTAATTATTCCTTGGAAAGAGATGCCTTTCCCAAACCAGGAAAAATTGTTGATAAAGGGAAACAATCTCAAATAGCTTAGCAAACGTGTTAAGTCAACATTGCACGCAACAAATGTATTGTCATTTAACATGTAGGAATCAGTATTAAAATTCAGGAAAATGGTATTAGAGCTCACGGGGTTGAAACTGGTTAATTTATGAGGTGTGGGTGTGGATAATTAGCTTGGACATTAAGGTATAGCTTCCCATACCCTCCCAAACATCATTTTTCTTGCCAATGTGTAAATGGGACCCTAGTCTCTGCTTGAGATGACACAAGAATAGAAATGTGGAAAAGGAAAATCAAACTGGAAAAGAAGCCGTGTCAAAAAAATCAATAATTTTGCCACTGAGAAATTGGTACCATCCTTATCCAAGAAGGGGTGGAAAGGTCAGACCCAGCTAACTTGTGTGATAAATGAGTTTATAAAGTAGGCTGTATCAGGAGACTAATTTAATTGGCTTCTTTAAGTGTGATAATACTCCACACTTCCAACAGATTTTTTCCTTTATTAAAATCTTAAAGCTGAGTGTAAGGCACACTTTGTCTACCTTAATGATATAAACAGCACCAATTGCTGCCAGGGCATAAAAGAATTCATTATTATTATTACCAACATTTGACCAAAATATTGAAAACAATATGTTTTTGTTTTTTCTTTTCTTGACAGTTTAGACGATTCCAAGTCATACAAGGACAAAGAAAATATATATTTGTCCTACTACCCCTCCGGGATATTTGGGCCCTCACTAAATACCCACTTCTGTTGCTCCCAAATTACAAATTAAGTAAACAAGCTTAGATTTAAATTAAGGAGTTTGTCTGTACACTTAGATGTGCATTATTGGCTTTAAAACTCAGTTTTCCTTATCTGTACTAGTGGAATGCTATCAGCTTAGGTCATAATCCTCTGGCTATCACTTTCTACATGAAGAGAAAGACATTTGTGAGACAATACCAATTTTAAACATAATTTTATACAAGTTCCCTGCCTCTTTTTTTCAGAATAGTTGGTAGATAGAACAGCTCTAGATTAGGAACACAGTAAAAACAAACAAACAAAACCTATGAAACAAAGAACCAGACAACATTTGCCTTTTAGAATGTTAAGAAAAGGGATAAAAGCCAACACAAGGTTAAATCCCCATAAAGTTTTCATGGAGAACTGTGTTGGTGCACCACATAAATGAGTCTGAGCTTGGAACTTCCGGATCTAATTTGACCTGTAAGAAAAATATTGAGAAACAAGGGGGAAAGATCCGATGCAGCATTAGATCATGTTTTCTGGTAGTAATTGATAGGGATGGTAATAGATGTTATACAAAACAGCCATCCAAAAAAATAAATAAGCAAATAAGATTTTAAGATCCAACGCAATTAGGAAATTCTATATTAAACAGGGTGAAATGGGTTTTTCTCTCCAATTTTTGTTGTTTTAAACTTCAATAATCCTCCAAACCTCTCATAAGGCACATTGAAATCTTCAAAAGAATAACAGTAATGGTAGAATTCTTGTTCAAGGAAAAGCTAAGTTTACACATTAAAATAGGTAGCCTGATGACACTGTCCTAAGATTTATAGGTTTTCTGTAATGAGTATGAAATACATTTTTCATCAGGAATAACAAAAAACCCTCTCCTTTTCTCACCCTTACATGTAATCCAATAGTATATCCTGTGAGCTCTCCCTCCAAAGTCCATTCTGAATCCAACTCCTGCTTACTGGCTCCCAAGACCACACCTCTAGATGCAACGTCCCCCCTATAAATGGTCACTTGGCCAGCCTTCCTGCCTCCCTCCTGTCCGTCTGATTTATCCTTCCCAGAGCAGCCAGCTGAAAGAATCTTCCTGACGTGTAAATCACATATATCTGCCCTGCCTGCAGCCCTCTGCAGGCCTCTTCTGCACCAGGACGTGCCTGTGCTCCTGGGAGCCCTCCAGGACCCCGCGGCGTATCTACTCATAGCCGCCCCACCCCTTGTTCCAAGTGTGCTGGCCACCAGGGCTTCTCAGGTCTCCGCACAAACCGAGTTCATTCCACTCTGGGGGCCTTTGCTCTTGCTGTGCCTTCTGCTAAGAATACTTATCAGGGAACCTACCCCGATAGTCACGTAGGTTCTTTTCTGTTTTCCCTAAGCATCAGCCCATTTGAGAAATAAAGGGACAGAGTACAAAGGAGAGAAATTTTAAAGCTGGTCATCCAGGGGAGACATCACATGTCCGTAGGTTCTGTGATGCCCCACAAGCCACAAAACCAGCAAGTTTTTATTAGGGATTTTCAAAAGGGGAGGGAGTGTACGAATAAGGTGTCAGTCACAAAGATCACGTACTTTACAAGGTAATAGACTATCACAAGGCAAATGGAGGCAGGGCAAGATCACAGGACCACAGGACCGGGGCGAAATTAAAATTGCTAATGAAGTTTCGGGCCCCATTGTCATTGATAACATCTTATCAGGAGACAGAGTTTTGAGAGCAACCGGTCTGACCAAAATTTATTAGGCGGGAATTTCCTCTTCCTAATAAGCCTGGGAGTGCTATGGGAGACTGGGATCTATTTCACCCCTACAGTCTACAGACCATAAAAGACGACCACACCCGGGGGGGCCATCTATAGACCTATACCCCCAGGTGTGTTTTCTCTTTCCCAGGGATGTTCCTTGCTGAGAAAAAGAATTCAGCGATATTTCTCCCATTTGCTTTTGAAAGAAGAGAAATATGGCTCTGTTCCGCCCGGCTCACTGGCGGTCAGAGTTTAAGGTTATCTCTCTTATTCCCTGAACAATTGCTGTTATCCTGTTCTTTTTTCAAGGTGCCCAGATTTCATATTTGTTCAAACACACATGCTCTACAATTTGTGCAGTTAACGCAATTATCACATGGTCCTGAGACAACATACATCCTCCTTAGCTTATAAGATGACAGGATTAAGAGATTAAAGTAAAGACAGGCCTAGGAAATCACAAGGGTATTGATTGGGGAGGTGATAAGTGTCCATGAAATCTTCACAATTTTTGTTTAGAGATTGCAGTAAAGACAGGCATAAGAAATTATAAAAGTATTAATTTGGGGAACTAATAAATGTCCATGAAATCTTCACAATCCACGTTCTTCTGCCATGGCTTCAGCCAGTCCCTCTGTTTGGGGTCCCTGACTTCCCCCAACTTCTCTCCCTTTCTTTTTATATAAATGTGCCATGGCGATGAAGGCTTGTTCATTCTCTTGATTTTGACGCAGGATTCTTTGACTGGTCCGGCACACTAAAAGCAAGCCGATTAAACAGAGAAATATAATTCTAAAATTTACTACGGTGGAGCCCCCAATAGACTTAATCCAAGTCGTGGGGTTTAATCCATAAAGATTTTCTGCCACCTGATCTAACGCCTCAGCTCCAGGCACAATGGATAAGTGAGCTTGAGAGGCTTCAAAAATTTGTTTCTTTAATTTAGTTACGTCCAGTGATAAATTATCTTCCCTACCCAGAAGGTGTCTTTTGACCATTTCCCATGAATGATCATTCTCATTATAGAAATACGGGGTGATGCAGAAATCTGAAGTATTCCAATCGCACTGCATTTGCATGCGATGCTCGAGACTCACTACCCGATCTCCAAGCCAAATAACAGACTGTCTTAAATCATTAATTTGATTTGCCAATTTTTGATCGATGCCTTGTTGAGAATTCCACATTTGGGTGGAATTGGCTTGCCAATCATTAACAAAATGAGCCGTTTGAATGGATTGGTGTAATGCCATTCCGGCAGTGGTGGCCATTGCAGTGACTGTAATTAGGCCCATGATAACAGCGATTAAAGTGAAAACAAATCTCTTAGATCTTTTTAGAATTCGCTGTAGCACTTCATTAATCCCCACTAACTGCCTCAATTTCATTGTTCAGATCTCAATGTACTTGCCACCTACCCAGACAGCTGCTCCTTGACCACCGATTTAACTAAAGCAGCCCCCGTCCATTTAATCTCCATGAACGCATATTGCCGCCGAAAATGATCATAATTAACTCTCAGGCTACCGATCACCTTTCTTTACTAGAATATGATCTCCTTGATAATGAGGATTTTTACTCAGCTGTGTCCACAGTGCTTAGAATGAATCATAGCACACAGTAGGTGCTTAAAAGATATTTGAAAAGGGATTGGGGAAAGGGACATTTATTTATTTAATTTTTAAAACTTCTTTATAAAATGTAATGTAAATTGACGATTCATAATTGTATGTATTTATGGGGTACAAAGTGATGTTATGATTTGTGAATTAATGTGAAATAATTAAACTAATAAACATATTCATCACTTTAAATACTTACCATGTTTTGGGGTGGGAACATTTGAAATTTGCTCTGTTAGCAATTTTGAAATGTATGACACACTATTATTTACTATATTCACCATGCTGTGAAATAGATCTCAAAAAAATAAAACCATTATTCGGTTTATTTCTCCTACCTGAGACTTGGTATCCTTTGACCATCATCTCCCCATTCTCCCAACATCCCCAGCTTCTGTAACCACCATTCTACTCTGCTTCTATGAATTCAATTGTTGTTGATTCCACAAGTAAGTGAGAACATGCAGCATTTGTCTTTCTGTGTTTGGCTTATTTCATTTAGCATAATATTCTCTAATTCCACCCATGTTGTCACAAATGACCATATTTCCTTCCTTTTTAAGGCTACGTAGTATTCCATAGTGTATATATGCATTTTCTTTATCCATTCATCTGTTCGTTCATGGACACTTAGGTTGATTCTGTAACTTGGCCATTGTGAATAGTGCTGCAATGAACATGAAAGTGCCGATTTCTCTTTGACAAACAAATTTCAAATATTTTTGGTAAATACCCCGAAGTTGGATTGCTGGATCATATGGTAATTCTATTTTTAGTTTTTTTGAAGAACCGCCATACAGTTTTCCAATGGTTATACTAATTTACATTTTCACCAAGAAAGGGACATTTATTGAGTACCTCATATGACACAGTGCTAAAAGTCTAATCTTCCACATAGACTTGTCAGCTACATGTCATCCTCATTTTACAGAAAGGGGAACTAAGATTAGGAGAGGTTAAGTAACTTATTGAGGGTGTCACAACTAGTTCCTTCCTGTATGTTATACCAATACTAAACTGGGAAAAATCTACTTCAAAAGTTTTACTTCGTAATCCCCAAAACCTTAGCAATACAAATCTCCAAACCCTAAGAACTGCTACCATAACAAAGCCTGCAGTTTCTCTCTTTCTAGTTATTGAAAAATATATTGACATTTTATTTATCAGACACTTGACTGTTCTAAATAAGTGATTTTTTCAGATAACTAAAGCTTACCTGTAAATGTCAAAACTTTTTTATTTACATCATGTTCGGTAAGATGTTTCTAAAATGTACTCTATATTTCTCAGTCTTCTTAAACAGTTTATTTAACAGAATTTAATGTTTTCTGAATAATACATGGTAATTTTTAGAAACATCAGTTATTATTCTGAACAAAAAGAATTTCCTATTCATCATAACAGAATTGGCTACATAATGTGCAGGGCCTAATGCAAAATGAAAATGTGCAGCCTCTTGTTGAAAACTTATTAAGAATTTCAAGATGACGACAGCAGAGAATTAAAACAGGCACAGGGTCCTTTGTGATTGCACAGGCCACATACTATGCCGTTGACCCTGTATCATGTCCACATAGTGTCTTGCACATAATAGGAATTCATAAGCACTTACTAAATAATATCTTTAAGACCTAGTGAGTGCTGTAGGGCTCATTTCTTTAAGTGAATTCAAATGTGGTAAAAATAAAAACAACACTAATTGAATTATATGTCAGGCTTTACATGTGTTTTCCCATCAGATCCTCAGAAAAGCTGGTGAGTTTCATTTAGGATTTCATGGCTGCATATAACAAACTCAGTTGGAGTGGCTTAATCAAACACAGGTTTTATTTTTATATACTTGATAAGGGTCTAGTATCCAGAACATCATTTAACCAAGGGGAAAAGTTCTGAGAAATGCTTTGTTAGAAGATTTCATCATTGTGCAAAGATCATACAGTGTACTAACACAAAGCTAGATGGTACAGGTTACTACACACCTAGGCTATATGGTATAACCTGTACTGAATACTGTACAATTGTAACACAATGTTGAGTATTTGTGTATCTAAATTATCTAAACATAGGAAAGGTATAGTAAAAGTATACTATTATTTTAACATAATCCTAGGGGACCAACATGGTATATGCAGGCCTATCACCATTAACTGAAACATTATGTGGTTATGTGGCATGGGGCATCACTGTATAAACCTAACAGAGTGGAAAACAGATGTTTAAATAGAAACTTATTTACAATGTTCATAGCAGTTCTGTTTACAATAGCTGAAAGGTAAAAACAACCCAAATGTCCATCAACAGATGAATGGACAAACAAAATGTTATATATCCAAACAATGGAATATTATTCAGCTATAAAAAGAAATACTGATATGTGCTACACGAGTGAGTCTTGAAAACATACCGAGTGAAATAAGCCAGAGACACAAGGCCACATATTATATCATTTCAGTTACATGAAATGTCCAGAAAAGGCAAATCTATAGAGACAGAAAGTATATTAGTGGTTTCCAGGGGCCTGGGAAGATTGGGAAATAGGGAGTGACAGCTTAATAGGTATAGAGTGTCTGTTTGAGATGATGAAAAAGTTCTGGAACTAGATAATGATACTGATTGTGCAATGTTGTAAATGTGCAATGTTGTAAATGTACTTAATGACACTGAATGGTATACTTATGATAAATTTGTTATGTCTATTTTACCACAATTTCAAAAAAGGAATGAAGTACTGACATATCATACAGTACTTCACAGATGTAAACATACAACATTGATGAAACTTGAGAATATTATGCTAACTGAAAGAAAGCCGATCACAAAAGGCCACATATTGCACAGTTCTATTTATATGAAATTTCCAGAATAGGAAAATCCATGGAGACAGAAAGGAGATGCGTGGTTGCCTAGGGTTGGAGGAAGAGGAGACTAGGGAGTGACTGCTAAGGAGTTTGAGTTTTTTGAGGGGTGATAAAAATGTTCTGGAATTACATGGTCGAGATGTTTGCACTACCGTGTGTGTGTGTGTGTGTGTGTATAAAACCACTGAATTGTACACTTTAAACGATTGAATTTTAGGCTGGGTATGGTGGCTCACTTCTGTAATCCAGCACTTTGGGAGGCTGAGGCAGGCGGATCACCTGAGGTCAGGAGTTCGAGACCAGTCTGGCCAACATGGTGAAACCCCATCCTTACTAAAAATACAAAAAAAAAAAAAAAAAATTAGCCAGGCGTGGTGGCATGTGCCTGTAGTCCCAGCTGCTCAGAAGACTGAGACAGGAGAATCACTTGAACCCAGGAGGCAGTGGTTGCCGTGAGCCAAGATCACGCCACTGCACTACAGCCTCGGTGACAGAGCAAGACTCTATCTCAATTAAAAAAAAAAAAAAGATTGAATTTTAGGTATGTGAATTATAATTCAGTAAAAGCTGTTATACAAAAGAGTAAAAGGTCCAAATACCATGCATGACATTTTGAAAAGTTTTGGAGTTTGGAGGCCTTTTTTGCTCAATTTCTGGGTGCTACAAATATACCAGTTGATTGACTTCACCGCATAAGGGACCTTCAGATAAATGAGCTATTTCTGAATAAAAGCAAGAAATTCAAACAGAAGGGTCCAGGGGAGAGGGGAACAGTTCCTTTTGTTGCAGTCTTTGTCTCTGCTTCTCTCATTTCTGTAATGCCCTTAGAACTCTCTGTTGGCCTTCCTAAGTCCTAGAATTCAATTTGAGAAACACTGGCCAAAGACACTTGGTAGAGCCAAGATAACATGTATCAGTGCCTCATATTTAATCTAAAGGACTATAACAGGTCATCTGAAAGTATTGGAAAGGGTCTAGAGTTGTTTGACACTCTCATTAGAAACCTAGTGATGAAGAGAGACATGTTGAAGAAATCTAATTGCCTAGAGGTGTTAAATGCTTTTGTAGATAAATATCTTGGTTCTGTACTTTAAAAATAAGGTAACCTGCAAAGTCATTCACAAGATTCATATTGAGGAACTTGAACAAACTGAAGCCCAGTGATATTACTAGAGACCTATAGCATATGAGGAAAGAGAAAAGCTCAAAGAAGTGACTCATTCTGGGGAAAAAACTCAGAAAGATCACCACTTACAATGAGCATAAGCTTCTATGCCAAAACCAAGCTCAGGGGAGAGGACCATGCCATCAAGAAGAGAGGCATTGCCCAGAACAGAGTTTTCTTCAAGAGACTTATGCTACCTCAGGAGTGGGTTGCTTCCAATGTAGGGCAATCCTAATTTTTGCAAATTAGAATTAAGGCTTTTTGAAATTATGTCATATAAAATAATTAACAAAGCGTTCATGGACAAAATGTAAAGAATGCAAATTCTGAAACAACATCTAAATGTATTAAAAAATCTTAATTTCCAAGCTTTTATATAAGGGATTTGTAATTGGGTTTATGCTATTGCTATAGTAGTGCCATTTTCAGCTGATAAATATAAATACTTGTCCTTTTTCTTTTGGTCATGATTAGGCTGAAATTAACAAACCTTTGAATTACACAATCTCTTTTGAAGTTCCTCCTTCATGGAATGCTACTGCTCTGTACCTCCAAGAAGAAACTGAGGATGGGAATTCCTAATTCCATGGATCTCAATAGAATAATGAGAGTGGAGGCTCCACAGAGGGCTTCTTCTCCAATGCAATCAGGACTGGGAGTTGGCTGGTTAATGAAAGATAATGGTTAAAGAGGTGAATCATAAGAAAAAAACATAGACAGACATATGAATGCTTGTTTTAAATTAAAGTAACTGTGTCCAGCTTTTGATATAAGGCCCAGGCTTTTTATTATACTCGAATGTCAGTGAGTTGACTGGAGTTCTGCTTCGTCTTTCTTGCATAAAGTGCACTCATTATACAACCTCTGCTGTTTCCAATGATAACTCATTTAAAGGGAACCAAAAACTTAAAGATACTATTGGACAAACTGAATGCAGAATCCTTCTAGAATTTTATAATAGCCTTTCTATTTTAATCATTGCCCAGCAACTTACTTTTATTGAATCTTGTCAAAATATTCGACCAGGTTTTCAAAAGGACAGCCTTGATTTTTGCATTCATATTTCATATATTTATATAATATTTAACTTAATTTACTTATGAATAATGATAAGTTTAGCTGATATGCAACAGTCTGGGGAACAAATAGTCTTGAGTCTGGATAAGTATAGAACTCAACTATGGTAGCAGAAATACACGGAGGGTCTAGAGAGTGGCCTTCTAGCTGTGGTGCTCAGAGTGCAGTATCAATCACAATGTTTCCCTGCAATATGCAGCATATCTCAGCAATGTGTCAGGGCCAGTTGGAACTGCTCTGCAACACCAGATCTGCACTGCCTCCCTTCCTCTTCCTCACCGTTGAACATTTAGTTGCAAGCCCTCCTTCCTCAAACAGCTGAGCTACTGGTGGTGGCCAAGCCAGACCTGCCCTGCTCAGTGCCTCCTAGGCTTCTTGGCCCACCAGCTGTGTGATAGCATGGGCCCACAGACTGGTCCTCATCACAATGTTGTGGTGTGACTGTTCACTTTACCGTGCCCAGGGATGATTCTATAATCCGTGGCTGGTTTGGCAACATAGTTCTGTAACATAAGAAACCGTTCCTGACCCCTGAATGCTAGATCCAGATGACAATGCTAGCCCAGAGCCATTTTTGCCACCATATAAAGTAATTTTGTTGGAGTCTCAGGATGACATAGTAGGAGGTACAAAATACAGCAAAAGTCCCCTTTGGATGCTCCCTCAGCCTAGCCAACTTCACATCTTAGAGAGCTGACCTTCATCATCTCCCTAATGCATTTACATGGGGAAATCTAGGGAAGCCCTCAGAGGCATATTCATTGAATCTTGACAAACTTGATATCATCTCATATCTTCATTGACACCTGTATCATTTAAATTGGAAGAGTAAAGTCAAATTCCATGGTGTTATCTACCAGAGTATACAGCCTCACCCATCCTAAAACCTGGTGTTCGCCTTAGTCAGTTCCATAGAATACCAGCCTCCTTTCCCTTCCTTTTTAGCTACACTGAATTTTGGGGGGGTGGTGGGAGGTATACAGTTTTTGAAAGATTTCATGTAAAAACTAAGGGAAATGGGAATCCAAAGTTCAAGTTGGGTTGGAAAATTCTTGAGAACCCCTAGTATTAAGAATGGAATAAAAATTCAAAATGATGCATATATAGTAGAAAAGGGGCTAAAAATAAATAGAAGTTACACATTTCTGAATTTTAGAGGAGGAATAACAGACTTTGAGAAAATAAAGGCACTTGGAAAATCTGTGTGAAATAGTTAAACTGAAAGACCAGGGGCTGCTGGGCAGGAAGTAACTGAGTCGATGGGTCCAGAGGGCCTTGTGCTACAGCACCGTAACAGAAAGAGAACCGCTTCCAGGTCACATGTTAGGGTTGTGCTCATTTTAGGGTGCCAGATCCTCTTTCCATGTTTTCCCTTTGCCTTCTTTATCAAACCCTCTTCAAATGAAAGCAAGGTTTCTACATTGTCTCATGACAGGTATCACTTTACATTGATTGGCTTCATGCTTGTACAAACCTCTCATGTTACCAGAGAATGCACCTCCCAATTGCTTAGATATTTGTCCATCTTGAGGGGAAAATTTCTTCCTTTGCATCATCTTGGTACTTATTTATTTTTTTTATATCAAAACATTTATTTTTTGTGTTACAAAAACACAAATAAATCCAAGCAGATAATGAAATAAACTTATTTTTTTAGTGTCCCATCCTGGGTTCTCTGTCCTAGAATGTATTAAGCAGGTCAAGTTTAGGTTACTTCAACACTTCTTCTGGACGCTATGAAGTCTCCATCTTATAACCATGTTTCTCTAGTTCAGCTCTATGATAAAACAGAAAGAACATCACGTAACTGATTAGAGAAGTCATCCTCTACATTGTCATCATCCCAATTATCCTCCCAGACATGTGCATGTTCATCTGCATCTAAGTCAGCCCAGTCTTCGGCAGGGAACTTTTCAAACTCGTCATCTTCCTCTAAGAAACCTAAGTCTACCGGCTGCTTTTTCTCTGACATCTCGACTGTCTGCGCCCAACACCTCCCAGATCAGCAGAAAACCATCTTGGTACTTATGAACTACAAACTCTGTAGCCTGGTTGTTCCTGGCAGTAGCCCCGTGAAGTTTCTACTTTTGTTTCTCAGTGAAATTCCTCCAAAAATGTTTCCTCACAAGATACTTCTCTTCCAGCCCACCTCCAGTTGGACTCAATTTCTTGGGCCTCATTTGGTGTCTTTCAGGACCCTCATAAACCTGCATTGTCACACATACCCCAGCAATGTGTTCAAACAAAGCCATCTCCATTCTCTAGCTGGGTCTACACACCTGCAAATTCTCCATTGATTGTATAAGCCACCTAGCAGCTGTCCCTTTGTCTGCATGGGTTAATTGATTAAGCACTGACTATACCAAGGCAACTCTCAGTCCCCTGTGTTAGTCTGTTTTCACACTGCTCTAAAGATACTACCTGAGACTGGGTAATTTATTAACAAAAGAGGTTTAATTGGCTCACAGTTCTACATGGCTGGAGAGGCCTCAGGAAAGTTACAGTCATGATGGAGGGTGAAGGGGAAGCAAGGCATGTCTTACATGGTGGCAGGAGAGAGAGAGAGAGACTGCAGGGGAACTCCCACTTTTAAGCCATCAGATCTCATGAGAACTCCCTCATTATCAGAGAATAGCATGGGGAAACCACCCCCATGACCTAATCACCTCTCAACATGTCCCTCCCTCCACATGTGGGGATTACAATTTGACTCGAGATTTGGGTGGGGACACAGAGCCAAACCATACAATTCTGCCCCTGGCCTCTCCCAAATCTCATGTCCTTTTCACATTTCAAAACCAGTCATTCCTTCCCAACAGTCCCTCAAAGTCTTAACTCATTCCAGCATTAACCCAAAAGTCCAAGTCCAAAGTCTCATCTGAGACAAGGCAAGTCCTTTCTGCCTATGAACCTGTAAAATCAAAAGCAAGTTAGTTACTTCCTAGATACAATAGGAGTACAGGCATTCGGGAAATGTTCCTGTTCCAAATGGGAGAAACTGGCCAAAACAAAAGGGCCACAGGCCCCATGCAAGTCTGAAACCCAATGGGTCAGTCATTAAATCTTAAAACTCCAAAATAATCTCTTTTCACTCCATGTCTCACATCTAGGGCATACTGATGCAAGAGCTGGGCTTCCAAGGCCTTGGGCAGCTCCGCCTCTGTGGCTTTGCAGGGTATAGCCCCCATGGCTGCTTTCACCAGCTGGCGCTGAGTGCCTGTGATATTTCCAGGTGCACAGTGCAAGCTGTTAGCGGATCTACCATTCTAGGGTCTGGGGGATGCTGGCCCTGTTCTCACAGCTCCACTAGGCAGTGCTCCAGTGGGGCTCCAACCCCACATTTCCCTTATGCACTGCTCTAGCAGAAGTTCTCCATGAGGGCTCCACCCCTGCAGCAGACCTCTTCCTGGACATCCAGGTGTTTCCATACATCCTCTGAAATCTAGGCAGAGGCTCCCAAAGCTCAACTCTTGTCTTCTGCACACCTGCAGGCCCAGCCTTGTGGAAGCCACGAATGCTTGGGGCTTGCGCCCTCTGAAGCCACAGTCCAAACTGTACCTTGGCCCCTTTTAGCCATGGCTGGAGCTGGAGTGGCTGGGATGCAAGGCACCAAGTCCTAAGACTGCACATAGCAGGGGGCCCTGGACCAGCCCAGGAAACCATTTTTTTCCTCCTAGACCTCCAGGCCTGTGATGAGAGGGGCTGCTGCAAAGATCTCTGAAATGCCCTGGAGACATTTTTCCCATTGTCTTGGCTATTAACATTCGGCTCCTTGTTACTTATGCAAATTTCTGCAGCTGGCTTGAATTCGTCCCCAGAAAAATGGGTTTTTCTTTTCTACCACATGGTCAGGCTGCAAAATTTTCAAACCTTGACACTCTGCTTCCTTTTTAAACATAAGTTCCAATATCAGACCATCTCTTTGTGAACACTTCCAGAATCTGCCAGGTCACGTCTTGAATGCTTTGTAGCTTTCAAATGCTACCCTAAATCATCTCTCTCAAGTTCAAAATTCCACAGATCTCTAGGGCAGTGGCAAAATGCCACCAATCTCTTTATTAAAGCATAGCAAGAGTGACCTTTGCTCCAGTTCCCAATAAGTTCCCAATAACCTCTTCATCTCCATCTGAGACCACCTCAGCCTGGAATTCATTTTCCATATCACTACCAGCATTTTGGTCAAAACTATTCAACTAGTCTCTAGGAAGTTCCAAACTTTCCAACATCTTCCTGTCTTCCTCTGAGCCCACCAAACTGTTCCAACCTCTGCTCGTTACCCCGTTCCAAAGTTGCTTCCACATTTTCAGGTTATCTTTATAGCAGTGCCCCACTCTGCCAGTACCAATTCTCTGTATCAGTCCGTTTTCATACTGTTATAAAGATACTACCTGGGACCAGACAATTTGTAAACAAAAGAGGTTCAATTGACTCCTAGTTCTGCATGGCTGGAGAGGCCTCAGGAAACTTACAATCATGGCAGAAGGTGAAGGGGAAGCAAGGCATGTCTTACATGGCAGTAGGAGAGAGAGTGCAGGGGAAACTGCCACTTTTAAACCATCAGAACTCGTGAGAACTCCCTCACTATCATGAGAACAGCAAGGGGAAACTGCCCCCATGATCCAGTCACCTCCCATCAGGTCCTTCCTCGACATATGGGGATTACAATTTGAGATGAGATTTAGGTGGGGACACAGAGCCAAACTATATCACCCCACACCCCAGCTTGCAGGAATCTAGTCATCCATATATTGTTGATATGTGTGTTTTACTGGTAATTTGTGCAAAAAGGTCAAATCACACAATGTCAGCACCTCACTGGAGACATCCATATAGACACCTCTTCTCTATCCTCAGGAGACTGCAGAAACCCCTCCTCTGACAGCTACCCCTCCCCGAGGCTTTTTCCAACTCCACCTGCTTAGTATGCAGAAGAGCTTTCTTCTCTACCTTGAAACCAAGCCCTAAGGCTTCCTTACATGCTGGCTTACCAAAACATCTTCTCAGCAAAGGCTGGGTCTCTCCCTACACAGAAATTCTCTCCTAGCAGATACACAAAATTGAAAGCTTTCTTCATGCAGCTCCAGTTGTACCTCTGATTTCCATGGGTCAGCCAACTTCTGCTTTGCCCACAGCTCCAATTCTTAAATGGCTCCCTCCATCAGGTTCTACTGGGCCCTGGGCTGCAGTCATGCCTCTTCTTTGTGGACTTCTGATTTTCTGGAAGCCTTCCATCTCTCCCTTTCTAGGCACCTTAACCTTGACCATCACACACTGCTACCTTAATACATTCTCTGATAAGATTTATCAGCAGTCAAAACTGTCACTCAAACAAGACCGCAAAGCAACTCTCCTGGGGAATCATTCTTGGTACAAAAGAAACTAGGGATTTCATTTATTTTGCAGCCATTAGCTTTTCTCCTCCACCATCATCCAGGTTATCTCTAATGGTCTCCACAGCTTTCTCCTAGGGTGGTCTGGTACGGTCCTGGATTTTATCCCCATTATCTTGCTTAAATTCTTTAATTATCTCAGATTCAATAGCGAACCCTTGACCATTATACGTCCTTTAGGGGGACCCATAATGGGATTGTTCTTAAACTTTAGGCTGCACAAGAATGTCCTGGAGAGCCTGTTTAAAAGGCAGCCCATTGCCTACAGTTCTGATTCAGTAGATCTATGGTGTGACTGAGGAATCTGCCTTTCTCACTACTACACCCAAGTGATTCTGAGGCCAGAAATAGGAGCCTCATATTCTTTCCCAAAGTGGGCCATTCATACTGCTGCAACCCAAGAGATTTTAATAGTTATGCGTTTGTTTTAATTTAAATTTTTAAAACCCTATAGACTAGCAAAAGCATGATTTCATAGATATTGCTTAGAAGGCTAAGCAAAAATGGTGAGTTAAGAGCATGTGGGCCACCTGTCTTCAAACCCTGGCTCTGCCATGGGTAGACTATTTAACTGCTCTATGCCTCTGTTTCTCCATCAGTAATATGGGACCTATAGCACCTAACACACAGAATTCAAGAGTAAATGAGATAATGTACTTAGAACAGTGCCTGGGACAGAGTAAGTACTCAGAAAGTTTAGAAATTATTATCCCCTGTGCGTTACCATATTTAAAGCATTCCTTTATTTTTTGATGTTTTCTATTCTTGAGAATGTTTGTGATTCCTGAAGGACATGATTCTAGAAGCAGAAAATCCACATATAATAAAGTAGGAGCAGCAACAATTGTGCCTATGTTTAGTACTTCCCATGGCTTGTTCATGTTGGCTTTTTGGTTTTTACATTTCTCCTTAAGACTGACTTTTTTGTTATTGTCGTTCAAAATGTCTTCCCATTCTAGACTACTAAAGTCTGGCTCAAACAAACATGACCATTCTCTCACACCAAAAGCAAGAGGCTCTATAACCTTCCTATACCGTTCTCATTGCTCTGATCCTGAGACTACAGGACATAGCCTGTGCAGGTGGGGAGCAGTCTCTTCACTATCATTTGTTGTCTTCAGCTTCTCTTTTTCTCTACCACCAAAAGAAAAGTATGACCTTAGGTTGAAAAAGAAGGGAATTACTAAACACAAACTTGTCAAGCTCTAAGACAGTAACTCTCAAGTATTCTTCTTAAGAACTGGGCTTGTCACAGTCAACCCTCCAGGCAGAAAGTTAGCCTTCCACCACTCCCTCGTACCTCTTGCCTGTCTGAATTTTCTCATCTTGTGATCTGGAGTTTACCTTGGTAGTTTTCCTGACCTGAAAGATATTAGGACTCCCTTTCTTATATTTGGATCCTGCCGACAAGACTGCTTGTGAGGTGAGGAAACGCCACATTTCCATGGTGGCGATGCGCCACTGTGCACACGTCGTTACTCTGTTGGCGGGTGGCAGGGCTGACCCTTCGCTCTTGGGCGCTGGAATCTCCACTGAGATGCCTCCAGCTGAGCAAGCTTTTTCTGGCCTGTGTGGTCAGGTACCTTCTCCTGAAGGAGTCGTCATTGGTTCGGTAGTGACATGTCTCACAGGATTGCCATCAACCTTTCTTTTCTTATGTTGGCTTTTTGGTCAGTTTATTGTTCCTGATCTTCTCAGTGATGTATAGATATATTGCATAGGGAACCCCGGTGACTAGCTTACTATTCCGTGCAGTTAGCGGGGATCCCCGCAAGCAGCTCTGAGGCCCTAAGAGAAGTCCAGCATTTTACTATATCTTCTGCCATTAGCAAGTTTTCTTAAAATCTGCATATAATCTACTTAAAGATGTCAAGGCTGTTTCTGCTTTATTCTGCAAGAGACAATTTTTGGTTTTGCAAGTTCTAGTATGGGTGGGTGGTGGCTATGGGAGAGACTGCACATCACAAAGCAAACCTATTTCTGGATAATAGCAGAGGAAAATTTTGCAGATTCCATACTGGCTGGTCTAACATTGCACAGCTCTGTGTAACTGTAAATTAAGAAAAGCAGGCCGGGCGCGGTGGCTCACGCCTGTAATCCCAGCACTTTGGGAGGCCGAGGCGGGTGGATCATGAGGTCAGGAGATCGAGACCATCCTGGCTAACAAGGTGAAACCCCGTCTCTACTAAAAATACAAAAAATTAGCCGGGCGCGGTGGCGGGCGCCTGTAGTCCCAGCTACTCGGGAGGCTGAGGCAGGAGAATGGCGTGAACCCGGGAAGCGGAGCTTGCAGTGAGCCGAGATTGCGCCACTGCAGTCCGCAGTCCGACCTGGGCGACAGAGCGAGACTCCGTCTCAAAAAAAAAAAAAAAAAAAAAAAAAAAAAAAAAAAAAAAAAAAAAAGAAAAGCAGTACTAAAGCTACAGATATGCCTTTATTTCCCCCAGCTTTTATTTTGAAAGATTACAAAGCTACAGAAAAGTTCCAAGAATAGTGAGATGAACCTCCATATAACCTTTATCTAGATTTCCCAATTACTAAACATTTTGTTACATTTGCTTTCTCTCTCTGTACATATGTATAGGTGTATTTGTTTATGTGTGTATATATATATATATATATATATATGCTTTTATATGCATACACATTATTTTGCTGACACTTTTCTCCTAATAATAAAGACATTCTCTTACATAACCGTAAGACTGGAAATTTAACATTGATATGATAACATTACATATTACAGGCCATATTCAAATTTCTTCAATTGTCTCTTCAACCTCCACCTCCTGGGTTCAAGCAATTCTCCTGTTCAGCCTCCCGAGTAGCTGTAATTACAGGCGCCCGCCACTGTGCCTGGCTAATTTTTGTATTTTTGGTAGAGAGGGGGTTTCTCCATGTTGGCCAGGCTGGTCTCGACTCCTGACCTCAGGTGATCTGCCTACCTCGGCCTCCCAAAATGCTGGGATTACAGGCGTGAGCCACCGTGTTTGGCCTCTTCAGTCTCTTTTAACCTACATCAGTTCCCAGTCTTTCTCTCTAGTTTGCAACATTGATACACGTATTTTGTTACCGATGTTTTGTTTTGCAAAGTGTTTCTCAATTTGATTTGTTTGACTATTTTCTCGTACTTAGATTTAGGTTAAACTTGGGTTTTTTCAGGAGGGGCAGATGACATTGTGTGCATCAAATTAGGGACCTCTCAATGTGAGTTTGTACCTCATTGGTGGTGCTAAGTATGTCTCTTGGTGAAGGCAGTAGCCACCAGATTTCTCCATTGTTAAATGTACATTTTCCCTTAGTAATAAATAAGAATCTATGAGGTAAAATTGTTTGAACATTTTATTTCCCAATGTTCTTTCATCCAATGATTTTAGCATCCATTAATAATTTTTGATGAAATAAGTATTATGGTGGTTGTAAAATAATAATTTCCTGTTTCTATTATTCCTTCTACATTTATTAGTTGTAGACTCTGTACTAAAAGCCGGAACATTGGATAATTGTACTCAAAAGCAAAATGGACAGAGAGGGCTAAAGCTAAACACTCTGCATGCATTGTTTCGCTAATTCTTATAAAAGCCTGTAAAGTAAATACTATCTATATTTTATTGAGATATTTTAAACTTCTGTGATTAATACGAAAGTACTGATATATAGATATTACACCACAAATAGACATTCAGGATAGAACACTCAAGAATATTCACAGAGAGAAGGAAGCTTCCAACAGGGCCAGAATTAACATTTCCTTTATGTACACCTGATAAAAATATTTCTGCTTTTAGGTATGTGTATGTCCGTGTGAATTTAACCAGTCCTTTAATGATGTTAATCCAGAAGCACACAGCATATATTAGGTAGTTAAATACACATTAACTGCTTAGATAACTTTATACCAAAGTTCTCAGCTGACTTCAACTTAACCAACTTGCCAGATTCACAGACGCTCTCCGTTCCCTCTGTGAACCGAATTTTCTGATATGCACAGCATGCTGGGCACTTGAGGGCAGTAACTACTCTCCAATGTATCCAAGGACTTCTGCTCCCACTTCTGCTGTTATTTACTAACCAAGAGTCTGTTGTGTTTGTTCCCAGGCCTGTTTGGGTTAATTAGACTTGTGATTGTAGTATTTTAATTAATTAAATTAAGCATATTTTAATTAAATATTATGAAAATTGTCAAACTAGATGAGCAGAAAAGAGTATAGTTGTTGTTCTGAAACAGAGTTGAATGCTCTGGAAAGTCTCGATTTAAAAAAAAATGACTATTACAATAGGTGTTAGTAAGAAAAGTTTAAAAGACTGGAACAGGAATCATAAAAACCCCAACATGGTCTAGATTAAGAATGTCTGAGAAATGTCTGATTCACTTTAGATAAATTGAAACTGGAGAGAGATGTGTTATGGATGTGATTTATGCAAAAAAGACTTCAAAATACAGATTTATACTAGAATAGAGGGGAGGTCTTGACTCTACATTTAAATATTGTCAAATGAATTTGCATGTGCCATGTTATTATAGTTTTTAGAATTTGGGACTTTAACCAAATATTTTTATTAATTGGCTCATTACTGGTTTTGGTCTTATCAAATATGAGCTTCTACTGTAAAGATCTCATTCTACAATCATTCCTAATTAAGGTTTCTGTATCTTTAAAAAGTCTCAAGTTAAACAACCATTTTAGATTCTGTAAAAAACAAACAAACAGACAAAAAATCTGTAGACCCAACTGACCACTGCAGCCAAGCTTCTGGTTCTCCGAACAGACAAATGGAGCACAACAGCCCCCTACCAGTAAGATGACACCTAAACAAGGTTTATATGTGCTGAACATCCCTTAGGAATGGCAGAAAACATTCTGGGACTTTATATGCAACTTTTATATCATATGTTATATGGTGCATATTATTTATAGGTTAAAGTTTCTATTGAATTTCTGTATTTCAGGAATGGCTACCATTTCTTTTGAATCTCTCTAAATACCTAATACTGTTCCCTGCTTTTCCTAAATTAGACCTTAAAAAAATTAGCTGAGAAGACAATATATAATAGTTCAGTACTGCAGAGGCAGAGAGTCCACAGCCTGTCTAGCGGTGTACATCTGTAGCCCTTTCCTCTTCTGACATGAGCTCCAGCTTTTATTTGGCTTCTGGCTGGAACTGCTACTTTACCACCGATCTAGAGCAGGGCAAACTGCCGCTGTTCATCTCGTAGGCACTAAATAAATATTTGTGGGTGACCTTTTTTTTCTTCACTTCGGAAAAATATTAAGGAGCTCAGATGACATCTAATATCCAGGACACAAAGACCACACTCAGCAGCTAGACTGCCCCTGTGTGTGCAAGGGGGGCCCAAGAGGGAAGGGGGAGGTAGACCCAAATGACCCCTACTGTGCTCTGTCCTCCAAGTAAATCTGTGGTACAGAATCAGTCTCTCCCCGCAAGGGCTGGACAACCAGCCTCACCCTTTCAGCTGGCAAATGCAACTGAGTACAAAAGCATGGGCATCAGAGCATAAATAGAGCAGCGTCATGTCACATCATGTCACATCGACTTTGGTGGAGTCCCACTGTTGGCTGAATCTAGTCCTGACTCCTCAGGCTGACATCTGAGCCCAGAGACTCCATGCCTGCAGTCCACCTTCCTAGCTCTGTCTTACGACTCTCATACGGATACATCATACTCCAGCAAAATGGGAACCGCTCTTCTCAGATACGCCCTTGTTTTTACCCGAATTGCCTGCCCAATCCCACTCAAAACAACCCCATTTTTGCCTATTAAAATCTGACATCACTTTTCCTTGAAGCCTTCTTTGACTTCTTTAACCCATGGTCATCTCCCTCCTTTGAACCCCGCTGAGCATATTCTGACCCTTTGTGCTGACTTTTTGCCGACCTCCTTACCCTCCTTGGGGGCAGGTACTAAGTTTTACTCAATTTGAATTTCCTCCAGTACCTTGCCTAGTCAGCACCTTGCACATAGAAGGTGTTTGACCTTTAAATAAATGTTTGATAGCTGTTAGTTGAATTATACGAGTTTTTGACTCTAGAACCAAGTAGTGTAATGCTGGAAGAGTTTAGGAAATATTTTTAGGAACTAAAAGATACATAGATTTGGAATGAAAATGTTCTACTCTAACCATGAAATTCTCTGAGCCGAAACATAATTCAGATAGACTATTTGACTTCCAGAGATGCTTCTTATGTATGCTATAAATAGGGTTAGTGTTTATTCCAAGGCAATTTTTATTTATTGGACACAAGGAAAAATATTATTTCTTTCTCTTGACATTTTACAATTTCTGTCTTCAACAGTTTTGACTCACATTGTTAATCTAATTTATTACTAAAATATCAATAGTCTTTTAAAATTATTTAAGATTGTGTCTACATTTTTGGCAGTTAGTGGTCAAATACACAATCCTAATGCTTGAGACTTCAAATAAATACAGGGAACTACTCCTTATATGAAAGGCTTTTCTATAATTTATTATTGATACATTCTATAATGATGTATATATTTCCTCCTTGCTTTTCTGCCACAGAGTTGGGTGGCAGGCAGCTGAACAAGCACTAAAGAACTTTCCCTATTAACTTTATTCTGCTGTTCAGGATGGATTGTGACACTGACAGCATTATGGATCACTCAGCATCCTTCCCTCCCCCTTATTTTTTCTAGTACTTTGTTCCCTTAAGGCTGAGGGCATTTCAAGGTGGGTTCAGTGCATTAAATATGTGTGTGGTCTGACTACAGTGCCAGGATGGTATACACTAATGATCTCATTCCAGATTCTGGCTTCATTTTTATCTCTTGTGTGTGCAGTACACTCAGCTAGATCATGATCAGCAGACACATTCCCAATTCCACTCATCTTGCTAATTTCCACGTGTGCCATCCAAGCCAGTGTATTTCTTATGTTTGGAGGCAATTTCCCTTAAATGTGGCCATCAAGTAAGATTTTGAGCATCTAAAAATGAAACAAATGGCTTAAAACTACAATGAGACAAAGAAATACATTTTGTTGGCTTCAGAATAATAACTGGACTTTACTGCTTAAATGAAAAACTGCTGGTCTATGGTGATAGGAGAAAACACAGTTACCTCTCTCCAAAATTCTGGCCCAACAATGACCTATGAAAGAAAATCTTGTTCTAGCCTGTCATACTCAAATACTTTTAAACAAATGACTGGAAGTTCTGAATGATATATAAAAGGTGATCAGTATTTCTTTGGCTCAATGCCCCTTTGTATAAACATAGGAATTCAAGTCTTTAATCCGTCTCTTTTGTCACCTTGGGGTTTGCAGAGCTCTCATAATACACTGAGGACTTTATGTTTGCAATTCCTTCTGCCTAAAATGTTCTTCCCACAGATGTGTACGTGGCTTGCCCTTTCATCTCCTTCAGGTCTTTGCCCAAATGTTCCCTTCCTTCTCAGTGGGAGGTTACATAGGGGCAAAGCCTATTTCTATCTTCCCTCCCTGCTTCATTTTCTCCATAGCACTTATGACCACCTGAATGATTATATATTTTTGTTTATAAACTGTCTCCCTCCACCACTTGAAGCTGCGTGAAGGCAAAAGTTTTTGCCAGTTTTATTCAATGCTGTATGCCTAGCCCCTAGAAGATTCCTGGCTCATAGTAGGTACTCAATAAGTATTTGCTAGACAAAAATAATGAATTCAGTTTCTTTCCCCCTTTATTTTCTCCAGCCATCTTTCCAAAACATAAATCTGATCATGTTACTCTCATGCTTATGAACATTCAATAGCTCCCCCTTACCTACAGAATACAATTAAAATGCCTCAGGTTGGCATACAAAATCCCAACCCACCTCTCTACTCTTTCCTCTTAGCATTCATCTCCCGCGACCTACAAGCCAGACACACGGAACCCTTGACATTGACCAAAACTGCCCTGCATCTTCCATCTCTATGCTTCTGTGCACACTGCTCTTTTCACCTACAGTGTCTTCTCTACCATTCTATCTGAGCAACTCATGATTAGCCATCAGCACCCAGGTGAAACTTGGGCTCCTCTGAAAAGCTTTCCTCCTCCATCCCAGGCAGAGTCAACTTGTCCCCTCTCTGGGCTCCTAGTTTTATTATATTTATTATGTAGTATTAAACCACAATGCCTTTTACACCAATCTAATAGCATGGATGACACAGGGATACAGTTATCTATGCATCTTTCTTCTACTACAAATCTGTGATATTTTGCATAGTAGTTAAGACACAGTTGGTGCGTAATCCCCCTTCCTTCATTTATTCTCAGCCATGCCTCAAAACTGAGTCTGCTCCAGTTATGACATAGAAACTCTTCAAGAACTGGAAACATCTGATAATAATCTTTGAACCCTGGTAGGTTCTCTAGAGATTGACTGCAAGGTTTTTGAACACAATTTTGAATGAATAATGGATGGATGGATGGATGCATGGATGCATCCACCAGAGGCCAAAGTTCTAGGTACTTTCTTATGTTACCTCCCTTTTTGGAAATACTACTTTTATGCATAACTGCTTCATTACCATTCTTTCTTGCATGTACAGTCGTACCCTCATGTGCCCAATTAGACGATTCCACATGATTTGGGGGACGTAAATGATTAATTGAAGACACAAGTGATTAACTCTGGAGAGCTAAATGTTACGTATAAAAAATGAAAAAAAGAAAGGTTCATTTGAGGCCAGACTGAAAACCTGGACAAAAAAGTTAAAGATACTGTGTACAAAGCAGCAGCCTGCAATTTTTTAACTTCTAAATGTATTATTCGGTCTTCAGGGAATAAACAATGAGCAAAGAAAGTTAGAGTTGAATGCACTGGAAATTGTTTCGTACTTGATTCTGAAAAAGGATTAAAAGGACTTGACATAGAATGAAGTGATTTTATCAAGGTAGAGGACACTGTGGAAGAAAGGTCATTGAATGTAGCTGAATATACAGAGACTGCCATAAATCATGTTAGCAATCAACACATCCAGTGTTCTATGCCTACCAGCAGTGGCCCGTGTTTGAAAGGAAGGTGTAAATCCCTCATCCAGCACCAAGTTTTGCAATCCTATGCAGTAAAAAAGTTCCTTTCTAAGCCCATGCAGGGATCAGAATATGACCATAGTGAATAGTCCCCATTTTATTCTGGTTATTACATACATGGGATGGGAAAAGCAACAGCAGCCACAGTGCAGGATCAAGTGACAGCAGCCTTCTGGATGTTCCAGTGGTTTCCACATATGAGACATGGAGTCTGTGGCCCTTGAAGGTCCTTCTCTCTAAGTATCTCATCTCCTACCACTCGACTTACTCAAGCAGACTCCTAATCCAACACTTGGAACACAGAAACTACTCCCTTCTCATCTACCATTCCCGAGCTCCCGCTGAACCCATCCTCTTTATGACTTGCTGGATCTCACCTTGAAAAAACAATAAGATATTTATGGCAAAGAATGCCAGTTTTCTTCACTACCTTGTCTTCTTCCTCATAATAATAGAAAGCCCAAGTTTTATCGGGGCACGTAACTTGCTCAGATCAAAGGCTACATTTTCTTGCTTCCCTTGCAGTAAGATGTGGCTTTGTGACGAAGTTCTGACCAGTAAGATGGGAGCAGAAATGGCATATACAATTTCTAGGTTGTTTCTATAAAAGGAAAGAGTATGCCATTTTGCTGACCAGAATGTGGGCATAGTGACATTGTCCTGAACCATGGGGATGAGAGCAAAGCAGCAAGATAAAAGGAGCTTGGGCTGCTGCTGACTTCTCAGAGCACAGATGCCCACGAGCTCAGCCTGAAATATGAGAGACAGAGGACTTTGATTGTGTTTAAGCCACTGTTATTTTGGATCTCTGGCACAGCAGCTAAACCTATAGCCTAACTTAGACAGTCCTTCACAAGGTGACCTGCCCACCAAACATCTTTTTCCATCCTTGTTTTACAACTTCTTCCGCAGTCTCCACCCTTCATACTCAACTCTCTGTGCACATGGAACTTCTTACCTTTTCCCAAGCAAGGCACTCTCTTTTATGCCCCTGTCTGTACATGCTATTCCTTCTGGATCAATATCTCAATGTGTCAAGCCCTCATTCAACTTCCAAGGCCCATCTTAAATATAGGACTGTTGGTCTTTTTACAATTACAGATAATTGTAATTATTTGTTTTACCTGTCTATGTAGTGTATTCTCTCCTTGACCCTCTAAGTTCACTCTCTCCCCTTCTCCATCCCGCTGTGTGCCCTGTGGGGCTGATGTCTACGGACCTTACAGCCCAAACCACAGTCCCTTGCCCTCTGGCTTCCAGGTGGATTTGGCCAATGGAAGTTGGGAGATGGGGAGGTGGGGAGAAAAAGATGTTAAGGTATTTATTTTCCCACCTTCCTCTCAGCCAGGCCACAGTTTGGTAGGTTCTGGATTTCTGGAACCTGGATAAGGCCACAGCTCCTCTCCAGCAGCCCTGGCCCATGGCTGTAGGTCTCACCAGGCTGGCCCAGTACCAACTTCTTGATATTGCTGGTCTCTGGGTGTTTCATCACATCTGTGGTTTTCTTAATCTTAGCCATTCATTTATAAATGTTTCCACAATTAAGTACTCTTCAAATTACCTTTTTGAGTGTGCCATCTATTTCCTTCTGGGACCCTGACCCATACTATGCCTCATTAGACTGTCACTAGACTATGACAAACTTGAGGTTAAAGACCAGGACTAAGATGTTTTCCATCCCACTGTCAAGTTCAGCACCTAGCTCATAGTTTTTGCGTAATAACTCTTTGTAGAGTAAAAACTATTTCTGTCCATTCAAGATTCTTACATAATGTCCCAAAGAAGAGGACTGTTGACTTTTGGCATACAGTTTAATTTACATAAATCTACATTGTGAATTGAAACTCTCACCTTAATTTCAAATGAATGTAAAATTCTTTTCTCTTTTCTTTTCCTCTTTTCCTTTTTATTTTATTTTTTTGAGACAGGGTCTCATTCAGCCATTGCCCAGGCTGGAGTGCAGGGGCACAATCACAGCTCACTGAAGCCTCAACCTCCCAGGCTCAGATAATCCTCCCACCTCAGCCTCCCGAGTAGCTGGAACTACAGGGATGTGGCACTACACATGGCTAATTTTTTGTAACTTCTGTAGAGACAGTGTTTTGCCATGTTGCCCAGGCTGGTCTCAAACTCCTGAGCTCAAGTGATCTGCCCACCTTGGCTTCCCAAAGTGCTGGAATTACACACGTGAACCACCACACCCAGCCTTTCTCTTTTCTTACTTACGCACTCATGTATAAGCTAAATTTCACTCCAAATATTCACTCCATTTATTTCTTCCAGCTTGTTTCATTTGCTTATCTGATATCTTATATTAATATCTTCTAGTTAGCTATATCTTCATTTAAATTTTTGACCAAAAATATTTAGCCAAGAGTCAGGAACTGAGATCTGTGGAGTACCACTGAAGACTCTCTTCTGGCTGACATTAACGTATGAATCAACACTTTCAGTACTTTTGTTCCATTGCTTTGATACTATTTTGAATGGATTGTTTTCTTAATTTAATTTTAGAATTGTTCATTGCTAGTTCGTAGAAATGACTGATTTTTTATATCAATCTTATATCCTGCAACTTTGCTGAACACGTATTAGTTCTCATCCGTGTGTGTGTCTGTGTATGTGTATTCCTTAGAATTTTTTATATTCAAGATCATGTCATCTGCTAATAGAGATAGTCTCTTCCTCTACAATCTGAATGGCTTGCATCATCTCTGGATCTACCAAGTAACTGGCATTGCCTCCAAAATGGTCAGAATGAAAGAGTTGGAAAATGGTTTGTTGAAAAAAAAAAAATAGTTGTTTACTTGATGTTTTGTTGGAGGGAAAAGTAGCTATATTCCTCATAAGGCTTTCACAAATATTACTTTCATTCACTTATAGTTTTATTAGAGAAAGCAGGGGACACCTAAGGATGTAACTCTCAGTAAATCTACAATGACTTTTTTTTTTTTTTTCAGATGGAGTCTTGCTCTGTCACCCAGGCTGGAGTGCAGTGGTGCAATCTCGGCTCACCGCAACCTCCACCCCCTGGGTTCAAGCAATTCTCCTGCTCCAGCCTCCCTAGTAGCTGGGATTACAGGCATGCGCTACCACGTCCAGCTAATTTTTGTATTTTTAGTAGAGATGGGGTTTCGCCATGTTGGCCAGGCTGGTCTTGAACTCCTGACTCAGGTGATCGGCCCACCTTGGCCTCCTAAAGTGCTGGGATTATAGGCGTGAGCCACCATGCCCTGCAAGACCAATGACTTCTTATATGGAATTTTAAAAACCTGGCCAGAGGGCCGGGTGTGGTGGCTCACGCCTGTAATCCCAGCACTTTGGGAAGCCGAGGTGGGTGGATCATTTCAGGTCAGGAGATCAAGACCAGCCTGGCCAACATGGTGAAACCCCATCTCTACTAAAAATACAAAAATTAGCTGGTCATCATGGTGGGCACCTGTAATCCCAGCTACTCGGGAGCCTGAGGCAGGAGAATCGCTTGAACCTGGGAGGCAGAGGTTGCAGTGAGCCGAGATGGCACCACTGCACTCCAGCCTGGGCAACAGAGTGAGACTCGTCTCAAATAAATAAATAAATAAATAAATAAATAAATACCTGGCCAGATAATAAAGATCCCATTATGCAGGGTATAGTAGAACAGCAAATTTTACAGTGTGGATTCAAATTCCACTACTTCATAGTTATGTAACCTTAAGTAAAATAAGAGAAACAATACCTGTCTTCCATGACTGCTATGAGAATAAAATAAAAATAATTGATATAAAGGGCCTGGAACCCCAGTGCACACCTAAGTTTAGCCTCCTACCTTCCACCTTTATTTATAAGAATAAATGATTCTTGCTTAATTTGCATTCTCATATTCATACTATGTGAACCACCAATGAGAAAAGATGCTTCATTTATCTTATGGTGATTCTTAACCCCCATCTCTAAATTAAAAATAAACCCTAAGAATAACCCATTCTCTAAGAAGGGAAATAAACTTGGATTGTGTGGAGTCGTTAAGAGATTACATAATTTAAAGGGAGAAAAGTGCTATAGAGAGGATTCTAGACTTCAACATGAAAACTGAATAAATCCTAGAGCTGCATGCGGTTTACCTTTGAACTGAGCTGTATTTAAAGAAGCATAATCCTGATGCCAAAATGAATTTGTTTAAATCTGTTATTAATCTCAATCTTCCAAAGGAGAATTAATTCTCAGTTTATGGAACCATGTCTCCAGATCAGCTTCCCTTTCGTTTCCAATTCTCTCCCATCCCACAGCTATTCTAAAATCTTCTAGTCACCAAATCCTAAAACACCACTCTATGAGAGCCCACAAAATGGCCTGCCCATTTTCATTCTATTAAGATCAACCTAACTTCCTTGGCTATAGCCTTCTCCTTTATTCCTTCCTATCTACTGAGTCTTCTTTCTTCATATGCACTCTCCCAATTCTGCAGCTCAAAAGATCCAGAAACCAAGGTAGCAAAGTATTCACCTTACAGTGAGGAAGAAGAGAACACTTACACATTAACAAATTTTATCCTGATAATGCCACGTGAGGATCTCTTATGCCTTCTTCCACCCTTCTTGCCTTGTCCTATATCTCCTTAAATTGGAAGTTATCTGAAAAAGTCACAGTTGAGTCCCATTTTTAAATTTTATTTATTCATTCATTCCAAAATATTTATTGAGTACTTTTACACACTGATAATTCAAGCCCTTGGATGGAAATTTCATAAGACTTATAATTACAATCTAAGCTCTTCTATTTTCTCCATTCTTTCCTTCCAGCTTCTTCTAAGGGGCAGCTGAAGGCACCAATAGCAGACAATTAGTTAACTGATTGGGAAGAGGAATATGCTGTCTTCCTGTGCCTCAGTAGAATTCTTCAACAGAATGTGCACAATTGGAACTAGAACAAGCTGAAAATTTGACAATTATCTCTGTTATCTGCTGCAGATTATAAACACATAAGAGTTATCTCTGGCTTAACTTGCTTTTAATTTCCCATTAAAGTTGCCATCCACCCTCTTTATTTAAGTACTATGTTGGTGTGATGGTTAATTTTATATGTCAACTTGACTGAGCCATCAGGTGCCCAGATATTTGGTCAAATATTATTCTAGGTGTGTCTGTGAGGGTATTTTTGGATGAGGTTGATATTCGACTCCGTAAACTCAGTAAAGCAGATTGTTTTTCCTAATATGAGTAGCTCTCATTCAATCAGTCGAAGGCCTGAACCAAACAAAAAGGCTCACCCTCCTGTGAATAAGAGGGAACTCCACCTGCCTGCCTGCTGAGGTGGGGCATTAATCCTTTCCTGCTTTGGGACTTGAACTGAAAAATGGGCTTTTCTTAGCTCTCAAGCCTGAAGGCCTTCAGACTAAGACTTATGCCTTCAGCTTTCCTGGTTCTCAGGCATTCATACTTGAACTGGAAGCACACCATCAGCTCTTATGAGTCTCTAGCTTGTCGACTGCAGATCTTGGGACTTCTTTTTTTTTCTTTTGAGACAGAATCTCGCTCTGTCACGAGGCTGGAGTGCAGTGGTGCCATCTTGGCTCACTGCAACCTCCAACTCCCTGGTTCAAGTGATTCTCCTGCCTCAGCCTCCCGAGTAGTTGGGATTACAGGATTACAGGCACGTGCCACCATGCCAGGCTAATTTTTGTATTTTTAGTAGAGACAGGGTTTCACCATGTTGACCAGGATGGTCTCAATCTCCTGACCTCGTGATCCATCCACCTCGGCCTCCCAAAGTGCTGAGATTACAGGTGTGAGCCACTGTGCCCGGCAATCTTGGGTCTTCTTAGCCTCCATAATCAATGAACCCATTTCTTATAATAAATAAATTACATATATATAAATATATAAGTATTATACAAATATTAAATATATAACATATCTCCTATTGGTTCTATTTCTGTGGAGAACCCTGACTGACATGGTTGGTTACTATAGGCCTTGTTTGTTCTGGGACAGCAGAAGCTCTAAAAGGAGGTGTTAAAGACAAAAATTAGTTCTCTGTCCCTGGAATAAATGGCACCAATAAGTTACATATTTCATGGCTTCAGGCTAATAGAGACTGTAAAATGTTAAGACTAGATCAATGGTTCTCAATTTTTGTTGCATATTATAATCACCTGGGATGTTTTTTAAAATCTGGATGCCCAGAGCTTACTTCAGACCAATAACATCATAATTTCTGTGAGAGACTCAAACATCAATTTTTTTTGAGGTTCCCCAGGTGATTCTAATGTCTAAACAAGGTTTAGATGGCGATGATCTGCTGGTGTCTTTCAAAAGTGATAGAGTTCATTCCTAGCCTAAAGTTGAAAGAAGAAAAGCAGGTAGTAGAAAGTAGTAAAGTTAATCAAGAAGAATAACTCCTGGTGTCTCTTGCTTTAGAAGCTGATAGAGCGATCCATTACCCATCTTGAAGTTTTGAAAAATCCCAGTTTACCCCAGTGGTCTTATTTAAATATAAGTAGAAAATGCACTTTAAAGTAATGTTTTGATGACCTTTTAACTTACTTATCATGTTTTTCCATGACTCTGACCTCTTTCATGGGTAATATGGAGTTGAACCACACAATTAACATCTTCCAGAACGCTGCACAGGTGAAAAACAGAAGACAGGCATGGTGGCTCGTACCTGTAATCCCAACAGCGTGGAAGGCCAAGGTGGGCGGATCACTTGAGCCCAGGAGTTCAAGACCAGCCTGGACAACATAGTGACACCCTGTCTCTACAAAAAAATACAAAAAGTTAGCTGGGCGTGGTGGTGGCACCTGCGGTCCCAGCAACTGAAGAGATTGATGTGGGAGGATCGCTTGAGACCAGAAGGTCAAGTCTGCAGTGAGCTGAGATCACGCCACTGAACTCCAGCCTGGGTGACAGAGTGAGACTCTGTCTCAAAAAAACAAACAACAACAAAAAAAGAAAAACCCAAAAAACAAAAAAAACACAGGGGCCACCAAGAAGGATCAGTCACCAAGTGCCCCATTGCATAAAAAGTAAAGTTTACCCTAAGCAGTGACTAAATACTTTGGAGAATTTTCATTCAATGTTTAAAACACACTGACCAACCACTTCTTAGTATGGCAGCAGGCTCCCCGGCTTGAGAGATTTGTAAGCTGAGACAAGGAGCTAAAGAGAAAGATAGAGAGAGGGAAAGAGAAGGAGGGTGGGAAGATACTGAGAAAGAAGAGATTGGGGGGAGAGAGAGAGACTAGTAGAGAGACTAGACAGTTATAGCTCTTGAGGGGCCATTAAGGCTCAATTCTTTTGCCATAGACCTCTCTCTCCATTCACTCAGCTCCTGTAAATGACTTTTATGATTTACAGGACAGAGGAGGGGCTATTCGTTTCCTGTGTATTATCTCGTTACTTACTAATATCTGAAACCAGACTGAGAGATGGCATAAGCTAAATAGGAGGAGGACAGGGGAAAAGTTGTAATTGTATGAACTTATTCTTTTGAATATATGTCTTGTTTGTTTTGTCAATGGGCTCATTTCATCCATTTTGTGTAACAAAAATATTACTGTAATTTATTAAAATTGTGAGGGAGTAAAATGCAAAGTTTTTTATTTTAACCGCTGAGAGAGGTCATCCTTAGGACTGATGACTCTCTAACATTTATTAGGAATCCAAAGTCTGAACTAACACACATCGTCATCTTCCTAGACTGTTCCTCAGCTAGTGTTCTGTCTGAAACTAACATTCCATCTCAGAAGCTATTCGGTGGAATCATGAGATGCTGTGTCTCTAGCTAGATCCGGCAGGGGCTGAAGAGATGGCATTTATAAAAATGCAGTTTATCACAACTTACATCTAATTTTAATGGAAGAGAGGGCAGTATAATGTCAGCTATCAATGAAATATAACATGAATGGGGACAAATTACAACAGCCCTCACTGGAGTTAGCAGGTATGAGTTGGTTCTTAACTGTTTCTGCTTGTATTATAAAAGCTCAGTCTAGGTTAAAAACCAAATTTTTAAGTGGCTTCAGAGAAAAGGCTGATGGGTTGACAAGAGCTATATACTCTGTAATTAATCACAGAACTCATACTTGGATGGATAAGAACTTGTTGGCCAAAACATGAAAATAACCATTTCAAAGGATCAGTACTTCTCCAGAAAGAAAGCAACCACCGTGTCATAGGGTAATTGTGCTTCAGAGGAGATATGAGGCAACTGGCTTTTACTCAGGTACATTTAGCTATCATATATAATACTGTATTTGCTGCCCTACTAGGCTTTCTTTATGAGAACCTTACAATTAAGGCTATAGCTTTTAGAATCTCTCTTCTAAAGAGCAAGGACAATATTTCTTTTTTATACGGTCTGGCTTATTATCTATATTTACACACATACAAAATATCTCAGAAGGACACCATTAGGCAGTTATCCAATAGTTTTCCTTCACCCTTCTTTATCCTAATTATTAAAACCTTGATTTTGTTTGGTTACAATGTGCCTAGGCCCTGGAAATAAATCATGATGTTTAAGACCCTAACGGTATAGCCATAATCCCTCTTGCTGGATATTTGTTTTCCCAGCTTCCCATGCAGTTAGTGGTGGCCACATGACTCAGTTTTGACCAACCAGTTTACAGCAACTCTCAAGGGTCTTTCTGGGTAATATTTTGGTTTCTGACAAAAGGAATAGGTACATATTTAAGGAGGTTTTTTTGTAGGGTGCCCCTTTCATTCCTCTTCTGTCTGAGACATTGATGTCAGGGCCTGGAGCTGAAATGCGTATATTGTATTGTTACCCATGAGGTGACAAGCATGACAGAAGATGAAGATAATGACAAAGATGCCGACCTAGAGCCCTGATATTGTTAAGCTACTTAACAAGCCCTAGACTCCTGCTAAATAAAAAATAAATATATTTTAGAATTAAACCAATGTTGATTGCGTCTTTGGATATTTGCAACCCAAAACATCTCAACCAGTACAATTCCTTTCCTTTCAGGACAAAAGTTTTTATTACCGTGTCACGTCATCCTGGAGATGATTCTCCTTCAGCTTGCATTTGTAGTATATTAATCCAGTTTTATGTACATTTTAAATAGTTGGTAACCTCCTCATGAAAAGAAATAGAAATTTCTTTCTGTGAAATCTAATAATTATTACTTAAAAGTGTTAACTAGCCCTGTGGCCATTACCAAGAATACTCACAGCACTGCAGTCATTTGCAATTAGGGATTCTGACAAGTGCTCTATTGGAAAGGTTGATACTATGAATACAACGATATTGTTGCCATGTTGATGAATGGACATCGTTGTATGTTTGCTCTAAGAAAGCAATTTTTTATTGAACCTTAAATTCTGCAGAGTGCTTTCACACATATTAGTTCGATTGCTTCTCACAACCTCACAAGGCAGATATTATTTTTAGCTCTGCTTTACAGATAAGGACACCAACACTGGGGAAAACTAAGTGATTGCTCTTACTAATTCAATTAATGACTGGAAGAACTTGGATTTAGATCAAATCCTATGTTCTTTCCATAATACCATGCCAAGAAGAACAGTAACTTAGAGAACTGTGAGGCTCTTGTTTTCCATCTTCAGGCCCAAAATCCCCAGATCTCATGATGCATTTTTAGTATATTACATTGAACTTTAGAGAACTTAAAATATATAATGTATTTGCCATATCCATAATAAATTATTAGCCTAAAAAGCAAAAACAATGTAAGTTATGGTAGACCTGGCTGAAAACAAATTTTGCAAAGCCCTAAAAGACACCAGAGTGATATATAAAGGTGCTCCTTCTCCTGGGACTTCCATAGTCATTTTTCTTATTATCTATTATTACTGGAGTCATAGTAGAATTAATATGTAAACTCATCCAGTAAAGAGACTTTATCTTAGCTATTTTTGTATAGCACAGTGCCTGCCACATAGCAGGCACAGTATAAATACTTATTAAATGAACAAATGAGTTACTGATCTAATCACTCAAAAACACAGAAACACTCTAATCTTTCTTCTCTTAAGCACAGATAGTCTATTGTCTCAAAAAGTTGCTTTGGAGACCAAGGCTCTCTGCAATTTCAAGGAAGAAGCATTATTAGCGGAAGCAAGGTGAGGTTTCTTCACACTTTCTCCTTCTTGAACTGGAGGAAATATTCCCAAACGAGACGAAAGCAATTAGTTTTTTCAGTAGTAATAGTAGTTTCTAGAAATAGCTTATCCATCTTCCATTGGGAACTGTCTCCTTTCTAATCACTTTTCTCCTCTTGCTGGATTAGTTTAGAGACATTATTGCCAGTTTAGTGCACATCTTTGGCATGTAATAGTGCAACCACATCACCACAGGTAGTGAAGGGAAACAACTGGATTAAGGAAAGCTATATGCCTATTAAAGTGCCAAAAGAGTGAAATTATAGCTCAGATAATCTTAACTTTCTGTGAAAGTTTGAAAAAGGTATGGTTTTTTTTTTTTTTAAGAGAAATCCATGTTTCTGGTATTTTTGAGATATGCTTGCATTTTCATTAAACTTAACTTCTCTTACACAGGAAAGAGGTCCGTAACTGAAATCCAAAATGTTTGTGAATTAGCATTGTGCAAACTAGGTTTATCCCAAAGGAGAAAACAACCTCTTCGAAAAATGTGCATGCTTGGATGTTATTTTAGCAGTCTATTCAAATTTATTTGGTGATCAAATCCTTTTTAGAATTTAAGGAAAACACATCATCAATAAAAAATTTTAGTCACTAAATAGTCTAACTTCACAAACATCAGCTAACTAGAAAATCAGAAAGCTCATGGGGACTAAAATGACCCAAGGAAGACATGGATAGCTACTATCATCATAATGTTTGAAAGGGGAGTCTTGCTATTTATAGTAACATGCAAGAAAACTTAGGGAAATGTATGCTGTTATTAACCTGATATCCATCAACATTTGTGTTCCTGGGGGAAAAAATTCTTGAGAAGGAATAGAGCTGTGGAAATCAATGTTCCTGCTACACAGGAGTATGAATCTGATAGTCTTCTAGCCATTTATACACAATACATCATGCTCCCACCAAGTGAGTGCTGGGTGAGTTTATAGAAACCTAAACCTGCTTGGTTTTTATTTCATCTCATGGCCTCTACCATATTTTATTTCTTTTTATTGTGAAATCAATAAGTAGCCTGCTGGCTGATTATGAAGATAGCAAAGAGAGAGTTTTATTCAATTTTCTTTGCTGCATCTTAATCTGTGAAAACCACTTATGATGCATTTACTTAAAGAACCAATTTAAACAAAAATATAAGAAGTGCAAATAATTTAGAACTTCATACTAATATTGAGTAATGACTACAGGGAAAAAACTTCTAATCAACATTTGGATGAGTTAGGCATGGTTACCAATTTTTTTAAATGTATATATTTTAACACTAGGATGCTTTTCTGTAATTCAAATCTTTAAATGAAATCACAATATATAAAACACTCAAAAGTAGTGTGGTTCTAGTTGAAGAAAGTGAGAAACAATCAACTATCTTCCCTAAAGTGGCCTGAAGGCACCTCCAGAGACCTCTAAGGCTCCCAGAAAGACAGTTCGAAAATCACTGGGAAAAGTACCTTGACCTTGAAATCAGGCTCTTGACATGGCTCCACCAGAGCTGTGTCACTTTGGAAAAGTGATTTTTGCCCCTTCGGGTCTCAATTTCCTCACTTATGGAATGAATGATCTCTAACAGAGATCATTCACCTCTTAGAACTAATATTTTACTCTGATTTCCAGATATAACCACTCACATTAAGACCTTGCAAAGAAGTCTTTTTTTTTTTTAATTAATTTTTTTTTTTTTTTTGAGACTTGAGTCTGGCTCTGTCGCCAGGCTGGAGTGCAGTGGTGCGATCTTGGCTCACTGCAACCTCCACTTCCCGGGTTCAAGCGATTCTCCTGCCTCAGCCTCCCAAGTAGCTGGGACTACAGGCACACACCACCACACCCAGCTAATTTTTGTATTTTTAGTAGATACAGGGTTTCACCATGTAGGCCAGGATGGTCTCAATCTCTTGATCTCGTGATCTGCCCACCTCGGCCTCCCAAAGTGCTGGGATTACAGGCATGAGCCACCACGCCCAGCTGGAAAAAAGTCTTTGTAAAACATGTAAACAGTAAAACATGAAGAAAGATGCCCATGATTTACATTAGCATTAAACGTATGTTGATTTGAAATATGATATATTTATTTATTCTTGCAAAATTCCAATACCTCAGGGTCACATTTCATGATCTATAATCATTATATTCCATCTTCACCTTAAATCATAACACATCTCTACACATCAGAGGGAATATTTGTTACCTCATATGTCTGCAGCCCTTGATATTTTAAGGCATTTAAGATTATGTATGTAGTATCTTCGATCTCACATTAGCAAATTGGCAAACTATCTCATTTTCACCTGGAAAAGTTGCTAGTATTATTCTGTATGAGTAAGGTATATGATTTGGTCAGTGGTATGTACTTGGTCAGGTTACAATATAGTAAAATACACATTTTCATTCTCAAAAGTGTACACTTACCTTACAGAATTTTTCACAAGTTGATTTTTTTGTGTCCCTGCACAGCTGTTCTATATTATGCAACTATGTTATGCAGTATTTGGCGTATAAATAAATGTTCAAGTATACCTGGTATAATTAGAAATGCTGTGGGCGTTGAGGAAATTGTAAGGGCAACGCTGAAGTGATTGCCCATGCTGGGCAAGAGATAAATACAGTCAGAAGAAACTGGTGGACTAGACAGGAGGTAAGGGAATTGTCCAGGGATGTTATCTCCTCGTGTTATTCAAGAACAATAAGAAGGATAGAAGGGGTGTCAAAGGGGAGACCAAGAGCCCAGATAACAGAGGCAGAGAAGAACTGAGCTGTGAATTCCAGGGATAGATATGCAGGTGTATTGTTGAAGAAGAATGAAGGAAGGGATTTGGGGGGTCAAGAGAAGGTGAGACCAGGGACTTCACAGAGCATCAGGGAGGACCTAATATGTCTAAGGCAGAACTTCAGAATCCACACTTGCACACTTTGCTTCAGGCACATACAACGTATCACCTAAAGTGTTCAAGCACAGACTAAATGGCCACCAATCAGATGGATTCCTACATCAAGTGGGAGGCTGGTGGCATAATTTCTATACCTCCTAGTTATTTCCAAAATTCTACTATTTTCTCCAGGTAAAAATAATTAATTTGATCTTGCACAAGGCATAAGCACTTATAATTAGGAGTCAATACAATTCAGAATATACAGCAGTTAACTACACATATGAATGAACCTTTAAAATGATAAAAAATTTTTAAGATCCTGAAGCCCTGTCTCTCCATTACACAGAAGAGATAACTGAGGCCCAGGAAAAGCACATGATTTGCTTAAGGTCATGAGAAAAGTTTGATGATTCTGGACTCTGGATTAATCTCTTCTTACCATTATACTGTGTTGCCTTTAAGCCATTTGATTTTTGTGCTGATCTGTGAATTAGAGATAATAGATGCCATTAGCTGGCTAGATCTGTGTGAACAAAGAGAACTGCAGATTTGAGACAACTGTGAAGATAATTCTGTTTCGTAAGATTCTAAAAATGTTTTAATGAAAATACCCCAACAATTGAAACCCGACCATTTTATTTTAGGTTTTTTAAAAATATAGTTATCTTATTCTCCATTTTGCTTTACTAAGTGATCAGTAAATGAAGATATTGGTCTCATCTCTATGAGGTTCCCATAATAAATAATTCAGTTGGTAAATGTACAAAAAAGAAAAATGTTCAAACTCAATATCACCAACAATGAAACAACCTTCTCATGCTACGCACCGAGAAGAAAATAATACAACTTTTGCAGTATTGGCAAAAATGCCTAACCTGAATCCAACCATAAAGCACCACTCAGATATATATTGTTGAACATTCTACAAAATGACAGATCTGGATTCTTTAAAAACGTCAATGTCATGAAATTTTTTTTCTTTAAAGGGGAGGGATTGTTTTAGACAAAAGGAGGCTAAAGAAGCATAACAGCTAAATGCAATATTTGATAACATCCAGGAGGGAAAAACCAGCTAAAAGATCAGAATTGGGACAGTGGGGGACATTTGAATATAGGCTGTATATTAGATCATTTTATTGTATTAATGCTAAATTTTTTGAGTGTGACAATGATATTGCAGCTGTGTAGGAGAAAGTCCTTATTCTTAGAAGACACATGCTTAAGGATGAAGGGGTGAAGTGATGATGTCTGCAACTTATTTTCAGCTTGTTCAGCCAAAAAAAGCAAGCAGGGGGTATGTGTTCATGTGGGGAAAGGGAGAGGGAAGAAGAGAGAGACAAAGCATATATGGCAAAATGTTAATAATTGGTGACTCTAGGTGAAAGGTATGATGAGCGTTCATTATACTTGAAAACTTGCAAAAGGAAAAGGAAAAAAAAATGGAAGGTCTGTGGGTTGTTGTCCTCCATACAAAATACGTAGAGGAAATAAATAAAATGGGAACTTTTACACTTTGTCCAGTAAATTATTAGTTGCCTTTGGGCAAATACTAATTAACAAGGCTATTATGAAGCACTTATAACATTTGAATAAAATGCTAAATAAATGACAGATCCAGTTGTATATGTTTCCTAGGAGAGTTTCTTTCCAGTTATTTAGGAGTTCAACTTTAGTAATCACACATCTCACAAATGAGGTATATGAGATAATCTAACTTCTAGAATGACAGAATACCAAAGTTCCTAGTCAGAACTAATCAGAGGCAACTAATATGGCCTTTTCTTCCCTTTTTAAAAAATCTCACCATACCCAACTAGGTCTGCATTTAGTGGTAGCACATTTCTTGGCTTCCCTAAACGTTAGCCCCTAAGCCCCCAACTAGAAAAAGAGTAATCTAGTATCTAGCATGCAAACTCTTTGTGTGTGTGTGTGTGTGTGTGTGTGTGTGTGTGTGTGTGTGTGTCCTAAACAAAGAAAGGGTTTCTAATTCATCTGGGGTGTGTAGCAGGGGTTGGGAGTTTGCTAGGAAGTTTTCCTAAAGAATGTAATACCTGAGTTAGCAGAAGGTGGAGAGGGTAAAAGACTTTGCAAAATGTGGCAGCAGAATGAACAAAAGCAGCTGCTGGCTAATCAGTTTACCCAAAATATAAAGTAAGATTTACTGTTCCCAGAATGTGAATTTTTTTCCTTCTTCCTCCCAACCTTATAATTCCTGTTCTTTTGCCTTTGTTAATTAAAATCTGATGACTCTTTTCCTCATATCTGAGTCAAATATTTTTTATAGATAACTAAGTAACTAAAAATTTGACAAGAATGGTCACAATTGACTTACAGTAGACAAATCAAGACTCGTTCTTTGGAGCTGGGACTGAGACTAATGCCAGCTTTCCCTCAAGCACATAGCTTTACTAGTCATGCGGATATTAGAGCGAGAAGGCAAGGAGAATGTTAGTTGGGTAGATGGCCATCAGCATCTGCTACAAGAAGAGAAATCAACTCACTAAATATTTTGGAAGGTCAACAATGCTTTGAGAGTGAAGATCAGAAGACAAAAATGACACTTAGGAACTTGGCTTGCATGGCTGAAATTGTGATACTGTAAACTGAGATAGAGAATATAGCAGAGAAAGCAGACTTGGGAGTTATGTTTTTATTAAGATAATAAGTCATGTTTTTATTATGTTGAATTTGAGATACCTTTGGAACATCAAGGTGTAAACATACAGAAAATATTTGAAATTCCAAGTAGAGCATGGGAGTGGATACATATAGATCTGACTGTCATCAGTATAAGGGAAAAAATAAAACTGTGGAGTAGTTAGATCGCCCAAAGAGAATATGTAGCATGAGAAGAGCAGTGGACAGCAGGGAAACCTTTAAGGGAGACAGAGAGAGAGACTAGGAAGGTTTTCAGGGGGCTAGGAGAGAGCAGTGTCTTGGAACCTAGGAACAAGATAGAGAGCTCTAAGAAGTAAAGTGACTGACATTGTCCAATGTAAAAGAGAGGTCCCATTAGCTCCAGTCTAAAAATGCCATCACATCTGCCAGTATGAAATCACTGGTGACCCACAAGCGGGGGAAGGTGAAAGCAGTAAACACAGAGAAGAATAGAAGGTAAGGAAGTGAAGAGAATGATGTAAGCTAATGCTGAGTAGTTTGGGTAAAAAGGAAAATGAGCACATTTTAGACTAAAAGTAAAGGACCAGTAGAAAGGGAACAGTTGAAGATAGAAGAGAGATATGAATTATGAGATAAAATCTGGAAGGCACCAATGAATGTGAAATGTGTACAAAGGAACAGGGGTGAGCCTTGAATAAGGGGGGCAGCACTCATTCTGTGAGCCAGGAAGAGAAACGTACTGATGAAGCAGGCATCAAGAATAGCAATGGCAATACCCCCATTTTATCAGTGACTATGAGGCAAGTATATTAGTCAAAAAAGGAAGTGTATTAGTTCACAAAACTGAAAAGGGGTGTATTGTCATGAGGTGTAGCTAGAGCCAGAGATTCAAGTGATGGCATAAAAGAATCTGTCGTTTTCTCGGCTGTTTTCTTCTGCTTTTATTTTATTTTATTTCCAGGCCTGCTCTATCCCCATGACTACATCTCCATTCTTTTATACTACTTAGCAGCAATGATCTCAACAGGAAAGACTGTCTCTCTCTCTCTTTTTATTTATTTTTATTTTTTTGAGATGGAGTTTCACTCTTGTTGCCCAGGCTGGAGTGCAGTGACATGATCTCTGCTCACTGCAACCTCCGCCTCCCAGATTCAAGAGATTCTCCTTCCTCAGCCTCCTGAGTAGCTGGGATTACAGGCACCCGCCACCACACCCAGCTAATTTTTGTATTTTTAGTAGAGACAGGGTTTCGTCATATTAGCCAGGCTGCTCTCGAACTCCTGACCTCAGGTGATCCGCCTGCCTAGGCCTCCCAAAGTGCTGGGATTACAGGCATGAGCCACCGCGCCCGGCCAAGAGTGTCTCTTTTGCAGTCATACTTTCAAGGTCCTAGGAAAAATTTTCATTGGCTCACATTGGGTCAAATGCCTATCTCTGAACCAGTCACTATGGACAAGAGGATATGATCGTTCACCCAAACCACAGGCATGAGAATGGTGCATGAGCGGTTTTATTAACAGAATAAAAGGAGAATGGATGCAGAACAAGCCACAAGAGATGTCTGACGCCAAGATCATTTGCTGACACCAAGGGTATTGGGAGCTGAGTAGAAACTATGTGAACAGTAGAGATTTGGAATCATCCTCAAAAATATCTGGGAGCTTAACTTTGCCAAGTAACAATATCGACAGGCAGAACCATTTAGGATCCAGCTGAGGTCTACTAAGAGCACAGCCAAGATTCCATCCAACTGTGATTAGCTACTCATGGGTAAATAACAATACTGCCATGTATACCATGTAATAATGCTAGGCCTTGTTCTTAGAGAGTGCATGTACTGACTCACTGAATCCTCCTAACAACTCCATGAGGGTGATGAGAAGATCAAATTGTGCAGGAGCAAAGAAAGTTGATCAAAGCATTGAGGTTTCACTGATGGATGCAGTGGAAGTAGAGGGCTGTGATGGGATCAAGACTTGGTGAAAGTAAGGACAGAAGTGGGGCTGGAAGGAGGCCAGTGGACAGGAGAAGGAAAACATTGAGGCTCTAAGGATCTCTGCTGGGTTGATTGAGGTTGGGGTGAGAGAAAGTCAGACCTAGAAGGACAGGAGGCTGTTGTCAGAGGATAAGACATTAGAGTTTGAGAATTTAGGGGGATTTCAGATTCACTTCTGCCCAACTTTTATTCCCCTCTCTAATATTCAAAAATACAGCTTCTAAGTCATCCAGACCAGAGTCTCTCATTAAGTTTCAGCTCTAGATGAGTAATATTGAGGAAGAAATCCTCTGAGGCTTCTATTTCTTCCACTATAATCTAGTGATTGTAAAATGCCTACCTCAGGTTGTTGTGTGAAAATCAAATGAATTGATAAATATAAGGCACCTACATTATGCTGTATATAGTATATAGTAGAAGCTCAATATACAATACACATTGTCACTCTTACATTATTATTACATCAACATCATTATCATTAGCCTGTACATGGTTGAGAGACACTTTAAAGACAGTATGAGGGCAAGGCTCAGTGTCTCATTCATTATGTATCCTTATGACTTAGCTCAGAGCCTGGCACATCAGAGGTACTTAATGAATGGATATGCAACCCAAGCCTTTGCTGCTTTCCGTTTCACGAGTCTCCCACCTCTAGTGTATCTGGGGAAACCTTTTTTTTTTCTCGTATCTGCTTCTGGTTCAGTTCACACCAAAGCCTGCTTCTTTGTCTGACTTCACTCAACTAATATTATTTGAGGCCCACTTTGCATCAGGCACTTTGCTATGAAGCAGGATATAACGGTGCAGAAGTGGATGAGGTCTTTGTCCTCATTAAAACTATAGGGGTGGCTGGGACGCAGTGGCTCACACCTGTAATCCCAGCACTTTGGGAGGCCAAGGCAGGTAGATCACAAGGTCAGGAGATCGAGATCATCCTGGCCAAGATGGTGAAACCCGTCTCTACTAAAATACAAAAAATTAGCCAGTCGTGGTGGTGCATGCCTGTAGTCCCAGCTACTCGGGAGGCTGAGGCAGGGGAATCGCTTGAACCCAGGAGGCGGAGGTTGCAGTGAGCCGAGATTGCACCACTGCACTCCAGCCTGGCGATAGAGTGAGACTCCATATCCAAAACAGAACAAAAACTATAGGGGAAGCAGACATTTATGAGATAATCTTACAAATAAATGCTAAGCTGTAACTGTGATGCTTGCCATTAAGGAGAGGCTACCGAAAGGAGATTACCTAGTCAGGGAGGGTAGGGGAGGTTTCCCTGTATAAATGATGATTAAGCTGAGGATAAGAAAAAATTAATTTGACATAAAGGGAATGGAAGAGCTCCCTAGACAAAGGGAACAGTATATGCAAATTGTCTCTAAGAAGAAGCACATCAAGCATCAGACATGTGTGGTTGGAAGAGAAAGATACAGAAACCCTGTTTTGTTAGATAATGCCAGAAAGAAAGGTGGTGGCCACAGCATACGGGGCCCAGAATCTTCAGGCATTCTACCACTGGTCACCACTGGAACTATAAGATACCAGCTTTCTTGACTAGGTGTTGGTCTTAGCCAAAGAGAAATGATGGAAAGACCTTACTTCACTTTACTTTCCTCTTAATTCCCTATATACCACTAGCTCAAGACTGCCATGAAGAGCAGAATTTTTACATAAAGGTAGAGAATAATGGAGGGGAAAATATAGCATAGTTTGGAACAAGGAAGAACTGAAAATTTTTCAGTTTTCAGACATTATTGGTTTTAAAATGTTCCCAGTCCATCTTTAACTCCAAACTTAGGATGCTAAACCAAGGCCATCTACACTGGGTTTCTATCCCTAGCAACACAGTTGCAGCATTGTTCCTTCTGATGTTTGTTGTCTTTAACCTAACCCAGATCGTATTGTTAAGTATGACTTCCACCACTACAGATGACAGCACAAAGTATGTAAGTGCATGAAGGCAGGCTCGTTTCTTTGAGTTCATTTCTTCTATCACAGTGAATGACCAAGAACTTCTAGGTCAGCCCACTGAAAACCAGTGAGATGACTTTGTATAATCAAACTCCTATTAACCCATTTATGCCTGAGGCTGCAATTTTTTGAATTTTTCCAATCAGACCTTGGCAATGACCTTGAGCAGCAGGATATAAATAACTCCCACATGCTTAGTGTTCCAATAATGGAACACTAGGCATAAGTGGGCTAATATTAATAAATTAAAAACCTACACGACTTAAAACTTTTCATTCATTTAACTAGCATTTATATAGCACTGAAAATTGTGCCATAGACTGTGCTAGTTCGTGACACACAGGAAGATGAGTAAATCAAAGTTCTTGGCCAGAAAGAACTCAAAAGACAGATCATTTCAATTCAGTGCTTTGTAACAGTGCTGTAACCCAGTGTGACTGTGTTTTGTGGGAGCACAGAGGAGAGTAATTTTCTCTGGGGAATTGGGATGAGGGGACCTCACACAGAACGTAACATTTGAGATGTGGCCTTGAAGAATGAATTGGAGCATTCCAGGAAGAGAGAAAAGAAGGTCTATTCCGAGCACAGGGAACAACATGTGAGAGGCATGTTGGAATGTCTGTCTAGAGAGATGAACCAGGAGGCGCTGACAGACTTTACGGCCTTCATAAAGCAATGATGTAACCAAATCAATTTCTTAAAACTGACTTCAAAGCTCTGGAGATGCCATGCAGCATCATCGCTACTTACCCTTTTAAAGAAATTTTCCTTAGATGTTGTGTACGTTAGTCAAGAAAAATTCAGCCAGTTGTCTTGGGTATTTAGACACAATTTTAAAATTTCATCCAGATAGGCACTAGATAAACCCAGTAATAGGTTTCTAGCCTTGTGGTTTACTCAGCACCTAATCATTGTGGTCCCAAATCAGAGCACTGTATAGAGACCACAAAATGACATCTGAATACAAAGTAAGGATGAATTAGGTGGGCAAGTCCAACAAAATGCAACCATGGAGGCCAGACGTGGTGGCTCACGCCTGTAATCCCAGCACTTTGGGAGGCCAAGGCGGGTGGATCACTTGAGGTCAGGAGTTTGAGACCAGCCTGGCCAACATGGCGAAACTCCATCCCTACTAAAAATACAAAAATTAGCCGGGCGTGGTGGCACCTGCCTGTAGTCCCAGCTACTCGAGACACTAAGACAGGAGAATCACTTGAACCCAGGAGGTGGAGGTTGCAGTGAGCTGAGATTACACCACTGCACTCCAGCCTGGGCAACAGAGCAAGACTCTGTCTCAAAAAAAAAAAAAAAAAAAGCAACCATGCTGCTGATTGGAAAGTCCAGTCAATTCCTGGTTATTTCTGTGTGGATGAGCCACCATTTGCTGTACTCCATTGCCTAGTAATAGTAAGACCAACTATTCACTGAGCGACTATTATGTGTCAGGAGCTTTACCTATGTAACAATCTCTAACCCCCACATGCTTTAGTTGGAAACCTGGCTGTACCATTCACCTTGACTTCGGAAAAGTTGCCTGACTTCTCTATGCCCAAATGTCCGCATCTGTACAATGGGGATACTCTATGTGAGCACTCAGAAAATTGAGGAGCACAATTTTTTTTTTGCTGTTATAATTATTAAGAGCCAGACTAAATTACTCAGTAACCCTTTGCTGCCAAGCATTACCAATATAAAATCTGCCCTACATGAAGGCAACTAGAAAGGTAAATGTCCTATAAAATGATTACAGCTTCCAAAAATAATACAGAAATGACTTCAGATGAAGTCTTTATTTCCCTTCATGATTTGGGACCATAGAAGGATGACATTATTCTTAAGCTGTGTGGCTGTAGCTCTCAAAATTCAGCATATATAAAAATCACTTAGGAAACCGTTGAAACTGCAGATTCTTGAGCACACTCCCACCCCACCCAAGATGCTGGTTCAGGAGGTCTGAGATGACTACTGAGTTTCATTGTCATTTCTTACTTAAAGAGAAAGGGAAAAAAAATCTGGAGGTTTTTTCCCCCTGTTAATTATGTGAGCCATCAGCTCAAATCCCCCACTATTAACCTGAAGCCCATTTGGATTTCTGCAAATCCAAAGCTTCATTCTCTTTCATGTTCTCTTGGCTCTAACCCAATGCCTAGGTTCCCCCAGGTCCAGAATTCTCTGAAACTAACTATTTTGCCTTCCTCTAGGAGTAGGGAAGTAGGACTGACTTTCCAACGTTTAACCCTTGAGAAATAGCTGCAGTGGTTCAGCACATCAAAAGCATGAGTATGCTATAGCAACAGGAGGGGGGATTTCTCCTAGCCTTCAATTTTTCTTTTTCTTATAAAATCAGGGTAAGCACTAAAAAGTAGAAATGAAATAAAAGGCTGAGAAAATCTTGTTCTTTCTCTTACTCTCTTAAGATACTTTTTGAGATAAATCCCTGGGCAAGGAAGTGCTAACATTTTACAGAAATTATGAAGCATCAAGACTCACAGGAAAAACCCTGTTCTTATCCCAGCACTCACTTTGAGAGGGCACTCCAGAGCCCAGGCAAAGCTAGCCTGGAAAATACTGAATTGATGACTTTGCCACGCCAAGGTTTCTCCCCGGTGGGGTATGTGCCAGGCGTCTCCTCTGTGCCTCCCTGTGCTGGGTCCTCGCGTGCTGCATACTCCCTGGACTCGGTCCCACCTCCACCAGCCTCCTAGGCAGGAGGAAATGCAGAATCTGCTCTACCCCAGGTTGCCGCTGACAACTGAAAACTGAGTCCAGGGAGACAGCGTCCTGGGCAGCCTGTTTTTGCTTTTTCCCAATCTGTTCAATTCAGTTTCCTGCCGACAGGAGCGTTCTCTTTTGCCAGCTTTAAATCACTGAGTGCCCTGGGCATAGGCCCGGCCTCTGGAGCTGTGCCCAGTGCTTGGCCCACTGCTTGGCTCACTGCCCAGGAGTTGTCAAGTGTCTGGACAGGGTATCTGTCCCTTCAGCTGCCTGTCCTCCAATCTTCTCCTTGGAACAGTGAGATGGGACACATCCATCCCTGTCATTTTTCCAAGCCTACCCAAAAGCTTCTTCATGCCCTTGTTATGGGAATGGCGCAGTATGGTTACAAGCATGGGCTAAATGGGGAGGGTTCTGGGACTTTTAAAGGCATTTAGGGATTCCTTCTGAGCCCTCCAGTGGTCATAAAATACTTTAAAGGGCTTCTGGGCCCTGGGCTGTGGGTTCTCCAGGAACCACAACCTGAAAGCAGCCTCTGCTTACAGGCCTCTTCTAGAACTTCTTCATCCTTAAGATCCTTTGACTAAAAATAGTTTTTTGGGGGTGGGGGCGGAAATAAACCTGGCTAATTTTATCTTTAAAGAGCTTTTAAGTGAGGCTGAACCTGTTAATCTGTGCTCTGCCAGAGGAGGCCTGATGGGGGCACACTACAGGATACAGACTAGAGGAGAAGAATCAGGCGTGTGGCATAAAGAAGGAACCACCAGCTAGGAGGAAGGATGGCAAGGCTGGAGAATCCTGGCAGGTCAGATTTCCCACACCAGGCTCCTAAACACAGAGATTTCCATCATATGTAAATCTCCAAAGTAGGATGCATTCAGAAAATTGTAGGAAAGTAAACATATTATTTTTCCACTAGGTAAGTGGCCATCGCACATGTTACATATCTGGAAATTTAAGTTAGAGCAGCTTGATCCTTTTCATATCTAATTCTTAGTAGTAGTTCCAAGCCAGGTTGGTATTGCTTATTAACAAAACCGAGGCTTCTTCCCGCACCCCCCACCGCCCACCATAAAAAGGCAGTTATCCCTATAACATAAATCTATATATTAAAAATTTTTGCTATGTTTCCAAAATCATAAGCAAGAGAACCAGGTTCTTTTCCTAATTCAAGATTCTTTATTTCCATATAAACAGAAAGAAATGTCTGATTAGGTTTTTAGAAAACAAGTTTAGCTTGCAGAATAAGCCATTAGAAAAAATCTCAATTTTACCTTTATATACAGCACATTTGGAAAGAAAAACAATTGTGGACCAAAGAAATCATGACATGCTAAAATGTAATTGCCGTGATGACTCTGATTACAGCCACAGTCAAAAGATATTCTAAACTTTTAAACCCACAGTTTAGTTAACTTTTTTTCATGTCTCCTCATTATAATAACAAGTCATAGAATAAATGGTCATTTAGAGCATTATTTATCTAATTCCCACATTTGCAATGAGCTGGAGATACTTTCCACATTCCACTTTTAAAAATTCACTAAAAATTCTTTGGGTCGCAGGAGTAAAATTAAACATCCTGCCATGGATAATGGTAAGTGAAATTGCAATCTGTGGTCCTGGGTGTAAAGATTAGCTTCACTCCAAAGCATTCCCAAATAGAATAACTTCAAATGCTAAACTTTTCTTTAATATTCCTTATGGACAAAGAGATTCTATAACAACTTGAGGAAAAAAACCTATTCTATGTTGTGTGAAAACGTTAAAGATATTTTTATCTATAAAACTACAATTATTATCAAGGGTTTACTAACCCATTTAGGATTTTAGAATCTTTCCTGTCTCATTTCAGCATACGGTACTTTTTGGCTAAATACATAAACTCATTATAATTTCAACACAGAATTTTTTACAGCAGCAGCAGTAGCACTCCCAAACATGTAAAAACATGTTACAGGTTATAAAACAGCAACAGATTTCAAGTGCAGTCAAAGTAATCTCAGATTAAAACTGGCAGCAAGTCCTAATAAGCACATTCACCCAAAAAATAGCATTAGAGATTGGACTGGTTATTAAAAACAAAGAAGGAAAATAGAAATAGGACATGAATGTAGCATAATACAAATACACACACACACACACAAACACAGCGAGACAGAGAGAGAGAATATAGTATGCATAGGTATTAAAATACATATATATTTTAGCAGACAGAAAATCCCAAACAGCCCTATAGGAAGCAGGTATCTCTCTCTCACAGAACTGCTTTCATTTTGACCCAAATTTGCTGGCTTACTTGAAATGATTTTACCTTTCTCATTACAAATTCATTTAAAGTAAAACTGTAGAATCTTGAAATTTAGAGCATCAAAAATTATTTATCTTAAGGGAATGAATTCTGCCATTATTTAATTTCATATACTATTTCTTTTCTTTTGTCATTTTTTGGTGTTAAATTTTGCAAATTTAGTCTAATGCCAACCAGTGATCTGCCTGGGAAACTTGCCTTAGCAGGCAGATGTCCAGATCAAAAAATAGCCTAGCCTATCTTTATGGAAGAAATATACACAAACATTCACACATCATACAAAACAAGGTTGAAATGGGTGGGGCCACTTGATTGACGTCCATTTGTCACTTTCATTGGAAAATTTCATGGGCAGCTTCCAATATGCTTAGACAAATTTAGATGAATGAAAGCGCTGACTAATGATGCTATTATCTATATACCAAATATAGAAGAAGGCCTGAAAACTCTGAGTTGCTCATGTGAACTACTAAAACGAGGGGGGAGGAGAACTTAGAAAAATGAGAAAGATATATGTTAAGACAGCAAATTAATGAAAAGAAATAGCATTCAGATATGTAAAATGATAAAAGATCTTAGTGTATTCAACAGGGCCAAGTCTTTAAGAATTGCAAAAAATGCATTATCTACCATCTTTTTAGCAATAAAATTATTTTAACCATCAATAACTAAGGGTTGTTATTTTAGGAGAATGAAGTCAATACATTTGTTTCCCTGAGGCAGGCAGGGGCAGTATTGTGCTATTCCTGAACTTCATTAATATTCATTAATTTTTAAAGCAGTTTGGTTAGCTTTGGCTATTATCTATGCAGATATTTTGCCTTTAAATAAAAATAATGACAAGAACTTCATTATTTAAAAATGTAATTAGCATGAAATTCAAAACCTATGTTTTCATTAGTGGACACTATTCACTGGAAAGTATATATTTTTCAGAAAGATCTGTTTTAATTGAATTTCTAGGATAAAATTCTAAAAGTCATGCTGACTAATATAACCTAAATGTAACTGAAATTAAACTGAAAATACTTTACAAATTTTTCAAATCAATCTCCACTTTAAAGAACACCATAGTTGACCCAATTAGTTCTGCAAATGAATTCAGTTGTTTGACATTCTTCAGCATTTCACAGTAGACTATTTTCACCCATCCAGCGCCTTAGATCTCTAAAGACCCCAATGCACATTTAGTGATATTTACCTTATGAAGTAACTAAATCCAGATGAGCATAGAGCTCACATCACTGTAAAAAGAAATTGTTTCCTCGTGCTTCCCACTCCCATTCCGGAACTAGAAACTGAAAACTCTGAAAATTATCCTTGTGCAAGTAGGGAATTTCAGACAGAAATGCAAAATAGTTTTATTTGTAAATAAGCCCAACCATAGGAAGCATACAATACCTTGTTCTGCGAAAGGCCTCCAGTCTTTGTAAATCAGGCTTTTTACACTATGACAGATGAACAACCAGGGCAAATAATTCATGCACATGGAGTTGGAAATGGAATTCTCCACATGTCCTTCATTCACCTGTCCACACTGAGGTCCAATATGTTGAGTAGTACTTTGTGGACTATAAGAAAATAAGTAAATAGAAATACCACCCGAAGAACAGGAGTCTGAATAAATAATTAAGGGAAATTTTTGAGGCATGGCCAAGGGGAAAATTTTACCGTAGTGAATAGCCAAACTTTTCAAAAAACACATTTCTCTCTGCCCTGCCACCATCCCCCCACCGTGTGTGTGTGTGTGTGTGTGTGTGTGTGTGTGTGTGTATGTGTGGGCGCGCGCGCATTTAAGGACTGCCTGCTCTATAACTGTATTTTAATGCATTTGATTTCTGTTTGTCCAAAGTACCTTCCAGTTTCAAGAAACGCCCCGGTTATATTTTCTTCAGATTTTGTTTTTTTGTTTAAGGTAAGCTGGCCCCTTAAGACTGATACAATTTTCCAGTTTAGGGCAGTTTGAAAAAGAGGAGAAAGCATCTTGCTTCTTGCTATTGAAGATACATGACTGTAGACCTAATTTTCCTAAAAACATACTCACTAACAGATGACCAACAAGAAGAGAAAATTCAGCTCTTCGCTTCCTAAATGGATGAAACCTGCCTCCCCACTCCCACAATATCATAGTGGGATAATGAGTAATATTAATCTCTTCAGAGATATTTACTCACTCCGACTTATTTTTGAAGAGTAGAGAAGAATGTGGCTGCACCCACAGGTGGACAGATACTGAACTCTCTCAGCCGCCCCATCTGCCTGGACACCACGTGGGGTATTACCGCAACCCCCTTTCTGTTCTCCCCTGTTTGAGTGCAGTACTAGTGGCTTTCCGAAGCAGATACAAAGTTATTATCAGTGTCTGAAGTTCCAGCCCCTCCACAAAAGCCTGTGGCCCCCAAGTAGCACCCCTTCATGAATGCCTGTGTCTCAACTCTGCAAGGCCGACCTTGTCCTCTCCATCATCTGAGCAGGATTGACCCTGTCCGGGTAAAACTATGGAATGGAAAGTGTTAATCAGAGTCCCCAGGCGCTGGTGGAGCACCTGGAGCGTCTCAGCAGGGGAGCAACTGGAAACCACAAACATCAAACTGTGTTGCTGCAACTTGAACTAAACGCCGAGACCTGGCTGAGGAAGTCAGTTAAGTTTAGACCAAATGGTCTTAATCAAGGATACCAGAAGAGACCTCTCAAAGACAGAAATGATGGTGCATCCCTGCCCTCCAATCCTATGGAATTTTTTTTAATGTTGCAATTTAAGTCTCAGAATACATTTTATGACCCCAATGCCCTTTATTCCGAAAGATGCCGTGAGATGTCTGCAGAAATGTCCTGCAGGAGTGTGGAGAGCACAGTGGGCGTCCCGGCCCTCCCAGCTTTGCCTCGCCATCACTTCCATATAACCTTTGTTGCGGGGTCGGGGGACCCAAAGCCACCTTCGCCCCTGTCCGTACATCCTCCAAACAAGCAGCAGCCAAGAGGCTGCAGGACCCACTCGCCGGCCCCCAGCCCCAGCCGCCTTCCCGCCCCCAGCTCTAGCTGCCCGCCTGCCGCCTCCGCTGCCCCTTCCTCACTCCCCACCCGGGGGGCCGTCTCCCTTATCTCCATCCGCCCACCCCCCCGCCCACCCCACAGGCACTCTCAGACCCCACCAGCACATTCCTAACAGCTCCAGCTTTCCAGGAAAGCAAAAAAAAAAAAAAAAAAAAAAAAAAAAAAGACCACAACATCACGGGCAGGTTTATTTGGGTTTGTTTGTTTGCTTGTTGGCTCGATTAAATACTCGTGGAAGGTGAACGTACCCCACACAGGAGAAGTTTGATGTTGACAAACTTCTGGTGGCAGCGAGACTGTGTCAGCACAACTTCCGGGATAATGAGAGCTGCTTTGCAGGGAGCGCGGCAGCCGCGGCGGGAGGCGGCCGCAGGACGGAACAGCAAATGCTATTCAGCCCGAGCAGTTTCAAGCCGCCCGAGCTGGGGAATTACTGTAGTCGAGCTACGGCTCCTACCACCGGCGCTGGATCTGGGCGCGCGTTAGGGGGGGAAGCTGCAGGCACAGGGCGCCGAGAGGGGAGCTTTCAAGTTACTTTGCTCCATCCCTGCACCCGGCAGAGGCTTGCAGGCTGCGTGGTAACTGCAAACATCTTGTTCCCTGCTTCTTTGGGCGGTCGCCCTGGAACCAACCAACTTTTCTCTCCCCCAAAACTCCCTCTTTGTTTCAAATAGGACTCTCCAAAATTTATTCTTGGGAAGACTGACAGCCGGGGTCAAGAAACAGCTGTTGAAGTTAATGTTTCTTCCTCCCACTTCGTCTGATGGTTGTGCCCTGCCAAGACAAAGTGAGAGGCACTGCCTGGTGGCTTCTTTAAACAGACATGCATTTAGCCAAAAAGGGTTGGGGTGGGGGTATATTTTCCTGCTTAACATACAATCTGATCAGAAATGCAACAGCATGTGCCTTTCAACTTGTGCTGATTACTTGCTGAAAAGATGCTGTAGCTTTTAGTTTTGAACACTTTGAGCATTGGGGGCGGGGATGGCGGGAGACTTAGTGGTTGACACTTTCCATGTTTTGGTAAAGGGGCTAAAATTTTAAACCTTCCTCCCTCTGATCCACCTCTGGCCCTCTAAGAAAGATAGAATGGCCTGGGGGAGGGAGAAAAGAGTTGCATTCCTTTGCAAGGTTTAAGTCACATTTCAAAATTCAAATCATTATGCAGAACAAGGGCTTGCCTAGAGCTAGGCAAACTGTTTTTATTTGGAGATGACCTAGGCCAAACCTTGGAGAGTGCTGGAGCTCCTGGTGGCTTTCTCCACACTAGGCCTGTGTCGTCTCTCCTTTCCCAATCCAACTCCTTTTCCCTTACTCAGAGGGCATATTCTAGGGGGAAGCTGCCCTGTTCTTTGTGCTGCCTTCTCCAGGTGAAGGCTGATGTTAACACTGCTCTTCCTCCCCTTAGCGTTTTAGAGCCCCTGTGAACTGCTGAGAGGCCCCTTGGGATTGTCCTCCAGAGTTTCCCTCTCCTAACTGAGCATCTCCCAGGCATCTAGCCCTCTGTCGTGGGGGTGGGTGGACGGGAACTCTATTCCTTCCACATCAGAGAGCTTAACCACTCTTCCAACCCACCCATTCTCCTTTGGGAGTGCCGGGCTCATTTGGCCTCTCTCAGATGAAATCATATGAAGACATAAAAGGCCTTCCCTCTCCACCACCAGGTTATCCTGTCACCACATCGCAATGCAGTGCCATCACAAAGTGATATTGCATCAGGCCCAAGGATATTTTAGGAAGCTCTCAAGCTGGGTCCAACAAGCCTTCCATGCAGGCATCAGGACCACACTGCCAAATTCAAGGCTGCAGAGCTGCTGGGCAGGTGTCAGTGATGTCCTCTCTAGTCTCAGCTATTCTCTTCTCTATTCTCTACTCCACCTCCCCCACCTGCATGCCTTCCACCAGGCAGGTCCACTTTCAGACTCCCCCAATACTCTCTTTGCCCAGCTCCCAGAGGCCACTACTTTTGCTTTTCCTCCTGTTTTCTTTGCAAAGTGTTCCAGCACACCTTCTGATGTATTTCCTGTTTTTCTGCCTATCATGGTCACTCACTGAAACCTTAATTAATATTTGCTCATATTAACTGTAAATCAACTAAATTACACTTGGAGCTGCAATGGCTGCAGCACACACAGTCTCCAATTTGGGTGTCTGCATGCCACAGGCCTCCCCAACTTGTTGGACTTGGGTGAACTTTTCTCATTCCCTCAGACTCTGGATCTCCCAGCTTGGTTGGCACAAGGGCAGCGGCCAAGAATCCAGGCACCACCCTCAGCAAGTGCCCCTTCTCTGAGTCCTGCTAATGCAATCCAGCAGCCAATTGACTTAAATTCCTTCCGCTTTATTGTTCTCCATCCTCAGAGAGGCCAATCTCAGCATCTAGCGGGGCTGTGAGGCAGACCTCCTCTGATCCTGGAGTTGTAATCCCCCACTGCTGGCTCCTGCAGTTTTATTACAGCCTCCTTTTTTTCTAAGATTGACAGATATAAACCTCCAGTGTGGAGGCCTGCAACAGCACCCTTAAAGGCTTCTTTGTGTAGAAATGTAACCTTAGGGCAAAGTCGGCCCAGCTCCAGGAAGGGCACATTATCCTGCTACAGGGAAGTACTGTGCTGAGACAGACCTGGAGATTTCTTCTAATGGCTGGGGACCTGGGAACCTCCCAGGGACAATACCTTCTTCCTCTAAGTAGAATATAGGCTTGTCTAATTTTACTGGGAGTGGGAATGGGGGTGGGGGACATTGAAGGGAAGGGGATGCTGGAAGAGACCTGTAATGACTGTTCAGGGAACTCCACATGCAATTGGAAGAAACAGATATCCTTTTTTTCAGGGAGCGGGTCTCTAAATGCAACCACTTATGAAGCCCCCATGAGTGGAAGCACTGTCCGAGTCAGAGGGAGTTAGCACCATTTGCTTCTCTTGGAGCTGATGCTACGGTTTCCATTCCCAAGCAGAATGGCTTTGGATCATTTAGAGGATCTGATCTCTTTAGGCAGGTGTTGGGTTAGACACATTATTCCAAAAGCAAGGGTGAAAAGGTGCAGAATCTTAATTTACCATGCAGGATTATAGTCAGATTTAAATCAGGTAGAATCATTAAGGGATTTAGAGCCAGAGTCTTTTTCCAAAGAGAAAAAGGACTGAATAATTCTCTTTCGTTGAAGTATAGTGAGGTCAGGAGTGTAGCATCTTACGCTTGGGGTTTTCTTCCTCTAGCTTTAAAAGGTTGGCTTATACTTTCAGTCAGTCAATTAGAACAGTAATAGAGTATCAAATGTATATGATTAGGCATTAACTTCCATATAGACTAGTGCAAAAACTAAGAGATGAAGGTGTGTACCTGTCATTACAAAGGGCCCCCTATGGGAACTGGGACGGCACCTTGGTTAAGGGACAAGTGAGATGCAGCTAGTTAGAAAAGATGAATTTGGAATCAGGAGAGGTAAGAAACACATGAATACAATTTCTATGGAATCTAGTTGAGATGTGGGTGTTGAGTCCTACAGCTCCAGGAGCTGGAGTTACTAGTATAGAGAGGTTAACACAATGCTTTTAGTCAAAGTTTTTGAAATACATATTCTCACAGAGTCAAGAACATGGACAGTGCAGGAAATGGAAAGGAGAAGATATCTTCAGATGGTATTTGAGATTACAGAATGTGGACAGAAATAAAAATACATATGCAATTATTTTTCCCCTTCCCTTTTCCTCCTAAATCTAGGCAGGAGTTTAACTTTGGATTGAAAGGCTCCCTGTTGTTCTTCCTCCTCTAGCTTCTCCTCTAGTTACCCCATCCACACTCCAGTTCTGGTTTTGAGCAGAACTGCAATTGTCCTTTGTACGGAATTGCATGAAATCCTGTGCTGGTTTTCTAATGTGGGAAAATGTCTACTAGGGAGGCTAAGACCACCAAACTAGTTTCATTATAACCCAAGGTACACTTAAATCCAGCCCTTCAGTGGTGGGCAACTGGCCCAGCAAAGTCTTCCTCTATAGTACTCATTAAAATGTTATTTACATTTTACAATATGGTCCCAAGCCATAAGTCGGGATTTTATCTTGGCAAATAGAAAAGAATACTCTTGTGACACCTGGGCCTGCAAAGTTTTAACTTATACGATGGACCCGTTGGTGATTTGCAAAACAAGATCACAGCATTTGAGAATGAGACCTTCATCCCATTTTGGTTCAGAGAAGTGAGGAAAAGGGAGGAATAAATGAAAAACATATGATCACAAATTTAAACTTATCAGCCAAATACATATTAAATTTACCTACCTCTTAAAAGTGGATTTAATGTGTGTCAAAAGTACAAAATGAACAACTGAAGAAAGCACATTTTATACTTTAGTCCTGAACCTACAGCAAAGGTAGAAAGTCTTCATAACTACACCCATTCTCTTTGCCTTAGAACTCTCATTCACATGACCAGATTCATTCCAGATCAACAACAGTACCACTAATCCCAGTCTCTTTTCGGTAAACCAAACTGTCTGAATTCTTACCTCAACAAGTCAAATTAAATTAACATTTTAATGATATGTTTCTGCCATTGTTCATGCTTCATAAAGTAACTTGCTTTATTTGACTCAAGGCAACAAGGCTAAACAAGCAGTTTTAAAAAATGGATCTTTGCCAGGTCTGGAAATTCAGTTTCCTTGAGTTCTTCTGAGACAGCAAAGATTCTTCAGAGACTATAAGCCCAACTGTACAATGCTACCACATTTCCAAGACTACCATTAAGAATTACAGATAGCACCAGTTATAAGAACAATTTTTTGCAACATCCTCATGAAGTCTAAATGAAAATCAGAGGCCATTTCTCAAATGGCAATAGGCCAAACATCTAAGGCCTCTGGAGATGCTTGACATCTTGCCATGTGTCATCACAATCAAATCCTGGGTGGGGTATTCTCATCTGAGTTTCACTGACTACCAGTAAGGGGCATGTGCAGAATAATAAATGATTCAATGATTAGTGCTCCAGTTAGAACCTAATGTGCCTAATAACATTCCAGGGAAGAGAGGATGGGAAATATATATCAAAGATGGCTTCAGCTCTTCGCCTGTCAACAGCCTGGTGATAGCGGGTTGGGGAGCCACCTTAATTCAGTGGTTTGTATGATTCTGGCATTATTGTGATTGCTATGTGGAACTCTCAGCTGAAAACAATTGAGTCCTTTCTCATCTGCAGAATGGTGAACAATGAGGTCAACTGCAGAGGATTTTTTAAAAGAAAAATTTAGGGGAAAGCAACTGCTTCCCTGACCCGAGAGAGCTTTTGTTGCCAAACAGCAATTTCAGACCCTAGCAGTGACACAGAACATTTGGTTTACTAAAGATGCCTGCCTCCCAAAAGATCACAGTAATATAAAATATTCTTTTTTTCCGTAACCAACAGGTAAAGCCGGAAGTTTTCTTGCCATCCATTTTCCAAGAAGACATGTGCCAGGCTATAGAGAAATGTCTCTGTACACAGAGACCCTCCAAATTTCTAAGTATATCAAGCAGCCGTCAACATTGTGCACCTAATTGTACTCTAAATATTAATCTAATCATGTAATTATCTAAATATAATCATGCAAATTAATAAATGCCATCACTTTTCAACACAAGCACTAACAGTTGACTTTCTTTACAGGGCCATTTTTCACAAAGAAACAAAGTTATTATCTCTTCACAGGATTTATTGCAGACATGACAATTAAAGAAAGCTGTAAGATCTTGCTTGTGATGTGAATACCAGGTGGATGGCTGGGCCCACTCACTAATCAAGTGATTTGTTCTCAGACAATAATGTTTAGGATTCTGATGCTTGCCTCAGCAAAATGGCAAATTATTATTTTTCAGAGACCTTTGACATTGTCCATAAATCATTGCAATGTTCAATGCTAAGTCCTCACATTCTCAGAGATAAAGAGAGCAAAGAAGGGAAAAATAATTTATAGCTCATTGTCTTAGTTCCTTTTGTGCTGCTATAACAGAATACCACAGACTGGGTAATTTTTATAAACAATAGAAGTTTATTTGGCTCGAGGAGCTGCATCTGGTGAAGGCCTTCTTGTTGCATCATTCATGGTAGAAGGCATCACATTGGCAAGAGAGAGTAAGAGATCAAACTCACTGCCTCAAGCCCTTTTATAATCAGCATTAATCCATTTATGAGGGTTCACCCTCATGACCTAAATACTTCCCATTAGGCCCATCTCCCAACACTACTGCATTGGGGGTTAAGTTTCCAACACGTGCTTTTTGGGGGACACATTTAAACCGTAGCACTGATTATTCACAAGTTATTTTCCATTATTTTAGGATGCTGAGAATACTTTTTAAAAACTTTTCAAGGCAATGACTTCCAGAAATTTTCTATGAAAGAGGAGTAGTTTGCATTTCACGTACCATCCCAACAGTGGATATAAGGCCCAGTTTCTTTTCACTCTACAAGAACAAAGGCAGAAAGTGTTACCTGCTAATGTGTTTCAATTCTGCCCTAAAGGGATTATTTCCAGGAGTGGAAAGGAAGACCATGTCTACAGAAATCTTGGCAACCTCTTATCCAGAAAGACTGTAGAGATTTCACGGATAGCGATGTTGTTTGGCAGGAGGTATTACCTTCCTCCAAATTCCATTTACGCAGCCGGTTTCCTCTTTTCTTCTGGGGTAAACTACACAGTAAATATACACATTGATTAGTACCATGCTGAACATCTCTTCCTTGCACAAGAGCGATCTGGTCATCCTTTGATCTCAGACCCTAGCAGTTAGACAGTACATTTGGATAAAGGAGTGGATCTGAAAAATTAAGAATGCAGGCTCTGGAATCAGAGGTACTGGGTTTAAATCCTGATTCTGCTCTTAGCAGCAGAGTGTACCTGAGTTAATCTTAGTTCTTTGTTTATAAAATGAGGCAGCGATAATAATAATACATACCCTACTATTCACCATCACACTTCATGAGTATCCATGTCAAAAGCCCCCTGATACTCTCATCAAATCTGAATGGAGCTCTAACTGGCCTTTGAACCAATCTGTGGGTTTCCCTTCCTATGAAAAATAAAGAATTACATTTTTCTCTGAAGGTAAATATCTTGCACTCAGTCCTGACTCTCATCTAATGCTTAAACCCATAGAATACTAGGCAGCAGCAAAGACTAAGCGTCAGCTAGTCAGTTTCTCCACCATCACACAGCTGTGCCATCTTGGTCACTGAAGGCTGGATGCAGTTTCCCTATCTCAAGTGAAGATTTTCCTGAATTCTTAACTAAATTGTTAGCTTTTTGAGAGAAGCTAGAAGTCTTATAGATTCTTGTATTCCTCTGAGCACTAAGTGCAGCATAGTACCTTGAAAATAACAGATTCTCAACAAATGTTTGTGATTTGGTTATTTTGAAAATGAGCTCTGGGGTATTTATAACACAATAGGTTGCAATTGAAAAAACCTTTCACATCCCTTCAAAATGGGCTAATAAAAACTCTAGGAATACCCTGTTTGGACACTAATCAAATGACAGCCCATCTTCCTTTTTCCTTCCTGTCTGTCTCCCTCCCTCCCTCCTTTTCTTCCTTCCTCTCCTTCCCTTCCTCAACCTCCTCTTCCTTCTTCTTCTTCTTCAACTTTGGTTCTATTTCAGCTACACTAGTTTAAATATATGTATGTTATATATATTGGTCTCACTCTGTCACCCAGACTGTAGTACAGTGGTATGATCATAGCAGCTCACTGTAATCTTGAACTTGTGGGCTCAAGTAATTCTCTCACCTCAGCCTCCAGAGTAGCTCAGTCTACCAGCATGTGCCACCACATCCAGCTAATTTCTTTAAAAATTCTTTTGTAGAGACAATGTCTCGCTATGTTGCTTCAAGCGTTCCTCCTGCCTCAGCTTCCCAAAGCATTGGGTTTATAGGTGTGAGCCACTATACCTGGTCCACTAGTTAAAAATATTTTAAATTAGATTTTATCATATTCAAAAATGATGAAGTCATTTTCCCCACTCCCCACACATTCATCAGAAATGACTGCTAATAGTTTGGAGTATCTTCCAGGTTGTTTTATTTGTTTATATTTCTTATGCATATACTAACATTTGTTATTATTTCATAGAAACATGGTTATACTATTCATGTGGAACTTGTTTTTTATAGTTAGCAATGCATTGTGAATGTTTTTCCATGTCAATACACACCTAATTCCTCTCTAGTACTGCGTAGTACGGAAGTTTCTTATTATCCAGCTATTCATTATTATCTCAATCCAAGTAGTTGCTAAGTTGTGTAGGAAAGCAGAAATTGGTCATAACAGGAAAATATCCACTAATGAACTGACCACTTACTAAATTAGTCCTCACTTAAATAGCCCTCCCAACTTAATATCAGCCTCTATCCCCACTCAGCCAGTCAATTTTCCTGATTGCAGATGTTATAAACATCCCACAATATAATGTAAATAAAATGCATTTCAGTTGCAATGTAAAACTGCTACTCTTGCAAAAGATGCATGATTTTATAAAGCCATTGAAAATGATTTTGGAGAACTGTTCCATAAGCAAATGAATATCTAACAGTGTTAGACCAGTTAACAATTAAAGATGAGAAAAACAAGAATGATAACAGGATACATTTTTCAAAAGAAGAATTACTTGAATATCAAAGAATTAAGAGAGGGTCTCAGCAAAATTGATTAAGCCCTCACACTTTTCCTCAAGGTGACCCTTGTCATTCTGCTATATATAAAAGTCAGTGTGAAGTGAAGGGTGTCAAAATTTGCTTTCAAATAATTTTGTTAGAAAATGTATCCCCCCAAGCACCAAATCAACACTTGATTCATTCTTTGTTTACTCGAAAAATTAAATCATTGTTGCAACTACAGTATATGCTAAATTTATATATATATACACACACACACACATATATAGTCAAAGATAGCTCATGTTTAAATACAAGTAAGATCTTTACTTTTATTTTTCAAAACAGACTCAATCAAGCCTTTTTTTTTCCCCCATCTTTATTTTACAACACTACTCCCTATTTATTACTTTTGCAGCTTTCAACAGTCACAGTATGGCAAACAGAAGCAACAGACGTTGAAAATAAGGCTCCTAATAGACTAATCAGATTCTCTAGTTTTCTCTCCAGGAGGCATTTAGAAGCAAGACTCGCTGCTTTGCAAGGAGTAAAAGCCCCAGGGTGTTTGGACAATTCAGGGAGAGAGAAGAGGCCTTAAGAGAGGAGACAGGCAGTGGACTTCCTCTGGCACTAATCTGGCACATAGATGTTTGGGCCTAATGTAATTTGAAAAAATAAAAAAGATGTAACCTCATTTGTGTCCAAGCTGGTAAAGCAAGTTATACCAGTTAAATGTGTGTATATCAGGATTTATTTTTAGCAGCTACCTTCTGACTGATATTTGGGTCGTTTCCAATTTTTTGCTCCTACAAGCCACGTGGCAATGAGCAACCATGTACAAATATACCTTGGTGCGCTCGTATGAGTATTTCTGTAAGAAAAATTCCTAGAGGTGAAACTTCTGGGTTAGGAATAATGTATATTAAAAATGTTAACAGATTATTAGCAAATTGCCCTACTATTTTATGTCACCTACAGCATCTGCCAATGCCTGTTTCTCCACACTTTTCCCAGTGAAACTGTCACTTTTTGTCAATCTGATAGCAAAAAATATGCTATATTCATTGTTGTTTTCACTTTCAATATTATAAACTACTGATCTGTATGATAAATTTGCTACTACCTGCTTAGAATTTTTAGACTCTGGAAAAATCTGCATGATGGATGTAGGGAGAGATCATCTCTTTCTGGTAATGGGTGGGAGCTAAAAATTGAGCCCCACATGCATTCTTTTGTTTAAAACTCCTTCTTTGGAACTATTGTGGTCATTGCTTACACAAGGTAAAATGTTTATAGTCAGTAGTAGAAGATGGAGATGATGATTTTTGCAAATTTCTGATTTCAGGACAGTGAGATCCTTTTTTAGACTTCAAAATATGTGAAGAGATAAGGCCAGTAGGTTCTAAAACTGTATGTCTTGATGTCATCTAAGCCCACACTCTTTCCAACAGGCTTTTGGCCACTGACTGTGTAGCATTCTAATGGAAAAATTCTTATATGTATATATCGATGGACCTAAAAAAGAAAAGAAAAATAATCCACTAGAGTATACATTTGTTACAATGTAACAAAATCTATACACTTCAGATATGTGCATTTCACTAGGTATAAATGTTATATGAAAAAGAAACCGTGGATTCCTCAAAAAAATTAAACATAGAATTAGCATATGCTCCAGCAATTCCACTTCTGGGTACATACTCCAAATAAGTGACAGTAGGTACTCAGACAGATATTTGTACACCCATATTCACAGCAGCGTTATTCCCAATAGCCAAAAAGTGGAAGAAATCTAAATCTGCTCTGAAAAAAACAGTCTTGGAAAGAAAAGGTGGAGGCAGCCCAGGTGTCTGATAGATGAATGGTTAAACAAAATGTGATATGTATATACAATGGAATATTATTCAGTCTTAAAAAGGAAGGAAATTCTAACATGTGACAACATGGATGACCCTTGAAGACATTATGCTAAGTGGAATAAGAAAGTCACAAAAGGACAAATCTTGTATGATTCCACTTATATGAAGTATCTAGAGTAGTCAAATTCATAGAGACAGGGAGTAGTATGGTAGTTTTCAAAGGCAGAGAGGAGGGAAGAATGGATAGTTAGTGTCTAATGGGTGAAGAATTTCAGTTGGGGAAAAGGAAAAATTTTGAAGATAGGTGGTGGTGATGGTTTTACTACAATGTGACTGTACTTAATGCCACAGAAGTGTACACTTAAAAATTGTTAAAAAGGTAAATTTTATGTTGTGTATATTTTACCACAGTTAAAACTTTTAAAAACATAAATATTGAACTCTGGTGCTATGAATGCTGAAGTGTTTAGGAGTAAAATGCACTGATGTCTGCAACTTACTTTGAAATGTATCAAAATTTATAGGTTAAAAGAAGAATAAATGAATATGTGGTAAAGTTAATATAGCAAATGTTCATTATTGAATCTTGAGGTGAATACGTGGGTGTTCACTGTGCCATTCTTTCAACTTTTCTGTATGTTTGAAAATTTTTTAAATAAAATATCAAAAAATAACCTAGGCCAGAAATGACCTAGACTAAAAAAACGACTAGCAAATGAGTCTTTTAAAAGCAAACTCATATTTGCTTTTGTTAATTATGGGGGATAATTTTGCTATTGAAAGATCCTCAAGCAGAGTTAAGGAAATAGAACCTATTTTTGTTTGTTTTTAATAACTGTCAGAGAGGAACATTTATTAGACAAATATTGGACAGGTATTGATTCACAAGTGACTCCGTGATATTAAAAATGAACTCAATATCACCAAACTCGATAAGTATCTCTCTATATATATCAAAGGCAAGGGTCATAGTTCAGCTTTTTCTTCCAGTTGTAGGATTTGAGCATGTGCAGAGGCAAAGAATCCCAGACTACTCAAATGGAAAAGATGATGCAGATAGGTTGGCTGAAATGACACGCAACTTTAGACCATTTGAGAGACTGGAGGTCTTCCTGATAAATATTAGCTCACTGTAGAAGTATAGTAGATTATAAATAACAGCTCTTCATTTCCTCACGGAAACATTTTGGAGAGCTCCACATTCCTCTTCTTTGGTTCAATAAAAAGTAAACAGAGAAAGATGGCCTCTATTTCTGGGATCTCTTCATTGCAGGCATGGTTGGGCAGTTTTTATAACTATAGAAGCATGTGGTCATCCCATCCCAGCAACACTCTTACTAGATTGGAATAAACATCCAAAGTTTCAGTGGAGCAAACTGAATGCCTAAAGGACAAGTAGATAACCCTAATGAGGGATTCGGGCCAGTCCAAGTAGGGTTTATGGCCTCTTGAAGAACCCTCACCCTAACTAAGGAGGAATCCACGATTCAGTTCTAGCCAGTTGGCCCGTGATAGCCAGTTATGTCAGTTTTTTTAAGAGCAATATGAAACCTTTATTTCTATGTGAAATCTTCCCAATTTAAATGTGGGTAACTAATTCAAATGCTTTTCAGAAACATTGTATGGGTCACAAGAAACACGTTTATTGGCATGCTGGGGTCTGTGGGCTCCCTGTGTGTGACCTCTAACATATGTGAAAAGGATAGGACAGTCCCACTCTTCAGCACCAACATCCAGTAGAATCCAGATCCAGCATCCTTTAAGCTTTAGGGATTTTATTCTCATCTCCACTGTCCTCAGTTTCTCTCTTGTAGCTCAGGAATATGACTTTTTCATGCCTTTATCACTTTAAATAGAAAACAAATATTTGACCTCTGGAATGTTTGCAAAATTCATGCGGTAAATGAGTCTTGAAAGTCTACTTTGTTTCATGAATTTGTTTGCATCCCCAAAAAAAGAGGAATTGACAAAAATATATAATTCATGGAACCCTTAACTTATTTACAGGTAATGATCCCAAAATGTACGTGTTTGGAACTAGCATCATATTTCCCACAGTATGACAGCTATCACTTGGTGACTGCAAACTCCAGACCATTCACTGTATGAGGTGATGTATATATTTAGCTTCTATAATTCTCAAATCATTATCCCAAATTTACAGATGAGGAAACAGGCTCAGAACAGTTTCATAACTTGCCGAGCTGGTTAAGTGTTAGAGTCAAGAATTAAGCACATGTGGAGATCAGGATTCAAGGCCTGTTGTTCTCACAGTGTTCTACCTGGTATTAAGGCCCTCAGGACAGGCTACAAAATTACTACTGTATCCACAATGTACTTGCAGAACTTTCTAGTATTCTACTTCCAACAGAACCCAGCCTTGGGTATGATTATGCCACTTTTATTTTTTTAAACCTCCCTCACTTTTATGCAGGAAAAATATGTTTCATTACCTAAGTGGTGCATGGATATATTCTTGGTGTGAAACGTCCAAATGACACAGTAGCCTGCAGAGCAGCAAGAAAAATTCCCTTTGGCTTTCTCCCCAACCCCTGCTCCCACTCCCCTTCCTATCTCAGGCTCTACAACTATTAACAGTGTGACTTGTTTCTTCCAGACTTCTTCTATGCATCTACATACATTTATGTACATATATAAATATTCATGCAGCTATGTTTCTATGGTAAATGCATTCAGAATTCCACCTTAGGATGTCAGACACTTTTCTATTGTAGCACTGGCAACTTCCCAGCTCCAAGTCAATATGGGAGGACTTGCGAGTTGGAGGTGGGGGTTGAAGATGGCTGTATTCGTTATCTATTGCTACATAACAAATGAACCCACAGTTTATCAGTGTAAAGTAATGGACATTTATGATCTTGCACAGTGTCTGACGGTCAGGAATCTGGGAGCAGCTTAGCAGGATGGTTCCAGCTCAGGTCTTTCATGAGGTAGCATTCAAGATGTCCACCAGGGTTCTAGTCATTTTAGGGATTGCCTGGGGCTGGAAGATTTACTCCCAATTTGGCTCATTCAGTGATTACTTGCTGGAAGACCTCCATTCTTCCTTGGCTGTGGGCAGGAGTCCACAGTTCCTCACCAGGAGGTCCTCTTCATAGGGCTGAGTGATCTTATGACATAGCAGCTGGCTTCCCCCAGAGGGAGCAATCCACAACTTACCAGGAAGGAAGAAGCTGCAAAGGTCTTTAATGACCTGGTCTTGGAAGTCACAGACCCTCACTGCTGCTAAATTACATTTATTAGAAGAGAGTCACTACTCAAGGGGAGGGGAGTCATCTCTACCTTTCGAAGAGATGAGTGTTCAAGAATTTGTGGACATATTTTAAAACCACTGCAAGGGAAGAAAAATGGAGAGTGGCAGAGTGTAAGATCAGGGTGTAATGTAATAGTCTGAGTAACAGGGAGGAAAGCAGAGGTGCTGAGGTCCTGAGATAACCGTGTAGAGAGAGCCTAAATAGTGTGGCTCTCTCCTGGCTGTACATTTGAATCACCTGGGGACACTTAAAAAGTCCTCATGCCCTGGGCCCCACTGCAGATCAATTAAATCTGTAGTTCTGGGGTTGAGGACAGGTATCAGTATTGATTAACAGCTCTCCAAGTGATTCTAATGTGCTGCCTGAGTTGTGAACCATGTAACAACAGAGGTGCTAGAGTCGGGCTGTGTCTGGGCTCAAGTCTCTGTTATGCCAATTAAGTAGCTGTGTGTTCTTAGGCAAGTTCATTAGTTTTTCTGTGCCTCATCTGTACAATGGGCATATGAATAGTACTTCCTCATAGGGTTGTTGTGAGGATTACCTGGGTTAATACCCCATGTAAATTGCTGGGAACTGTCCTGGGCGTAGTAAGTGCTGTTTCAATGTTATTATTGTGATTATTAGCAGCATACAATGGACTTTTCCTCCCTCCTGCTCCCGCTTCCCTAGTGCCTCTGCCTGGAGAGGAGTTTGGCTTTCTGTGCCCCAGCTCCCTCCCTTTCCCTTGAGAAGGCACAGTGGATGCCCAGCATCCTGCTCAGTCTGCAAGCTCAGTCTGCAAGCCCTCAGGCAAGTGCCAGGAAAACTGAGAAGCTGAGCTGCTGGGCTCAGCTAATGGTGGGCTTCGCTGCAGAAGGATCTCCTTCATACTGGGAGATGGACAAAAACATAGCACCCCAGGGGGCAATGAGAGGAAGGAAAATTCCCCCTCAGCCTCACAGGAGCAGGGGGCTGCACTCACGCCTTGCAATTTCTTCAAGGACCTTTCCCAATCTCAATTTCTCTGAACTCTTATAATATCAGTATGGTCCTTAAGTTACGTGCTGTCTTTTGTATTTATCTATTTACCTTTTGCATTTTCTCTCCTTCAGACAGTGAAGCAAGGGCTATGTCTTCCGGGGGAAGTGTCTGTAAAAGAAGGGAGGGGAAGATGAAGAAGGAACAGGGGGTGTCCTGTTTAGATTATAGACGCCTCTTTAGTCTTGAGAATTGTATATATGTCAGTGGAAAATGTACTCTGCTTCTTATTAATGGCTTCCCCTCTCCCCTCCCTGTATCACTACCTCTCTAAAACACCCTTTCTCCTGACCACCATTTTTGTGGAAAAATAGCATGAGTGTTCTTTCTGTTGCCTTTTACAGCAGAGGTTAATAAATTGCCACTATTACAGGGTATTCCAGCTGATATTGATGAAGCAGGTACAGAAATAAGCTAATGGGTTAGCTCCTATAGAGAAATGTGTTTCCCAAGCATAAAAGCACGATTTTGTGGGAAAGTAGACTGAGTTTTTTCAAGCCTACTAAGACAGATGGAAGGGGACAAAAGAATAAAGAATAAAATAATTAAACTATGAAACAATTGTTGATAAGACTCCTATATGATTTTTTGCTCTCCATTATTAAATTAATCTTGATTTGAATAGGTTATATCTCAATTTTCTGTTTTTTGGGTTTTTTTAATCCCCTCTGTTCTTTAGGTTTATGATTTGATCCTAAAAGTTAAAGGTCTTTTTAATAAAATATATTAAGCAAAACATATTTAAAGTCCCTGCTGTTGATTAAGTGTGCTTTTACAGTAAATGTGAGTGACAAAAGAGAACGTGATATTAATAGTTAAGCCTATGGCAGTAAGGTGCCTAATTTCAATAGCACTTGGGTTTAGTTTTAGAATATAGAAATGAACCTCTGACTAAAAATTCTAGGTAGGTGGTACCTGAACCCATGTGTATCAGTGGTGTAAGCATCTAAATGCTGAAAAGAGAGCATCTAGATCCTGATTTCTCCTGGCTCAGTTCATTCATTACTGCCAAAGTAGGAAATCCTGGATTTTAAGCCTTATAAGCTAGGAATAAAATTAGCCCCCAAATAAAAATTATTCTAGAGAAATACAGTCTTGATGGTTGAGGTTATAATAACTGTTACTTACATAAATAGCTGATTTTATTGGCCTGGTTAAATGATTCCCATGTGTCCTTCTGAAACTTTCTGCAGTCACTCTCATTGACTGCCATCTCAGCTATTAGAGAAGAAAAAATGATGAACTCAAGACTTCTTCATCAATGAGCTCAGCCTGTAAGATAATAAAAGGTTCAGTGAGCACCACTGACCTTCCCAGGAAAGCTACCAGCGTGAAAACTGAAGGAACATGGCACAGACACACAGCAGTAAAATTCAAGAGACTAAAATAAACTCAGTGAGCCTGCCTGGTCGCTAAACACTGAATACATTTAAGTGCTATTTTGACAAGAGAGCATGGCGGCTATTTAAGAATTTCATTTTTAAAACTCTAGTACAATTTTGTTCTCCTAACAGCATCATCCTGTGTCTGTGTTTGTTCCCAGTGAGGTCATTATTAAGTGAATTGAATTATTGTTCTGTTCAAATGACCTGTGCATTCAACAATGTGTGCTGAGCTCCAGCAAGAAATGTTTTATGTATTATTGGGAGATGGCCATCTGTGGCACAAACCGGGCCTCCCAACATGCAGAAATGTTGGGAGATAGTTTATGTTCAGTTTTATCTATGATCTGAATTCCATTTATAAGCTTTTTTCATCCACTTGTCAACACTGTTCACTATAGCAACACTGAAAATGGCCAGAAATGAACAGATTTATCAGAGCAATGTGAGGTCAGACTGTATGTTTCAATTATTGTATATTGAATTTTTATCATACATTTTAAATTTTGCCCATAAAAATAGTAACAATGTAATAAAAATGGAATTACTTTTCTTTGATCAACTTTCAGTTATTATAAGTTACAAAGTGAATAAGCTAGATTTCATGACTTTTATTAGATAATGGGTCTCACATTAGATATGTATATTTTAAATATAACATTGGTTGTCCATGCCAAGAACTGTGGATTAATTTTTTTCAAGTCTGAAGAACATTGCCTTTCCCGTTCCTGCATATGTAATAGAACAGCATGGCAATATGTGAAATTAAATTTTAAAATTGTAGATTATATTTAAGCCACACCCTCCCAACCTTTTCATATCTTGTTAAAGTAAACTTTTGATAATTCTACTGGCATGTTAGACCAAATGAATGATTTTACATAAGGTAAATATACCCGGATATTTGCTGTACAAAATGAAAAGATTTTTAGATATCTTTTTCTGTTGGTTTTATTGTTGTACTGATACCTTAATTAACAAAAAGAATCTCCTTTAAAATAAAGTATAAAATCTTATATGTGAAGAGAACTTTTACAAGAGGATTTTCTTTCTCTCCTTCCCTCCTTTTTTCCTTCCCTCCCTTCCTTCCGTCCATTCGTCCTTCCTTCCTTCATCTCTTTATTTTTAAAATAAAAACCTTCTAAGTTGTATAACACAGTGCTCACTTTGGACATATAGCTTTACAGTTTAAATACATTTAGATTTTAATTTCATTTGTAAGTGGGGATGTTTGTTAGAAAAATGACTAGTATCAGCGAACAGGTAGGGAGATAAGCTTTGTTCACAAATGTATCCCTGGAGGCATATTGCACTCACTCACCTTGAAAATATCCTAATGAAAATGATGAGAATGATGATGATGATGGTGATGACAGAGCAATGATAACTAGCATTTAAAGAGCACTTTATCTGTGCCTGGAGCTAGGCTAAGTGACCCACAGGTCTTGTCTTATTTGCTCTTCATAACAATTCTGTGAAAGCAGGTAATTTCATCTTGATGTGAGGAAACTGAGGCTTCAAAGGCAAAGAAACTTGCTCAAAGTCATTTACTGGGATTCCACCATAGGTCTGACTGGGATTCCACCCTAGTCATTTACTGATTCCATCAGTCCTTCTGGAATCATGGTGGAAAGTGTAGAACATGGGAGGACTCTCCCAAATTTCCCGTAGTCAGGTCGTAGAAGTCAAGCCAAACAAAGGCCGGTAGGCTTGCTGTGGCTGAGGGGCCTCGCGCTTCTGAGCGAGCTGCAAAGCACCCATCTGTGTAACACTGTTTTCTCCAGGACCTGAAGTACTTGGCTCTAGCCCAGACCACTTCAGAAAGTCCTATAACTTCTCTGCACCCACCCCTTTCTGATGCATTTTAGACTTTCTGGTGAATGTTTTTATTTAGTATTTGTTTGACATGTCATACTCTGACTCTTCTTTCTGGTATTCTGGGACACACATGTTCCATGACACAATGGAGTGTCTACCTCGTCCTACATTCCCCAGCCTTTGCCATTGTTCTTTGGGGGAAGCCCTGATAGGCCAAGATGGTGCGTCATCCAAAGAGGTTATCTGGCAACCCACAATGGTCAAGAACAAAGAACTCTGCACAATGGGGACAGCAGTGTAATTAGCTGACCTCCTGGGATTTGGACTAGAAAACGGGGACAGTATCGGCCGCACAGGAGTAAAGGGAGAATGGAACAGATACACTCTTGAGAAGCAGAGATGACATGGAGGAGAGGCGGTGAGCATGACCCAGACAGGAGCTGGCCCTAAGGCCCATCTGTTTTTTGGTGGTTTCCACTTTTAGTCCCACCATTTTCTTTCAGGAAACCTGAGGGAAGCTCTGTTCCTTGCAGCTGTAAAAGCCTGCCATATGGGTACGTATGAAATCCCATCACATACGTACTTTCATGGCTTTGCTTCACCCCACCCTCCCACCTGCCTTGTCCTTGATGGGTTTGATTACTAGAGGACTAATCCATACTAGTCAGGATTCTTTCCTTTGCAAGTGACAGAAATCCAACTAAAATATTTTAAGCAAAAAGTAAAAAGGGAGGGTGAGGAACAGGATGGGGAAATGGGAGAGGAATAGAAGTTGAAAGATACTGACAAAAAAACAAAAAACAGAACTGAAGAAATCATTGCAGAACCCAAGTAGCTCCAAGCTCTCAGTGACTAGAAGAAAAGACTTATTGCTGAAAAGATTTGATTCCACTTGTTGTTTTGCCTTCTGTCTTTTTCATTCTCTCACACAACCTACCTGGTAAAGGGCATGACTGACAGCAGCTGTTGAACACATTCTTAAAGCTTTGTGATCAGAAATGAATGAGAACTTTCCCTACCAATAAAACTTAGAAATTTCCTGGGGAAAAACTTTGATTGGCTAGGCTTTAGTCAAATGCCAAAGGAATATTTGCCAAGAGACTAAGGTCAATACTTACCACTGTAGCCCAGGAGCGTAATGCTATGATTCTAAGCTCACCAGAAGTATATGATTGGAGTGGGGGAAGAGCAGTTCCCCAAGGGAACAGGAACAAGCAGACGACAACAGGCGCATGTATGACCAGAGGTGTAGCTATATAACTTTGTTGTATTGTTTACAAAGAAGCAGGGGAGCAAATCAATTCTCTGTGTTTCATTTCCAAGGGCCCTGGTGGAGAGCTATTCCACAGTCCCTGCTCCCAACATCAGATCATTGGCTCATCTCAGGATATTAGAATCATTTACCTGAGGACAGTCACTCACCTCCACCTGACAGTCATCCTCACCACTGAGCCCAACAATTTGAATGAATTTGAAAACCTCAAAAGAAGACAGTAGAAGTTCTCTTTTCTTTATACTACGGGTTCTCAGTGCAGAATCCCTGGACCCGCTGCATCAGCATTACCTTGTTAGAAATTCAAATTTGAGGGCCTTCCCCATGATGTGCTGAATCAGAAACTATGGGATGGGACCCAAGGATCCATGTTTTAATAAACTCTTCAGGGAATTCTGATGCAGGGTGAAGTTTGAGAATTTCTGCTTTAAGCCATTCCTTCAATAGTCCCTTGCTTACATGTTTTCTACAAAACAGGTCTGCATAAAGACTCTTGGCCAAGGATGCTGGCCTATCGTCACATGTGTCTCAACAGGCTTCCTGTGGTTGCCACTATCCATTCATCCACTGCCACTTGGATGCCATGTGGGTTCCCCAGGTAGACTCCAGAGAGAGTTTGAAGGGTAAGGGGAGGGTGGATGAAACCATTCCGTAGGGCCTTCACATATGGTTCATTCATGTCAATGTACTCCTGCAATGAGTGTGATAGCGTCAACTTGACTGCAGCACAGGATACCCAGATTAAACATTATTTCTGACTATGTCTATGAGGGTGTTTCAGATGAAGCTAGCATTTGAATCAGTGACTCAGTAAAGCAGGGTGCCTTCCCCAGTGTGTATGGACATCATGCAATCTGCTGAGGGCCTGAATAGAACAAAAAGATGGAGCAAGGAGGAATTGATACCATGCCTTTTGCTTCCTACCAGCCTCCTTGAGTTGAGACATCAGTCTTCTCTTGCCCTTGGACCGGGATTTATTCTACCAGCTTTCCTGGGTTTCCAGCTTGCAGATGGCAGATTGTGGGACTTAGCCTCCATAATTGTGTGCAGCAGTTCCTCATAATAGATCTCTCTCTCTATCTATACTTATACACCTATATCTCTATCTATCTATGTATCTATCTAACTATCTCTCCTACAAGTTCTGTTTTTCTGAAGGACCCTAATACAATCAGAATGTGCACTTTCATGTGCAGGTAGAAACACATGCATCTAAAGTACACCAGGGGCACTTCTTTGTGTCAGCTTCACAGGCTCCTTGTGGCCTCAGAGGTTTTAGGAGTGGTACTTAGGGGAAACTCATCTTCCCCATGTATCCAATGGGACTTGCTTAAGAAGCTTAAAGGCTTAAAAAGAGGAACATTGAGTCCCAAGTGCCTTCCTGCCTTGTTTTCTTTTTTATATTGTTAAAAATCTGAGATTTTGTTTTCTTCACACTGTGAACATCATTATGGTATCTCATAAGTGCTGTGTATATAGTAGGTGTAGAGAAGATAAACTCTGGTGGACCCTACAGCTCTTGCTTCAGATCCTCAGTACTGGTTTCTGGCCCATTCATTCAGAAGTAGTGATTTTCTCTGCATATCCAAAATTTCCTAACATTAAAATATTCCTTTTACTACTCAACAAAAAAAGGCTGTTTTTAGATTTCAAGAAGCTTTATATTTAGAATGCAAAAATCATCCAATATGCACTATATAGATTCATGTTTCAGATAAGTAAAATTATTCAAAAGCCCAAGATCAAAAATCTTCAAAACAAGTGAGTTTTAATTTTTGTCCTTAGAATCTTCTGGGTGCAAGAACCCTTGTACAATCCTCTAATCCACAACTTCACCTTTAAGCCCAAAGTGCTTCTGCCAGGAAGGAGTTCTTATCCCAAAGTAAAAGGATTTGCAAGCAAAGATTCATAACAGAAGTGCCGTCTCAGCCTTATTGGTGGGATAGCAAAGTGATAATTTAATTTAATTACACTATAATTTAATATCTCCTGTGTTTCCCTGCGAGTGCTTTGAGTACAGTGTTTGAGAGTGGCAACTAGGTCTTTGACAGAATACTTACACTAGTGGAAGACGAGGTTGCACCCACAAGTACTGGATAGGTTTTTTTTTTAAATCTCAATCTCCGAAAACATTTAGCTCATGTTAAATTTTTTTGTATATAAAATAACAAGACTTTTTTTTCAAGGTTATTCATTTGCATTCTTATAAACAGAGGAGGACTTTCCAGAGAATAGTTGAGTATTTATTTGCCCGACCAATGATTCAAGCTTTCTTCTCTAAAATAGAAAGAAAAAACAGCAGAGACCAGCCACTTCCTCATTTCTTGGTTATATCACTAGTCCCCATCCCAGGCCCTAAAAACTGCCTAGAAATCTGTTGTCTTGGCTTCTTCAGTAATTCAGGGAGTAAAAGACAGATAGGACTTATGCCAGATTTCACTTTGTAGTGAATTATTTAAAATTGTTTAAAAGGATAAATATGCTGGAAATTAAATGTGACAGACTGTTAAAAATCGCCCAAAGCAATTTTTAGAAATCTTTAGATTTCTCATCTACTACCTTGGGTAAGGAAAAATGGTGATGCTGATAACAAAGAAAGGAAAGTAAGAAGGAAAATTTAACTTGCAGAGGGGAGGCTGAGTTTTAGTTCCCGCATGGTGAATTTGTGGTGTGATCCAGTGTAGTGGGCTCTGTCATATGCCATCCAAATTCCATATTCAGGACCAAGGCACTTATTCCCCCAACTATTAGGGTGTTACCTGTTGAGGCTCATAGCTGAGTCCCTCTCCAGGAATTGCCCTTAGACAAAAGGAAGTGTCTTGCCCAGTGTTATTTCTCTTTCCCTAGGGGTAGGTCACAACCAATGACTGGTTGATGAGGGATACCAAGTCCTAGCTCCCTTGCCTCAAATTCAGGGATTTTCTGAGGGGCTATCTACCTTTCAGACTCCCATTGGGATTGGCTGAGGCCTTGTTGCAACTGCATCACAGCTCAACATCTCCCTCTGCCCAATCCTGCTTTCTTCACCCACTAACAAGTGTTGTTTTCCCAAGCACATCCTAATAAAATCCCTGCATGCATACCTTTATCTCAATCTGTTTCCGGAGGAGTTAAACCTAGGATATCCCAAACTAAACAAAGATGTTAATATGATGAGGGAGGTGAAGAGGTAAAAGGAGTTACTTCTTTTTCTATTTTAGTTTTTATTTTATTGTGGTAAGAACACTTAGTATGACATCTACCCTCCTAATAAATTTTAAGTATAAAATATGTTATTGTTGATCATAGATACAATGTTGAACAGCAGATTTCTAAAATGTATTTGTTTTATTTAACTAAATTTATTTAACTAAAACTTTATGCCTATTGGTTACCAACTCTTAATTTCCCTCTCCGCCTAGTCCCAGGTAACCATCATTCTAGTCTTTAACTTCATGAATTTGACTATTTGAGATACCTCAGATAAATGGAATCATGTAGTACTTGTCTTTCTCAGAGTGCCTTATTTCACTTAGCATAGTGTCCTCAAGGTCTATATTAGTCAGGGTTTTTCAGAGGGACAGAGCTAGTAGTATGTATGTATATATGAAGGGGAGTTTGTTAAGGAGAACTGACTCACATGACCACAAGATGAAGTCCCACAATAGACCATCTGCAAGCTGAGAAGACAGGAAGAAGCCAGTAGTGGCTCAGTCCAAGCCCCGAAGCCTCAAAAGCAGGGAAGCCGACAGGGCAGCCTGCAGTCTGTGGCGGAAGGCCCGAGAGCCCCTGCCAAACCACTGGTGTAAGTCCAAGAGTCCAAAAGCCAAAGGTCCTGGAATCTGATATTCAAGGAAGCATCCAGCACGAGAGAAAGATGAAGGCCAGAAGACTCAGCAAGCCAGCTTATTCCACCTTCATCCACCTGCTTTTTCTAGCCGCATGGGCAGCCAATTGGATGGTGCCCACCTACATTGAGTGTGGGTCTTCCTTTCCCAGTCCACTTACTTGAATGTTAATCTCCTCTGGCAACACCCTCACAGGCACACCCAGGAACAATACTTTGCATCCTTCAATCCAATCAAGCTGACACTTAATATTAACCATCACAAGGTCTATCCATGTTGTCATATATTGCAGAATTTCCTTCTTTTTAAAGGCTGAATAGGATTCAACTGTATATATACATATACCACATTTTCTTTATGCATTAATCTGTCGATGGACATTTAAGTTGTTTCTTAGCTATTGTGAATAGTGCTGCAGTGAACATGGAACTGCTAATATCTCCTCAAGATCCTGATTCCAATTCTTTTGAGTATACACCCAGAAGTGGGACTATTGAATTATATTATATGGTAGTCCTATTTTGAATTTTTTGAGGAGCTTCCATACTATACTCCATAGTGGTTGCACCATTTTGCATTCCCACCAACAGTGTGCAAGGGTTCCAATTTCACAGCATTACTTTTTTACTTTAAGTCCACCTTAACACAAAGTAAATTTATCGTAGGTTACAGGTCTTCAATCTGTAGCATCCCTTAAGGCTGATTTGATGTATTAATAGAGATAACACCAGCAAAAATCAGTTAGTCAAATATTTACTAAGCACCCATTCGGTAACTCGTTTCTGACTGAAAATCCTCATGAATAGTGAAATTTGTTTACACACTTGATCTTAGCCAAAAGGCTGAGAAGCAATGCAATTTGTTTATAACATAACCTGTTGGTACTGGTCTTAGTCCATTTGTATTACTATAAAGGAATGTCTGAGACTGTGTAATTTATAAAGAAAAGAGGTTTATTTGGTTACGGTTCTGCTGGCTGGAAGACTGGGCATCTGGTGAGGGCCTCAGGCTGCTTCCACTCATGGCAGAAGGCACAGCAGAGCTGGTATGTGCAGAGATCAAGCGGTGAGAGAGGAAGCAGGGGAGGGGAGGTGCCAGGCTCTTTTTAACAACCAGCTCTTGTGGGAATGAATTGAATGAGAACTCATTGCTGTGAAGATGGCACCAAGCCATTCAAGCAGGATCCACCCCATGACCCAAACGCACCTCCCATGCAGCTCCACCTCCAACACTGGGGATCAAATTTTGACATGAGGTTTGGGGAGACAAATATCCAAACTATAGGAGTACTATTTAGCGGATTTTCAGTTTTGATGTTAACAAGCTCATTTTTGAAAACTTCATAGATAATAAGACCATGTGATTTCAAGGGCTTAAAAGTGAGGTACTGACCCAATGTGGACTTCATTTAATAGCTTCTCTTAAGCAGCCAGAGAGTCATATACAATTGGGTCTTTATGAAATCTATTAAAAATGTACTTTTTGTTTTTTAATCACCTAATGGGACAGGTCAAAGTCCTCTGTGTAATGATTATATTCAGTGTGACTAAGACATTCAGCTGAGTTTAATAGATAATATTGTGAGAACTGTGCATGATTCATTGAGAGATAAGAGCCTGAATGTGGTATCTCTCATATCCATGCCTCTTCCTCATTAACACTTGTCCAGGGCAACAAGAACTGCCCTAATGTTCTACCATTACCTCCGTCACTGAGAGCTCAATGCAGCTGGCCTAGCAGGAATAGAGGAGACCACACTACTGATGCCCAAAGCATACAACCTGCATTATGGCTTCTGAAAGTAATTTTATTTTTGCAAGCCCAGCTGCTCAGGTTTGCTTGCATCCCATTAATGTCCTGCAGGTTTGGGTCTGGGAACCCAGAAAAATAGCTGATTAACCTAATTTTTTTTTTTTTTTTTAGAGAGACAGAGTCTCGCTCTGTTGCCCAGGCTGGAGTGCTGGAGTGCAGTGGCACGATCTCCCCTCACTGCAACCTCCGCCTCCTGAGTTCAAGCACTTCTCCTGCCTCAGCCTCCCAAGTACCTGGGACTACAGGCGCACGCTTTTTCTTTTGTATTTTAGCAGAGATGGGGTTTCACCATGTTGCCCAGGCTGGTCTCGAACTCCTGAGCTCAGGCAATCCGCCCGCCTCAACCTCCCAAAGTGCTAGGATTACAGGTGTGAGCCACTGCGCCCGGCCCCTAATTTTTTTTTTTTTTTTTTTTTTACATGAGGAAGAAATACACAATCCCTGGACTTCCCTGTTATTTCAAGTCTAAGACCTCTAAAATCTGTGGTGTTTCCTGTGTAAGACAGCACGTCTCAACCATGACAGACCACATGTACTAAGATGTGGAGAAACCCACCACACAGAAGATGAATTTTAGCGGTTTTTCTCTCTCTCCTTCTATAAATTGATATTAAAGTAGTGATTTAACATTTTAATGTGGCATAGTTGACAATGCAGGTTTGTGCGGTGAAAAGATAATTGCTATAACATTTAAAAATATTTCATTATGGCATTTTTAATATGAAAAACAGTAAAATGCTTTTGCATTTTAGAATCAGCCTAAACTTTAATAATCATTCTTATTCAAATGACAGGATGTAGAACAGTTGAATGTTGTATATATACCCATGAATGATTTAGGGGAACTATGAAATTATATTAAATTTGAAGAATACAGTTTAGCATAGGAGGGGAAAAAACTCTAATGATTTCACAGGAGAAATATTTATAGGAATATCATCTTACCTTTGTTTGTAGCATGATGGTCTCAGAGGGATCAAGTGAGATTGTTTTGATGGTAAATTTATTACACAGTTTTTAGGAGCCTGGGCCTAAGGGATCTTGTTGAAAAGGGTTTTGTGATCCCAGAAGCTGTAAGGAACTTTGGCCTCTCCCAAAGAGAGTCTCCACAGAGTGAATCAATTTCCTTGGAGAACCAAAGCAGATGCTGCCTGGGGAGGGAGCAATTGTTTCAAGTTGGTGTTAGCTCACCAAGGAAGGCAGCAGACAGTACTGTCTGCTGTCAAAAATGCAGTATTTCATTTAGAAACGTTACTCCAAAGCATTTTCCTCCCCTCCTCTTAAAAGCTCAGGCTCCATACTGAACTACCTGAGTTGGATTCTGGCTCTACCATTTACTGGCCATTTGACCGTGGTCAAGTTATTCAACCCTCCTGAGCCTGTGTCCTCATCTGCAAAGCTGAAACAGTAACTTACCTCTTAAGGTTGTGAAGACCAACTGAAGTAATTGAAATTAACTGAGCAATAAAAGCAATCGATATTTAGCGCTTAGCTACGTACATAGTACATGGTACCTTGGCACATGATTAAACTGCCAATGATGGTAGCCATTATTATGATGGTAAATTTTTTTTTTAACTTTTATTTTAGGCTCGAGGGTACACGTGAAGGTTTGTTACATAGATAATCTCATGTCACGGGAGTTTGTTGTACAGATTATTTCATCACCTAGGTATTCAGCTTAGTACCTAATAGCTATCTTTTCTGCTCCTCTCTCTCCTCCCAGCCTCCACCCTCAGGTAGATCTGAGTGTCTGCTGTTTCCTTCTTTATGTTCATAAGTTCTTATCAGTAAATAACTATTTTTAATGCCATGTTTTTGTCTTAATGTGTGCAAGAGGGATTGATGAGGGCATGACTTGTGAAATAGGGTATGTATTTTGATGCCTCACACTCCAGCTGCACTTGTGATCAGCAGGTCCATGAAGAGGGCTGGCATGAGGCCAGAGGTGCGTGCTCTCTCTCGTGGCCACTGCTCACCCTGGAGATTTAGAGGAGCCAGCCTACGGCAGAGGCCCCAGGGTGGCAGAGGGCCTTCCAGACTCTTCTCTCTCATGACTCACATCTCTAGCACTAGCCCCAGGGAGCCCAAAGATTCTGGATAGGCCATAGGGCACAATGACTATGTGTCAGAGTTGCCAGAAAATAAAATGTGATTCTCCCAACTACATTTGCAAGAATTTTCCTGGCTCCTTGCCTCTGCAGCTCTCTTCTACCACTTGAGCCCTGTCTGTAGTTTATCCTTACCCCAGATCTGTGACCAATCTTGTCCTTATTTAGAGGGAACTGAAGAATAACTAAACCACTTTGGTGATTCCACATCAAGACCGCCTTAAGGCTTCTTCTGCTTTGATTATCTCAGTTGTGCTAATAATAATATTGACTAATAATAACTTTTTTAACACCTACTCTTTTCTAAGCGCTTTACATATATTATTTAATTTGCTTCTCATAACAATCCTGGCCGGGAGTGGTGGCTCACGCCTGTAATCCCAGCACTTTGGGAGGCTGAGGCAAGCCGATCACGAGGTCAGGAGATCAAGACCATTCTGGCCAACATGGTGAAACCCAGTCTCTACCAAAAAAAAAAAAAAAAAAAAAAAAAAACAGCTGGGGGTTGTGACTCATGCCTGTAATCTCAGCTACTCGGGAGGCTGAGGCATGAGAATCGCTTGAACCCAGTGTGTCCGGAATTGGTGGGTTCTTGGTCTCACCGACTTCAAGAATGAAGCCGCGGACCCTCGCAGTGAGTGTTACAGCTCTTAAGGTGGCGCGTCTGGAGTTTGGTCCTTCTGATGTTTGAATGTGTTGGGAGTTTCTTCATTATGGTGGGTTCGTGGTCTTGCTGGCTCAGGAGTGAAGCTGCAGACCTTCCCGGTGAGTGTTACAGCTCATAAAAGCAGTGTGGACCCAAAGAGTGAGCAGCAGCAAGATTTATTGCAAAGAATGAAAGAACAAAGCTACCACACTATGGAAGGGAACCCCAGCAGGTTGCCACTGCTGGCTCGGGCAGCCTGCTTTTATTCTCTTATCTGGCCCCACCCACTTCCTGCTGATTGGTAGAGCCCAGTGGTCTGTTTTGACAGGGCACTGATTGGTGCATTTACAATCCCTGAGCTAGACATAAAGGTTCTCCACGTCCCCATCAGAGCAGCTACATACAGAGTGTCCATTGGTGCATTCACAAACCCTGAGCTAGACACAGGGTGCTGATTGGTGTGTTTACAAACCTTGAGCTAGATACAGAGTGCCAATTGGTGTATTTACAATCCCTGAGCTAGACATAAAGGTTCTCCACCTCCCCACCAGACTCAGGAGCCCAGCTGGCTTCACCCAGTGGATCCCGCACCAGGGCTGCAGGTGGAGCTGCCTGCCAGTCCCATGCCAGGCTTGCACTCCTCAGCCCTTGGGTGGTCGATGGGACTGGGCACCGTGGGGTGGCACTCGTTGGGGAGGCTCCGGCCGCACAGGAGCCCATGGAGGGGGTGGGAGGCTCAGGCATGGCAGGCTGCAGGTCCCCAGCCCTGCCCAGCAGGAAGGCAGCTAAGGCCCGGTGAGAAATCGAGCGCAGCGTCGGTGGGCTGGCACTGCTGGGGGACCCAGTACACCCTCCGCAGCCGCTGGCCCGGGTGCTAAGTCTCTCACTGCCCGGGGCAGGCAGAGCCGCCCCGCTGCTCCGAGTGCAGGGCCCGCCAAGCCCACGCCCACCCGGAACTCCAGCTGGCCCACAAGCGCCGTAGGCAGCCCCGGTTCCCGCTCGCGCCTCTCCCTCCACACCTCCCTGCAAGCTGAGGGAGTGGGCTCCGGCCTTGGCCAGCCCAGAAAGGGGCTCCCACAGTGCAGCGGTGGGCTGAAGGGCTCCTCAAGTGCCACCAAAGTGGGAGCCCAGGCAGAGGAGGCACCGAGAGCAAGCGAGGGCTGTGAGGACTGCCAGTACGCTGTCCCCTCTCACCAGGAGGTGGAAGTTGCAGTGAGCCGAGATTGCGCCACTACACTCCAGCCTGGCAACAAGGCAAGACTCTGTCACAAAGAAAAAAAAAAATTCCTATGAGGTAGGCTTTGTTATTATTCTCTCTCTCTCTTTTTTTTTTTTTTTTTGAGACAGAGTCTCACTCTGTCACCCAGGCTAGAGTGCAATGGCATAATCATGGTTCACTGCAGCCTTGACCTCTCAGGCTCAAGCAATCCTCCCACCTCAGCCTCCCGAGTAGCGCCGCCAAAGTGGGAGCCCTTCAGCCCACTGCTGCACTGTGGGAGCCCCTTTCTGGGCTGGCCAAGGCCATAGCCGGCTGCCTCAGCTTGCAGGGAGGTGTGGAGGGAGAGGCGCGAGCGGGAACCGGGGCTGCGCGCGTTGCTTGCGGGCCAGCTGGAGTTCCGGGTGGGCGTGGGCTTCCACACTGTGGAGGCTTTGTTCTTTCGCTCTTTGCGATAAATCTTGCTACTGCTCACTCTTTGGGTCCACGCTGCTTTTATGAGCTGTAACACTCACCGCGAAGGTCTGCAGCTTCACTCCTGAAGCCAGTGAGACCACGAGCCCACCAGGAGGAAGGAACAACTCCAGACGCGCCACCTTAAGAGCTGTAACACTCACCGGGAAGGTCTGTAGCTTCACTCCTGAGCCAGCGAGACCACGAACCCACCAGAAGGGAGAAACTCCGAACACATTCGAACATCAGAAGGACCAAACTCCAGACGCGCCACCTTAAGAGCTGTAACACTCACTGCGAGGGTCCGCGGCTTCATTCTTGAAGTCAGTGAGACCAAGAACCCACCAATTCCGGACACAGTGGCTGGGATTACAGGCACGTGCCACCATGCCTGGCTAGTTTTTGTATTTTTTGTAGAGACGGGATTTTGCCATGTTGCCCAGGCTGGTCTCGAACTCCTGGAGTCAAGTGATCTGCCTGCCTCAGCCTTCCAAAGTGCTGGGATTACAGGAATTTATTCTCATTTTACAGATGAGGAAACTGCAGCACAGAAAGTCTGTTACTTGACCAAAGTTACATAGGTGATAAGTGATAGAATGGGGATTTGAACGTAGGCAATTCTGTCTCAGCCCCAGCTTGTTCTCCCATTCTAAAGATCACATCTTTGACTCATTTTGTCTGCCTGATTGCTTATGGTGATGCTTGGGGCCACAGGTCCTCACTGCAGACCTCCCAGGGGCAGGAGCCCTGCCCCTGAGCCCTAGACCAGGAGCCTTCCCCCTTCCTCCAATTTTCAGCCTCTCTGCCCTGGACTCCTCCTTGGGCTGCCACCTAATGCCAGTCTCCAAACATTCCAGATGCTATCTCTCTGGTAAGTTTCCCTCCATCACCCACAGGGACTTTGGTCTCCAAGCTTCTTGCTTGCCTACACTGGATGTCCCATATCTGGGCTCCAACTCCTCCAGGACACCTGTGAGTGCCAGGGCCTAGGCTCCATTCCTGATGATGCCATGCTGGGCCTTCTCTCTGCAAGGAGTATCCTGGCTGTAGAAGAGTGTGGCCCCATTGTTTTCATACCTGCTTCATTCCCCATCCCCCTTCCACAACTGAGTCTGGAGGAGGGCCATGGATGGGGAACCAGCATTGGGGCTTTCTTGAAATATACAGAACAGGCAGAGAACCCTCCAGAAACTTCTCTAGCATGTGATAAGCATACCAGTCTGCTCAACATGTACAGACAGGTTTCTAACCATGTAGACAAAGAGAGCAAAGGTGACTGAGCCCCTCAAAGACCAGTAGAAAATATTCAAGTGTCCCTAAGACTACGCTGCATTCTTTTGAGTAGGAAAGGGAAACTTAAACTTACTGTATGAAAATGATCAATTAGGTGTTTTTCAATTTAATGCCTAAGGTATTGAAATGTCAAGTATCCCATGATACGAGGCCAGTCGAAATTAACTGAGTAATAAAATATACCTATAGCAGTAGGAGAGTTAGGGGACTCCTTAGTCATGAAAACACACTTTGATGAACAGGTCAGAAAAAGTCCCCTGTCTAAAAGACTGAAAATTAAACATTTTCAGAGGTGGTAGATTTCCAGCCTAGAAGGTGACAGGCCACCACCTGAGATAATTAGCCTCCAGAGCCCATGTCTGAGGGTCAAGGACATTTCTGACATGAGAGGAAGGTCTGGGGTACCAGAGCTGCCTTAAAACTCAAAGGATAGTCTGCAAAGCCCTTGATACAAGCTCAGACTATCCTTAAAAAGAAAAAATGCAGGCCTACTTGGTTCAGCTGGGAGAATTCAGGAAGGTGGGAGAGGGTATGCAGACAGCAGAGCTGTTAAGATCTGAGATCATAAAGGAAATATTTTCATATACTCACCCAGAAAATTTAATTCTCTGTGAAGCTAAAAGCACTGTAAACAAAATTTAAATTTAAACAAGCTGAGTATAGGGCTCTCAGTCTCTGTCAGTTTCTGCCTCGCCTCTGCTTCCCCTTTTACATATGGGGAGTTCTCCACTGTGTGACTCTGGATGAAGAGCAAGGTCCACTCTCCAACACTGGAGATGAACAGTTCTGAAAGTCACTCTCTCTGTTCCCGCTCTTTGCAATGGGGATGCAGGCTGTGATGGAGGCTCAACCAATCAGACACTCTGGCCCAGGACTTTGAATCAAGACAGAAGAGAGTCCACTTTTGTGGCATCAGCATCGAATCTCCAAGACCAGGTGGGCAGAGGTGCCAGGAGTGGCTTTCAGCATCCAGTGTCAGTATTGGTGGGGTCCTCATCAGACAGTTCCTACAGTGTTGTTTGGGCTTGTGGTTGGCCCTGCTTCCTTTGGTGCTGCTCTATTTTCAAAGTCTAGAATTCTAGCTTTTCCAGTGATTCTGTGATCTACCAAATATCATTTCAATACATTCATTTTCTGCTGGAAGGAGCCAGTTATTTTCTGTTGCATACATTCAAGAACCCCTGTTATACTGGGAAGTCTACTTGCAGTATTTTACAGACAAAAGTGAAATATCCTGAAAATATAAAAGTCTCTAGCAAATCCAATAAGGAAAGATGCATAGTCCAATAGAAAAAAGGCAAAGGATATGAACAAACAGTTCACCAAAGAGGAAATACAAATAGCAAACAAGCATAGAAAAAGACCTTTGCCCTCATGTTGCCAAGATGCAGATTTATCATATATTGTTGAGAAATCATTTTTCCCATAACATACAAAGACAAAAAGAGAGTTAATGCTCAGTGGGGTGAGCTTGTGGGGAGCAAGTTGTTGCTGGGCATGTAATATGATATCACCTTTCTGGGAAATCTGATACTGTGTATCAAAATGGAAAGTATTCCTTTTGGCTCAGCAATTTTGCTTGTCAGAATTTATCCTGAACAAACACCATGACTCATGAAGCTCAGTCCCCAAATGGTGTCTTGGAATATACAGTTCATGTAACTTGAAGCAAATTCATAGTTCAAAATAATTTCAGAATAACTCAAGCACTTTCCCATGGAAAGGATGGTGTATTCGTTTGTTCTCACACTGCTATAAAGAACTACCTGAGACTGGGTAATTTATGAAGGAAAGAGGTTTAACAGTACTGCAGGCTTAACAGGAAGTATGACTGAAGGCCTCAGGAAACTTATGGCAGAAGGCGTGGGGGACGCAAGCACCTTCTTCACATGGTGGCAGGAGAGAGAGAAAGAGACAAGGAGGGGAGTGTCACACACTTTTAAACCATCAGATCTTGTGAAAACTCACTATCACAAGAACAGCCAGGCAGAAGCCTGCCCCCATGATCCAATCACCTCCTACTTGGCCCCTCCTCCAACTCAACAGGAGATTTGGGTGGGGACGCAAGTCCAAACCCTATCTGATGGGCTCACAGAATTACATACCATGTTAGGCCCCTTTTCACCCTCTCCCACAAGTCACTATCCCTATACGTGGTAGCTGTGATCCTCAAACATTCTTTGTCAAAGTATTCCTCCTTTCCGACCCAGGCTCTCCCGCCTTGGACCAAGAATGCATCTTCCTAAAAGGTAGAGGAGGTGGAGGAGAGACCAAAACTATTGCGGAGGTACAGAAAGGAAACACTCACAAATTAGTAATCGTTGTATTAATCCTATCTAAAAATAAGTAGAGAAGGGTTCTAAGAGATATATCTCAGTCCCTACTACTCTTCCTCTCACTCTGTTCCAGGCGCCCAGACTCTGTGCTGTTCTTCTGAGCTTGGCACTTGAAACTGCTCTGTCCACACTGCTCTGCCTCCAGGTAAATAAAGAGGGCTTGATCTCCCATCCCACTGAGGCCTTTGCTCATTTTTCACCCTTTCACTGTGGTCTTCCTGATCCCGCATTTAAAACTGCAGCACAGGCTGGGTGGCTGACACCTGTAATCCCAACACTTTGGGAGGCCAAGGTGGGAGGATTTCTTGAGCCTAAGAGTTTGAGACCAGACTAGGCAACATAGGGAGACCCTGTCTCTACAAAAACAAACAAACAAATTAGCTGGGTGTGGTGGCATGAACCTGTAGTGCCAGCTACTTGGGAAGCTGATGTGGGAGGACCCTTGAGCCCAGGAGTTAGAGGCTGCAGTGAGCCATGATCATACCACTGCACTTGAGCCTGGACAACAGAGTGCCACCCCATTTCAAAAAATAAAATTGCAACATGCAACTCCCTTGTATTTCATATCCCCCTTCCTTGCTTCATTTTCCTGCATGACAATGATCACTAACTAATATTCTGTATATTTTACTCATTCATTTATTGTCGATATCTGCCTTCTCCTACTAGAAGATGATCTCCATAAGGGAGGGATTTTTGTCTGTTTTCTTCACTGCTTTATCCCTAGTGCCTAAAAGAGAAGCTGACACAGCATAGATATTCCAAAACTATTTGTTAATGCAAAAGTATCCTTGTTCATGTTTATAGTAAAGAAAACAAAACACCCCAAGTGTAGATTTATTAAATAAATTACACCACATTTGCACAGTGGACTGCTTAGCACACTGTGGTAAGCAGAATAATGACTGCCCAAAGATGTCAGGTTCTAATTTCTAGAACCTGTAAATGTTACCCTATTTGGAAATACAGCTGTTACAGCTGTGATTCAATTAAGGAATTTGAGAAAGGAAAACTATTCTGGATTACCATGTGGGTCCTAAATGCTATCAGTATTTTTATAAGAGAGGGGCCGAGGGAGAATTCACATACGTGCAGACGAGAAGGTAATAGACAGATGAAGCAGAAAGAGGTTTGACAATTGGAGTGATGTTACCTTAAGCCAAGGAATGTCACAGCCACCAGAAGCTGGGCACCCTGATTTCCACCTACTGATACTGCTTTCAGACTTCCGGCCTCCAGAACTGTTCTAGAAAAAAAAATTTGTTGTTTCAAGTTACCAAATTTGTGGTCGTTTGTTAGAGCAGCCACAGGAAATGAATATGCACTCCTAACTTTTAGGTTACTATTGTGGATTACCCTAGGATGAAATGTTCTCTCTCAGTAGAGGCACTTCAATGGTCACAAATGCCTCAATTCCTTTACTTTTTTAAATTAAACTTTTGATTTTAAGATAGTTATAGATTCATACACAATGGTAACAAATAATGCAGAGAGATCCCATGTACTTTGTTTTTTGAGACGGAGTTTTACTCTTGTTGCCCAGGCTGGAGTGCAGTGGCGTGATCTTGGCTCACTACAGCCTTCACCTCCCAGGTTCAATGATTCTCCTGCCTCCACCTCCCATGTAGCTGTGATTACAGGCACCTGCCACCATGCCCAGCTAATTTTTGTATTTTTAATAGAGACAGGGTTTCACCATGTTGTCCAGGCTGGTCTCGAACTCCTGACCTCAAGTGATCCTCCCACCTCAGCCTCCCAGAGTGCTGGGATTACTGGTGTGAGCCACCGTGCCTGGCCCCGTGTACTTTTTACCTAGGGTACATGAGGTTACATCTTACAAGACAGGGCTCTATCACGAGGTTTTGTTACCAGTTAGTGGGGATCAAAGTCCTGGCTCCCCACATTGCCTTTTCTGACACCACCTCAACAAAAGTATGGGGGTGCCTCATTACAGCTTCATCAGGCTGGAAATGTAGGGTCCCTATTGGCCTTTGCTGGTGGGTGTGGACAGAGCCACAGTGTTTTCTTTGGTGTTTGGCTGGAGTAGAGCAGTTATTGTCTAAAAGTTCTCTGTGCTTGATTGCCCTTTTCTTGGTCCTTTGGCTAGAGAGCAGGCTTTCGTTGGAACATTTTTTGTCTGTGCCCATTGGTGTTTCTGGGTTGCTGGTTTCTTTAGTTCCAAGTCTGGGAAAAATGAATAAAAAGAAAATCAGGGCACTCACCACCGTATTGTTCCTTGGGTCATGAGGTCCCTACTTAATCCAAAGTCTTCTCGCCACTTTTCAGAGGTTTCTTAGGTTTGTTATATACATAATGTCTGGAGTTTTTGGTTGTACTTAGTGAAAGGAATAGGGAAAGTACACTACTCTATCTTCCTGGAAGTGGGAAATCACATCTTTAAGTGTGAACGAATTCTGTTTTATTTGGGGTTTTCCACTAATAGGAAGAATGAGGGAATGGAATATTTGGAAAGCTCCAAAGAGCAGAGCAAGCAATTTGTGTCTTAGGTTTCCAGTCTCAGAGTAATGCTGACCCTCCCTTAAAATTTAGGTGCATACTTAGTTTCCTGGTATCATGTTATACATTGCCCATGCTTTCAGCTGTTTTCTGTAAGTTCAGTTTTTCCAATTCTTTGGCAAAGACTGTATCTTATACTTTATTTTCCAGTCTGGTTACCCACACAGGAGGTGGCTAATAATTGTTGATTGAACACGTAAAAAGACTATCTTCCACAGATCAAGCAATATGAGAGTCTTAGAGGGATGTGGAGGGAAACAAAATCACTATGTCCTCAAGGGCCTTAAAGTCTAGCACAGAGTGAATTATCCCTGGCTTCCCCTTTACATCAAGTGCACCAACTTGATTTTGTATGACAAAAATGAAAAGTTCACTCACTCTATGAGATATGGAATCCAGTCCCTAAACATAGCATGTGGTGTTTTAGGCTGTTTCATAAGTTGACTAGGCTTGAACGTGATGAAGGCTGGCAGATTCTATAGGTTCATTTGCTCACCCTTTTTTTTAGATTATTCTCTGGAAAAGGAACAGATACTCTATATATCTGGATTAGGCAACTTTTACAAACTAAGCTCTTTACTGCACAGAGGCATGTAGGCTAAACTGAATGTTAGCCCCATAGAGTACTTGTGTTCATCTTCCCTGGGGAAGACCAGGGCAGATGACCCTATATGCAAACCTCACACTTTAATCTTCTGGACTGAATTCTTTCAGGCAGTGACTGATAGCTTCAACAGGCTGTCAGCAGTGGACGGAGATGATCATAGGGCTGTGCAACCACCATCACTCCTGGAATAACACAGCAACGACTAAGACCTTCAAGGTTTCTTTCTGAGTGCCAAAACCCCATGGACAATGACAACTTTCTTTCTCTGAGTCTTTAAGGCTCAAATGTCTCATCCTCCATAGGCTTTAACATGAATGGGTAGAGGAATGAGATTATCTTTGTGTCTAAAATACTGATAATGCTGGGATTAGGGCCATCTTGTTCTAGCGTTGACTCCTCCTTGACTTTTCTATAAATTGTTTAATCTCTTTGTACCTTCTTTTTGGAATGCCATAAAAATTACCTCCTCACTTGAATGTTGTAAATGAAATATACATATTAGTAGAGGTTTTTTTTTTTTTTTTTTATGTGAGGTACACTTATAAGAAAAAGTACTGCCCTTGGGTTTCTAAACTATAAAGTTTAATCTTCAGTCCCCAGTGTCTGAACTCTTGGCTGATTAATTCATGTCAAATTTTCATACTTTCAATAGTTTTCTCTTTTTCATTCCCAATCCAAATCTCAAGGACAGTATACAGAAATTAATTTTTGAGTTAGAATGAAGGAAATTGCGTTAAATTCCTTCTGAGAATTAATGTGGAGTTAAATGTAATATTTGCTGACTCTGCAATGCTTTTGCTTGCAGTTGTCCTTGCCATTTTTATTTTAATCCTTTATATCTGCTCTTATAGAAACTATTTCAATTTAGATTTTCAAGTATTTTACAATAATGTTTAGTAGAGGGGGACATTTTTCAGTGTGTACAGAAAGTTTACCGACGTTGAATGACCATTTTTGAGTGGGTTGGATTTTTCACCATTGCTCTGTGGAATGTGAAGGTTCTACCTGACTGATGATAAGACACTTTTTGTGATGGTTAATCCATAGTCCTAGAAAAGCAGTATAGTTAATTTGTTTAATAGCAAAATCTTTGATTTGCCAGACACTTAAGAACATATTTGAAGTTGTGATGAGTCTGAAATAATTTAGAAACATAGCATCTGACTCTGCATTTACGATATTGACAGCTTTTCAAGTGAATTCTGATGATTTGTTTACCATCTTTTGTCCTCCCAAGGTATCACAGGGAGAATTATGTGAAAGAATAAATGTGGAAGTAATATATAAACTGTAAGGGTAGCTTAATGTTATAATCTTTATAATCTTTGTAATTATTGTCCTCAGCATCACCACCACCACACTTACCAGTGTCAAGCTGTATCTCAACTTTTGCAAACTCATTTTTCTTCCTCACCTTGCTTCAGTCAGTTCAAAATCCTCTTCGAGTAACCTTTCTCTCCCTTCACTCCAGTCTTATTCTCCTCCTTCTTCAAACCCCTCCTCTGTCTTCCAGATTAAGCAACCTCACATCTTTCTAAAAGATTCATTTTCTCCTCTAAGGCTTTTTCCTTGACCATCACAACAATCTCAGAAATGCCCAGTGTCAGCGATGACTGATGACAGAAACTAATCTCCCTGCCTGCTTTCAGTTGGCTCTGCCTTTCACAAGTTCCATTCTCAGTGCAAATGCCCTCTATTTAAATTGAGAGTTCCATCAGAGGACTGGCCTCCCTCATCTAATTCATTATTTGTAGCATCATTGCTATTTATGGGTGAGGCACAGTTGGCATTAACATACCAGGTTCTTGCTCGAGAAAGATGGCATGGGGGACTGACTCTCCTAACATGCCCACCGGGGTTGTCTGCTGAGTTTAAAGAGAATGGGGATGAGCCATCACACATATTCTCTTCTGTCGTCTTGCCCACAGGAATACATTTGAGAAACAGGTATCATAGCTCCCCTCTGTCACTGTGGAATAATGTTTCCCTTTGGTTTCTTTCTACATCCTTTCCTGTATCCCTCAGCTCCTGATATGCCTATTAGTAAGCAACCCATTTCCAGAAAGTGGCTGGCTCAAACTTTTGACACCCAGGAGATCATCCAAACCGTAAGTGTTTAAAGTAAAGGTTATGTATTTATTGACACTTATTTAAATGGATTTCAATTCACAGAGTTTCTTTCAAGTCTTCTTGGCTACCCTTTCTTGCTATCCAAATTATAACCACAATCTATTGCACAGTCACTATGTACTAGTCTCTATGCTGGGTGCCTTTACATATATGTCTTTACAACAGTCCTGCAATTTATGCAATCCCTATTTTATGGTTGAGAAAATTTAGCATCTGAGAGGTTAAAAAATTTGTCCTAGGAAGCAAAATTTGGCAAATGACAAGCCCAGATTCAAAGGCTTGCCTTTTTCTCACATGCTTCTCTAGAGATCCCTCCCCACATAAAATTTGGTGCCCCATACTACAAATTATTCCCCTTTCTCCCTGATTAGTTTTCTTATCCCCTACATCTTAGTTGTCAGGAAAAAAGAAAAACAATTGCCTAACTAAATTAATCTATGCTAAGGTATTGATGACTCTTAGCCTTAAAATAATAATTTGTCAGCTCAAGTTAATCATTACTTTGTAGAAGATGTGAAAAAACAATCTTAGAGCGGTGCCTTTTTTGTTCTTTCTTACTTGGCCCAAGTCACCAGAAGCTCCCTTATTCCAACATATGCACAAGCTCATACATATAATGCACAAGCTCATACGTATACACACACATGCATACACATACAAATACAACCCTGAAAAATAAGAGGTTAACAATTTGAAATTTGCTTCGTGCTGACCCCAGATTTCACCAGTTGAGCTAAGTGGCTCAGTAAGTATTGACAAACTAAGACCTGAGCCTTGGCTTATATATGGGATTCAAGGTTAATTTTAATATAGTCCACTCAAAGAGCTACTGGTCCTTCCAATTAGCCATAGAATAAAGGACAATTTCTGCTCAATAACTCAAGTTTAGCCATTGGAGAAAAATTATTTGAAAAGAGAACTGCTAAGAGACCTGGCAGAGGAGACACTACGTCAATATATGGTCTTTTCTTCTTTCAATCTCTTTCTTTTTCTGAGACTTTCTAACCCCTTCCAAAGTCTGCTATTGAAAACCTTGAATCATGTATGTTAAGGCTATATAACTATATATCTAATCACATCCTGGAATCTCTTTAAAAAGTGTTTTATTTAAAATTAGACAAGGAATGCACAATTACAGGCTCACTGTAAAAAAATAAAATAGATATACAGTTAAAAATAAAAATTGCTTATCACCTTCATTCCCATTTTATTTCTTCCCTCCAGATAAACTACCATTCATAGTTTGTACACAGTCATAAGCTGTCTGGACCTTTTTCTATTGTTTATATACAGTGAATTTATACATGGATTTTTTCTTGTTTTTTTTTTTTAATGTGACTGAGTTTATCCTAAAAATAATCAGATTTACTTTGATAGTTCAATGTCAGTATGTATAGACAAGTGCCTTGTTCTTTTAAATAGCTACATAATATTCTATTTTATAGATGTACAAAATCTATATAACAATTTTTAATTGGTGTACTTTTGGGTGTTTCCAAATTTTTGCTATCACTGGTATTACTGACTAAACAGAATATCTTAATGGAATAGATTCCTAGAAGAAGAATTGCTAGTCAAAGGCCTCCTAAGTTTCTTTGAACAATTACATTATTTTTTAGTCAGCTTCATTCAGAAAGTCTCACGGGAATGATTAGATCAATTAAGACATAAATGCAGAAGGGCATAATCTCTCCAACTCTGGGATACTGATGTAAAATAACGGCTTTAGAAACAGATTATATATTTTTATAGCACACTATACACCCATGCACTTCTAAATAAGCCACTTCCTAGAAATTCACCTTGTATAAAGTTAGAGCTGAAAGGCACCCTAGGTATAGTGGCAAAAGGCAATAATAACAATGATAATAAAGCTAGCATTTATGGAGCACCTGGTTTGTGAGAGGCATTGCCCTTTTACCTGATTATTTCATTTAATCCTCCCAAACAATGGGAACTCCATCCTTTAGAAAGCATGTATGTTCTCAGACAAGTTTTTTCATCTCTTTAGGCCTTAATTTCTTCCTTCTGCTGTGTAAAGAAGAGGCTTACTCTGGCACTGGCTCTTGAAAGCCACTCGTGTGCATCTCTTCCCAGCTTGTTCAGATGTTGGTAACTTAAAGATAGCCATGGTGGAGGTATTTGTATCCTGGAAATTGGCAAAGGCTACAAATCAAGGTTTCCTTGGGCCAGCAAGCTAACCCTAACCCAAAACCCTAATCTTCATGGGCATGACCAGCCCTAATAGTCAGGTGGGTTCCAGGCGGCTGGGAGGCTCCTCATGATGTGCCGCCCTTCACAGTGCAGTCCCATTTCACTTCCATGTATCCAACATCACTTCCATCCACCAATATTCCAATTCAGCCTGGGTTCCTCATCTTCTGGTGCATCACTTCCCCTCTTTACCTACCTTTATCTCCCAGATACCAGCTCTTTCCCTCATCCCTCCCATGTGTCCTGGAGTGGAGGAATAGGAGAGGTGGAAATAGAAACCAGTGATTTAATGCCAATCACACTTTATTGTATATATTTCACAGCACACATTAGCAAAGAATTCTATTAATGCAGTAGAAAGGCTTATGTGGAAAGTGGGCACTGGGTTTGTATCCCACACCAAACTGCTACCCTTCATCAGAAAGAAGTAATCAGGCCGGGGGCAGGGGCTCACGCCTGTAATCCCAGCACTTTGAGAGGCCAAGGCGGGCAGATTACCTGAGGTCAGGAGTTTGAGACCTGCCTGGCCAACATGGTGAAACCCCGTCTCTACTAAAAATACAAAAATTAGCCCAGCATGGTGGCGCGTGCCAGTAATCCCAGCTACTCGAGAGGCTGAGGCAGAAGAATCACTTGAAACCGGGAGGCAGAGGTTGCAGTGAGCTGAGATCACACCACTGCACTCCAACCTGGGCAACAGAGTGAGACTTCATCTCAAAAAAAAAAAAAAAAAGAAAAGAAAAAGAAAGAAGTAATCAGAGTGTGGCTATTAAACTGGTGAGTGTCATTCCGGGGCTCCATGTCCCATTCTGCAATATCAGTCGCATCCATGTTAGCATCTTGAACCAGTTCCTCCCAGGTTAATATTTACCCACTACACAACTGCTTGTTATGAAGATTCAATTAAATAATTTATGCACTTGTGCCTGGCACTTAGTAGGTATCCAACAATGTTAATTATTTTGTTTGTTTCAATGAGGAATCTGCAATCCAGAATACTTTAGTGACTTGCCCAAAGTGGCACAAATGGTTACTGACAGCAGAGACCAAAACCTAGGGCCGTGACTCACAGAAGGAGGTATTTCTATGAAACCAGTGATTCTCAAAATGTGGTCCAAAGAGTCCAGGACAAATCTTCTCTTTTCCAACTTGATATATGTAACACTGGATTTCTTTATATACTTTAACCAAAACAACAGAGCATAACCTATTAAATGCAGAAGCAGATATGAGAATCCTACCATATTCTATTAAGGTAGCATTAAAAAGATTTACAGAAAAATGATACACATAACCAATTATTTTTGTTTTGGAAAACGTTTATTTTGCATATATTATTTGTGCTACCATTTGTTCTCATTCTTATTTTAAAATAAATTCTTAGGCTGGGCGCGGTGGCTTGTGCTTGTAATCCCAGCATTTTGGGAGACCGGGGCGGGAGGATCACTTGATGTCAGGAGTTCAAAACCAGCCTAACCAACATGGCAAAACCCCTTCTCTACTAAAAATACAAAAATTAGCTGAGCTTGGTGGTGCAGGTCTGTAATCCCAGCTACCCAGGAGGCTGAGGCACGAGGAGGCGGAGGTTGCAGTGAGCCAGAATCACGCCACTGCACTCCAGCCTGGTTGACAGAGTGAGACTGTCTTAAAATAAAGTAAAATAAAATAAAATAAATTATTAAATAAATATTTTTAAAATATCTCATTTTTCATTTCTAATATTATATATATTTATCTAAAGCATAGTATCTAGAGATATAACCCATATAAACAAAAACTTTTTTGCATTTTTAATTTTTAAGAATGCAAAAGAGGCCAGGCACAGTGGCTCACGCCTGTAATCCCAGCACTTTGGGAGGCCGAAGCAGGCAGATCACGAGGTCAGGAGATCGAGACCATCCTGGCCAACATGGAGAAACCTCTTCTCTACTAAAAATACACAAAATTAGCCAGGCGTGGTGGCATGCACCTGTAGTCCCAGCTACTCGGGAGGCTGAGGCAAGAGAATGGCGTGAACCTGGGAGGTGGAGCTTGCAGTGAGCTGAGATCGCGCCACTGCACTCCAGCCTGGGCAACAGACTCCATCTCAAAAAAAAAAAAAAAAAAAGAATGCAAAAGAGTCCTGAAACCAAAAAAAATTGAGAACAACTGTTTGAAAACTTCCTGTCCCCCAACCCCAATATATTATGATGCTTCTGTGTGTCAAATAAGAAGGAATTACAACCATAAGCAATCTTTAAAATCTTTTAAGTATTTTTTTTTTTGAGATGGAGTGTTCCTCTGTCAAGCCCAGGCTGGAGGGCAGTGGCACAATCTTGGCTCACTGCAACCTCTGCCTTCTGGGTTTAAGCGATTCTCCTGCCTCAGCCTCCCAAGCAGCTGGGATTACAGGCCCATGCCACTGTGCCCAGCTAATTTTTTGTATTTTCAGTAGAGACAGGGTTTCGCCATGTTGGTCGGGCTGGTCTTGAACTCCTGACCTCAGGTGATCTGCCTGCCTTGGCCTCCCCAGATGCTGGGATTAAAGGCGTGAGCCACCGCGCCCACCCCTAAAATTTTAAAATGTGCTACAACATACCATTTTGACTCAGGGAATTTTGAAAGAGTGCTGGAGTTGAAAACATTTGGGTTAATGTTGGTGTGTTGGGTCTGCTCTAGGATCTAGCAATTGCGATGGTTAATTTTTTTAAACATAAAGTTGTTTTATATTTTTAATTTTTAAAGCTGATACCTAGTAATTGTACGTATTTATGGGGTACATACTGTTATTGCAATACGTATCATCTATAGTGATCAGATCAGGGTAATTAGCGTATCCATCATCTCAAATATTAATCATTTCTTTGAGATGGGAACATTATAAAAGTCTCCTTCTAGCTATTTGAAACTATGTATTATTGTTAACTACAGTCATCCTACAGTGAACTTATAAGTAAAGAATATTAAAACTTATTCCTCCTATGTAGCTGTAATTTCATGTCCTGTGACAAATCTCTTCCTATCCCTTCCCTCCCCCAACCCTTTCCATCCTCTTGTATCCAGTGTTCTACTTTTTACTTCTATGAGATCAACCTTTTTTTAGCTTCCACATATGACTGAAAACATGTGGTGTTTAACTTTCTGTTCCTGGATTATTTCACTTAACATAATGTTCTCTACTTACATCCATGTTGCCACAAATGACAGGATCTCATTCTTTTTTATGGCTGAATAGTATTTCACTGTGTATATATGTCACATTTCCTTTATCCATTCATCCGTTGTTGGACACTTAGGTTGATTCTATATCTTGTCTATTGTGAATAGTGCTGTAATAAACATGAATGTGCAGATGTCTCTTCAATATACTGATTTCCTTTCCTTTGGATAAATGCCCAGTAGAGGGATTGCTGGATCACATGGTAGTTCTATTTGTAGTTTTTGAGGAGCCTCCATACTGTTCTCCAGAGTGGCTGTGCTATTTTACTTTCCCATCAACAGTGTATAAGAGTTCCCTTTTCTCCATATCCTCACCAGCATTTTTTTTGTCTTTTTGATAATAGCTATTCTAATTGGGGTGAGATGAAGTCATTGTAGTTTTGATTTGCATTTCCCTTATGATTAGTGATGTTGAGCATTTAAAAATTTATTTGTTGGACATCTGTATGTCTTCTTTTGAGAAATGTCTGTTCAGATCATTTGCCCAGTTTTAAATCAGATTGCTTATTTTTTTGCCATTGAGATGTTCAAGTTCCTTGAATATTTTTGATATTAATCCCCAGTGGGAGAATAGTTTGCAAATATTTTCTCCCATTCTGTAGGTTTTCTTTTCACTCTGTTGATTCTTTTCTTTGCTGCCCAGAAGCTTTTTAGTTTTATATAATCGCATTTGTTTATTTTGGCTTTTGTTGCCTGTGCTTTTGAGGTCTTTTTCAGAATATCTTCTCCCAGGCCAATGTCCTTTCCCCTATGTTTTCTTCTAGTAGTTATTGTTTCTTGTATTTAGGTCTTTGGTTCATTTTGAACTGATTTTTGTATAGGGTGACAGGTGGGGATATAGTTTCATTCTTCTGCATATGGATATCAAGTTTTCCCAGCACCCATTTATTGAAGAGATTGTCCTTTCCCCAGTGCAAGTTCCTGGTATCTTTATTTAAAAAAAATCAATTGGCTGTAGGTATATGGATTAGTTTCTGAGTTCTTCATTCTGTTCCACTGGTCTATGTGGATTTTTATGCCAATGTCATGCTGTTTTGATTACTACAGCTTTGTAATATTTTTTGAAGTCTGGTAGAGTAATGCTTCAGCTTCATTCTTTTTGCTCAGCATTGTTTTGGCTATTCAGGATCTCTTGTGGTTCCCTGTGAATTTTAGGATTTTTTTCTATTTCTGTGAATAATATCATTGGTATGGTACTTTGATAAGCATTGCATTGAATCTGTAGATTATTTTAGATCATATGATGATTTTAACAATAATAAATTTTTTGATCCATGAGCATGGGATTTTTTTCTATTTGTTTGTATCCTCTTCAATTTCTTTCATCAGTGTTGTAGTTTTCCTTATAGAGGGCTTTCACCTCCTTGGTTACATTTATTCCCAGGGTTTTGTTTGTGTGTTTGTTTGTAGCTATTGTAAGTGAGATTGCCTTCTCAATTTCTTTTTCAGCTTGTTCTTTGTGTGTAGAAACACTAATTTTGTACATTGATTTTTAATCCTGCGAATTTGCTGGATTTGTTGATTAGTTCTAAGTGTTTTTTGGTGAGTCTTTAGATTTCTTTCTGTGTATGAGATCATATCATCTACAAACAGGGAAAATTTGACTTTCTTCTTTACCAGTTTGAATGCCTTTTATTTTTTTTCTCTTGCTTGATTGCTCTGGCCAGGATTTCCAGTACTGTGTTGAATAAGACGGGTGAAAGTGGGCATATTAGTCCCATTTCAGTTCTTAGAGGAAAAGCTTTTAGCTTCCCCTCATTTAGTATGATGTTAGTTGTGGGTTTGTCATATATAGTTTTTATTGTGTTGAATTACTTTCCTTCTATACCTAATTTATTGAGAGTTTTTATCAGGAAGGGATGTTGCATTTTATCAAATGCTTTTTCTGAATCTATTGATTATCATATGGTTTTTGTACTTCATACAGTTGATGTGATGTATGATATTTATTAATTTACATATGTTGAACTGTCCTTGCATTCCTGAGATAAATCTCACTTGATCATTGCATATTATCTTTCTGATGTGTTGTTGCATTTGATTTGCTAGTATTTTGTTGAGAATTTTTACATCTATGTTTATCACAGATATTGACCTGTAGTTTTTTGTTGTGTCCTTCCTTGTCTGGTTTTGGTATCAGGTCATGTAGACCTTGTAAAATGAGTTAGGAAGAATTTCTCCACTTCAGTTTTTAAAATAAGTGAGAAGAATTGTTATTAATTCTTCTTTAAAGGTTTGGTAGAATTCAGCAGTGAATCTGGGTACTGGACTTTTCACTGTTTAGAGATTTTTTTTTATTACTGATTCAGTCTCATTACTTGTCATTGATCTGTTCAGGCTGTCTGTTTCTTCTTAGTTCAATCTTGGTAAATTGTATGTGTCCAGAATTTTGTTCCTTTCTTCTAGAATTTCAAATTTATTGATGTGTAATTGTTCATAGTGATCAATAATAATCCTTTGTATTTCTGTGGTATCTATTGTGATACCTCACTTCTGACTTCTGATTTTATTTATTTGGGTATTCACTCTTTTTTTCTTAATTAGTCTAGCTATTGGGTTGTCAATTTTCTCTTTTCAAAGGACAATTTTTAATTTCATTGATATTTTGTAATTTTTTTAGTCTCAATTTTATTTATTTCTACTCTGACCTTTATTATTTCTTTTCTTCTACTAATTTTAGGTTTGGCTTGTATTTTCTAGTTCCTTGAGGTGCATCATTAGGCTGTTTGTTAGGTTGTGTCTTTCTAGTTTTTTGACACAGGCATTTGTTGCTGTGAACTTGTCTCTTAATATTGCTTTTGCTGTGTCCTACATGTATATTGTGTTTCTATTTTCATTTGTTTCAAAAATTTTTTAAATTTCATTCTTAATTTCTTCCTTTACATATTGGTCATTCAGGAGAACGTTAATTTCCATGTGTGTGTATAGTTTCAAGGTTAATCTTGTTATTGATTTCTAGTTTTATTTCATTGTAATCAGCTAAGATACTCAGTATGATTTTGATTTTTAAAAATGTTTGAGACTTGTTCTCTGTCCTAATATATGGTCAATACTGGAGAGTGTTACATTTGCTAACCAAAAGAATGTATATTCTGCCACTGTTGGGTGAAATGTTCTGTAAATGTCTGTTAGGTCCATTTGGTCTATGGTGCAGCTTAAATCTAATACTTCTTTGTTGATTTTTGGTCTAGATGATCTATCCAATGTTGAGAGTGAGGTATTGAAGTACCCAACTATTATTGTATTGGCTCTATCTCTCCCTTTAGATCTAATTATTTGCTTTATATATCTGGATGCTCCAGTGTTGGGTACATATATATTAAGAGAATAGTTATATTCTCTTGCTGAATTAATCCCCTTATTATTGTATAATTTCCTTCCTTGTTTCTATTTACAGTTTTTGACCTGAAGTCTGTTTTATCTGACATCAGTATAGCTATTCATGCTTACTTTTGGTTTCTGTTTGCATGGAATACCTTTTTCCATCCCTTCACTTTCAGCCACAGGTGAGGTGAGTTTCTTGCCAGCAGCATGTAGTTGGCCCTTGCTTTTTTTTTTTTTTTTTTGAGTCCATTCAGCCAGTCTATATCTTTTAAAGGGGGAATTTGATCCATGCTCATTTAGGGTTATTGTTGTCAGGGGAGAACATACACCTGTCATTTTACTGATTGTTTTATGGTTGTTTTGTATATCCTTTGTTCCTCTCTTTCCTTCTGATTATTTTTGTGGTTGAGTAGTTTTCTGTAGCGATAAGGTTTGATTCCTTAACTCTTTCTCCTTTGGTTCAATCAATGAGTTTTATAGTTTTGCATGCTTTCATGATGGTGGTTCTTGTTACCTAATCATAAAGAGTTATATGAAAAGCCAGAAAAATAATGCAAAACTAATAACCTTAAGGAAATTCAGTGAGTATGTGAGGAGAGTATGTCCTCTCCTGTCTATAATAACCCTGAATAATACTGGAGAACTATTGTGTTCCTTTGGAGATGCCATGATTCCTTGCTTTTTCATGTTTGATGTTTCCCTACGTTGGTTTCTACGCATCTGGTGAAAGAGTCACCTCTTCCAATTTTATGGAGTTGATTTTGTAGGGAAAGATTTAGGCATATAAATGGGCCTTAGGGTGTTGGTTTGGTTGGATGCATTGGCTTTAGTTCTAGCTGGATGCACTAGTGTAGTCTCCATGTAGTTTTCTTAGCTGTAATCCATACTAGTTAAGTTTTTCAAGTATCCCAGTAGCCTAGGATGAGACAGTTTGTGGTGAGGGTGGTGTGGCTTTGCCGGGGGTGAGGGGGCGGCTTGTTGGGCTATTTCTTATGTCAGAGGTGTGTGCATGCATACAGTGGGTCAGCCAACTTGGGGCTGGGGTTAGGGGTTATAGAGCTGTTACTTTAGCCAGGAGCAGGTGCACGCCATTGCTCAGCCAGCATAGAGGTGTGCCTGGCAGGAGCAGCCAACAGGGAAATTTCTCAGTCCTGGGGCATGGGCACATAGCTGCTCAGGTGGCTTAAGGACTTGTTTGCCAGGGACGGACCATGTGGCTATTTCTTAGGTGCAGGATGTGTTCGCATGGCTTCTTGTCTAGCCTGGAGACATGTCTGCTGGTGATGGCCCACACGGCTGCTTCCCAAGCTCAAGATGCAGGTGCATGGCTGCTTATTGGCCTGAGGGCATGTCTCATGGTGGTGGCTTGTGGGGCTGCTTCTCAGGTCTGAGACACAGGCACACAGCTGCTTGGTTGGCCTGGAGGTGTGCCCACCATAGGTGGCTTATGGGGCTGTTTCTAAGGCCTGGGATGTGGGTCCTGGGCTGCTTAGTTGGCCTGGGGGTGTGTCTTCCAGGGGCAGCCCATGGAGCTGTTTCTTGGATTACCATTGTGGCCATGGGGCAATGGGCAGGCCAGGGGCTTCTCTGCAGGGGATTGGGCACTGTGGGAACGTTTCCCAGGCTCTGGGCAGAGGCATGTAGCCACTCCATCAGCCCAAGAGCATGTCAGTTGCTTGGAGGCTTGAGAGCCTTTCCTGCTCAGGGAGAGAGTGTGCAACAGTTTGGCTAGCTCAAGGGCAGGTTTTCCCTGGGCAGGACTCCTAGACTATTCCTCCAACTGGAAGACTGTTCCTCCAACTGGCAGTGGGAATTTGTTTCCCTGCTAAACAAGACCAGAGTGACAGCTGATCCTGGGCCCAGGCTCCATGCAGCTGGAGTTGTGGCATTCAGCCACCTGTGTGGGCTAGTGGAATGAATATGGAACCCTAGTGCTGGAGAAGGGCAGTGGCTACTGGCCTCCAGAGGTGGCTCTGGTCTCAAGATGGTGCCATGCTGCACAGCCTGCCTCACAGTGGGTGGGTGAGGAGTGGGGCGTACACACTTTATGCTTCTAATGCAGGGAAGTGCAGCAGTGTGAATTCCTACCATCTCTTCAAACGGGGCTCAGGGCTTGTGAGGACAATAGGATTCTACTGCAGTAGGGACTTTAGGTATTTGTGGTGGCAATGGGGGCTGGTGGAGTTTCCTGCTTACCTTTCCCCACAGTGGGACTCCAGGTAGATTTGATCCAGCCAAGGAAGACGGTGCTGCAGAGGCTAGGTGCCTCCACAATGACCTCCTAGATTTCCAGTCACCACAGGTGTATCTCCACGCCCCTGCTACACTCCATTACTCTCCTTTGGACACTCCAGTCAAATCTTCTCTGTTTATTCATTACCTTGGTCCTTTCTTGTGGGAGAAACAAGTGCCAGGCATCTCTAGTCAGCCATCTTGCTGACCTAGACCTACTCTGTGATGGTTAATTTTATGTGTCACCTTGTCTGGGCCAGGTCACCCAAATATATGATTAAACATTATTCTGGATGTTTCTGTGACAGTGTTTCTGAATACAATTTACATTTAAATTGTTGAACTTTGAGTAAAGCATATCGCCCTCCATAATGTGGGTGGTTGGCATCTAATCAGTTGAAGGCTTGAATAGAACAAAGACTGACCTCCCTGAGGCAAGAAGGAATTCTTCCAGCAGGCGGCCTTCACCTGCAACATCTGCTCTTCCCTAGATCTCCAGCTTTATGGCCTACCCAACAGATACTGAACTTGTCAAGCTCCATAATTGCATTAGCCAATTCCTTAAACTAAACCTCTCCCTCTCTCTCTCTTTCTCCACTCACATACACACAGACACACACACATGCACACACACACACACACACACACATGCACCTTATTGGTTCTAATTCTCTGGAAAACCCTAATAGTAGGGGACAGGTTAGGGCATAATGACCTGGGGGTTGAGGTCTTTCTATGCCTGTCACATGGACAAGCTTTAGTTCTGGTGGAGGCATCTTTTCCTACCTCACTTGCTTTAGGAACTGGTCAGGGGGTCTTCAGCTAGACAGGGCATGCCCTGTGGGCAGGCCAGACCGTGGGCCCTCTTCCCCTTCTAAGCCGTTCCTCACTTACCCACTGTGCCACACTGGGGAGGCTAAGCTAAGGTTCTTCAGGGAGAAAAGGGAGAAAAATTTATTTTATATATGAATATATTTTTTATATTTATTTATTTTATATTATTATTTAATTTATTATATATTACTATTTTTTATATAAAAATCTATTTTTATATATATGTATAACTCTCCCCACAGATACCTTGAGTGGGACTGGGTTTTGGTTAAAGTGTCAGTTATTCTATATGCCATTAGAATCTTCTCAGGATGGTTGGTGGGGGTGTGTTTTAAAAGGAGCATGAGGCCAGGTGCAGTAGCTCATGCCTGCAATCCCAGGACTTTGGGAAACCGACATGGGTGGATCACCTGAGGTCAGGAGTTCGAGACCAGACTGGCCAACATGGCGAAACCTCGTCTCTACTAAAAATACAATAAAATTAGTTGAGCGTGGTGGTGCACACCTGTAGTCCCAGTTACTCAAGAGGCTGAGGCACGAGAAAGGCTTGAACCCAGGAGATGGAGGTTTCAGTGAGCCGAGATCGCACCACTATACTCCAAGCTGTGCAATGGAGCAAGACTCCGTCTCGGTAAAAATAAATAAATAAAAAATAAAAACAGCATGAGGACAACTAAGTTCTCAATCAGAGGACTGTCACCAGGCCCTGAACTAGGGAGCAGGACAGACAAGTAGGGGGCTGAGGAATGGACATGTCACCATTCTCAAATTTGCTTAGGGTTGGTTGGCCCTGCCTGTGCCCACACTGTTGTAATTGGGTACAGTCCTTTTTTTTTTTTTTTCAATCTGAATATGTTGGAACTAGTTTCTTAGGGGATTCATCAGTTGAGGTATCTTAGACCCTTGGCTGTGGGCCATAAAACACACTTGACTGAGTATGATATAAATACCTTCCACTCCATTGATGTATTGATTTGTTTTCATTTTGCTGTCTCCATGTACCATACACATCCATCTCCCAGCTAAGTTCCCGGAGAACTAGGGCTGGCTTGGAGAAATTCTTTTAGCACAAAACATGAACAATACAAGAGCCTAAAGAGGAAAAGTATTCATATCCATCCAGTACCTAAAATGTTGTAAGCATTTAAATATTAAACAATTATTCTAATCTTCACCACATTTAACAGACAAGGAAACTGAGTCTCAGGTAAGTTATATATGTAGTGTGGGATATTATTTTTAAAAGCATTTCCTGCTGTCTTCTCTCCTCTTCATAAGTCTTGGGATGTTAGGGGCTTATTGTTGGTTGGTTTGTCTTCCTGAAGCTTTAATACCGCTGAGACCAAGGCAGACTGCCCCAAGGAAGGAGGAGGAATGTGGCCCAACAGGAAGGAGAAGGAAGTAAAAAGGGAGGAGAGGAACAGACATACCAACTCCCAAAATAGACCACTGGAATCTAAAAGATGCTGAGCAGTGTTGAATGTACAATTTTAACTTTTTCTCTGACTTCTGAGTGGGAATGGAAGCTAGGAACTAAGTTATCAGTATTTTCCAAATTTCTTTGATGATTACCCATGATAAACAATGCATGCATATGTATATATACACATACGCATACATGCATTCACATAAGCAGGGCTACATATATATAACTTGCATATGTATATTATGTGAGCCACTTTATTATTTTCTATTCTGTTCTATTTCTTTTTAAAAAATGTTTGTTGATCCCATAAATTTAATTTATGTCCTATTAATGATCACCAACTTTGGAAAAACACAGAGTTATAGGAGATTTATTTTTCGACATATCTAAGTAACTCTCTCAGGGTCCTGTAGTATAAGCAGTGGATCTGGGATTTACCCCATGTTTGTTATGCTGAGCCCAGAGAGCTATGTTATGTTTGTTATAATAAGCCCAGAGAGAAGTCCCACCCAGCGGTAAGAGGTACCCAAGATACAACCAGTCCTTCAACTCAGACTTTTCCAGTTCATGGAAGAGACACATTTCCCCCTCCTACTACTGGGATCCCATCTGCTTTCAGCTACAAAATATTTCTTCCTAGACAAGTTATGGAACTACTAAGTTGCAGGCAAAATCAGAAGAACTTTAATTAGGAATTATCAAAGAGAATTTTCAAAAACGACATTCTCCCCACTAGAAGGGGAACTTCCTGTATAGGTGTATCTTTGTCCAGGAGAAAAATCTAACATGCAGCAAGTTCAGGAAGGACAAGAGGTAGAAACTGTCTTCCCTTGGGGCCATCTAATCCCACACTCAGCCAGTCCCATCTCCTTTGGGATGAGGATGAAGGGGTAGCAGTGGGCCAGGAGGTAAAAAAAGAAAAAAAAAAAAAAGGCAGAAAAGCAATTCTTCCTTTACTGACTTGCTTCCCCACCTCCCCACTCTCTGCACTGTCTTGGCAGCTTTTTCCACTCCCTACTCATTCCTTACACAGTTTTCCTCCTGTCAATTTTACTTTGGAATGGGCTATAATATTGAAAGAAAAAACCCAACCAAAAAAACCCTCTCTTTCCATGACTCAGGTTTGTAATTCTTCTGGAGGGAAAGAGAAAGCATGGTTGTCCAGGAATAGGACTTTCCAAGCATCTTAATTGACCAAGCTGGAAAACTTGGTCTTCAACACATGTATTTCTTTCCCTTCCGAGTGTCTCTAGGCTGTGGTGGTCCCTTTGGAGAAGGTTTAGAATAAACATGGCCTGACATTTCCCTTGCACTTCCACTTGTTCGTCTGTTCTGCTACCTTGCTTAGACTCCTTTCATCCTTCCTGCTGGAACAGGGAAGGGGGTTGGCGGGATCATGATCTACCAGCCCTGAGTGATCTGGCCCCTACCTCTGTTACTGAACTCCAGTCACTGCTTTTGCCATTTTTTGAACAAAATGAGCTCTTTCCTGCCTCAGAGCCTTTGCAGAAGCTGTTCCTCTTCCTGTAAAGCTCTTCCTTCGCTTCTTCAAATAGTCAGTTCCTTCTCATCATTTGGGGCTCAGCTTGAATATCACATTCTAAGGAGATTTTTCTCAATTATACTCTGTAAAATAGACCTTCGTTGTTATTCTCTAGAGTGGTCTTTGTTTTCTTTCATGATACCAACCATAATTCGTTAATAGTTTGTCTTTTTTTCTGCCTCCACCACTATTATGAGGCTTTTTTTTTCTCTCTTCCTCCCACTCCAGAAAGGCATAATCATCTTATAAAGCAGATAGTGTAATCCTCCTTTTTACACATTAAGAAATCTCTTTCATCTCGTGATTAAGATACTGTTGGTAACCTTCAACACAGGGAACTCTGCCAGACTCTTCTTTGTCCCTTACTAAATTTATTCATTTAATCATTCATTCATTCATTCATCTAGTTAATAGATATTTATTGAGCACCTACTTAGTAACTTTGTACCGGACACTGTGCCACAATGATGAGCAAGGCAATTCTTGCTCACTTTACTCCACATTGCAGCCAGCCAGAATAGAACCATGGGTCTAAAGTGCATTTCTCTGCTAAAAACCTTCATCAGCCTCCAAATGCCTTCTGGATGAAATCTGAGCTCTACAGTATGGAGAGGACTGCAGGCCCTCTGTAACCAGCCCCTCCTTCCTCCCCAGCAACATCTTTTGCTGCTCTTCTCCCCGCCTGGGCCCTGCTGGGTAACTACAGGAGCTCCTTCAGAAGACAGATAGCAACAACCAAAGTCCCCTGGGACTTGTTTTCGTGTGTGTGTGTGTGTGTGTGTGTGTGTGTGTGTGTGTGTGTGTGTGCGCGCTCTCTCTCTCTCTTTCACACACACGCACACACACACACATACACACACAGCCTGGGACAATGACAACAGTGGCTTCTGGGTTGCTCTTAGAGAATCTTAGCAGGTACATTTCTCTGCTGGTTGCTCAGATAGCTTTTAGCTACTACTTCCTGGGCTGTGGGCTTTTTATAATTTAGCTCCCAGTCCAGGAACAGCAAGTCAGGGGTTGATCTGGCCCTATAACTTGAGAGCAGGCCTCCGTAAGGAAACCTCACATTGCCAGGTCACAATGTGGCTGATAGTGTCAACAATGGCATGAACTTTCTTGCTTCAAGGATGCTAAATGTCCTCAAAGTGCTAAAGAAGATGTCAAGAGCTGCAAGCATAAGAGCTGTGTATCAAGAACCTCTTTCCCTGGGTGAGGCAGAACCCTTCCATTCATGCCTTATTAGAAGGGCCAGAGAGATGGGAATTTAAGTCTTTGCATTTGTAAGTATTTATTTCTCACTTTCAATTCCACATCTCTTCAGGGTTGCTGCAATAGATCCTTACAAAGCTTTCACTTTTTATATTTTGTGCTACATGGGACTTGCTTTTTTTTTTTTTCTTAGAGGAATATCATGAACAAAGGACTAAGGGAAAGATTTTCTTCAGCTTCTCTAGAAACTTGCAGCCTTCTAAATGCTTTATGCTTCAGTTTCTTCATCTATAAAATAGGGAATTAGCAAAATGAATGAACCTTTGTCTTTCATAAAATGTCTTATAGGATAGGTGCTGTGCAAGTAATATGCTATGGAATGATAATGTTTTGTTAGTGTTTATAAACATAATTTGAATTTTCCGTTAATTGGAATTAATCCTCTTTATAAGAAAAGACCTTTCCAATTAAATCACTGGTATGCGACTTCGGGTGGTTGAAGCCTTTATTTTGCTTTACTTCTAATAAAATGGGTTCCTACTCTATTTTGGGTAAATTCTTAATTTGCATCTTCCTTTGGCCAGTTTCAGTGGAGAGTCTCACCTTTTATTTAGTCTCTCTAAACAATATTTGTATTAGAAAATTTTCTTGGATATTATGCCTCTTCTCATTATTGAAAATCACTTTACAGCTGAAGGTTAATAGCAGTGTTTATTCAAGGTAATGTTACAATGTGCTTAAGATTTTAAAATAAAAACAAATAACCTTTCATTAAATGCTATTTTGGCTGGGTGCAGTGGCTCACACCTGTAATCCTAGCACTTTGGGAGGCCGAGGTGGGCGGATCACCTGAGGTCAGGAGTTCAAGACCAGCCTGGCCAACATGGTGAAACCCCGTCTCTACTAAAAAATACAAAAAATTAGCTTGGCTTAGTGGCACACACCTGTAATCCCAGCTAATTGGGAGACTGAGCCGGGGAGAATCGCTTGAACCCAGGAGGCGGAGGTTGCAGTGAACCGAGATCACACCACGGCACTCCAGCCTGGGTGCGACAGAGCCAGACTCCGTCTCAAAACCAAAACAAAACAAAAGCCACTATTTTGGTGAGTCATATTTTATTTTTATCCTGGATGCTTGATGTTCCATTTCCTTATGAATGAAAATTGTATTGAACACCACTAGCCCAAAATGGTAATGAATTACAAAGCTATTTACATTTCAGCTTTCTCATAAGTAAATGGTCACCTGTTTCTAACATTGAGCTATGTTTTAATGCTATTCCCCCAAGAATAAGTCTTCTAACCCTGGTATAATCCTTTCTTATCTTGAAAAAAGTAAAGGTCTTTAACATTTCTAGACATGCTTTGAATCTAAACTTTAGTTTCTAATAATAGTGTTAGTCACTGAAGTCATATACTTGAAAACATTAAATTGGAGTATCAATTTGTCTCTTTCTAAGTGGTACCAGTAAAATTAGCAGCCATAGAGTGTCAGAGTATGTCCTGACCTGCTGTGACTGATTTACTCACTTGATGACTCTGGGATGCTTCGAATTTGAACCCATTTGACTTTGAATCCAGACAATTCATTGCAATCTGGAATCACCCAAGCTAGTTTCTTTTGACTCAAGAAAGCCCTTGGACAAAAGAAAAAAAAGCAAGTCTAGGTTATCCCTCCTTCATCCTAAAATTAAGAGTTCCAAATAATTTGAGAGGGATGCTAGCTCTCCTCTATGAACCTCTTTCTGTTCCCCAGATAGTATGCTAACCTGATTAAAATCCTGAAGGTAGGTTTCAAGATGATATTTAAGGTATATAGTCTATAACTGTCAATTAGGAAGTTTTTAATAAATATAACCCCTCTCTCCTACCAAATCTGTGATTGATATAAACTTGAACTGAGTCCTCCAGGATGTCTCTAAATCAAAATGGTAGTTTAGACCCACTCTAAACAAGACCATTCCCTGTGCCTCAAATAGTCTGCTTACAAATAATCTTTATAGTGGGGATGCTGTTGAATCAGGCAGTGGTCTGGATGATCCATCATCAGGTAGGATTTCTTAGCCCATTATTTCTTGGTACATAGTTATAGAAAAATGTGGGCCTGAGGTTAACTCATGTTGAGTATTTAGCACGGTACCTGGCTCATAGACACTTAACATATATTAGTGCTTACTTTATTCCTTCTTGAGAGGATTTGGAGTATGAGAAAGCTAGGAGAAATATGGCAGAAACATAAACTTTAATTCAGGCAAGAGATATTTAGCTTCCTTCTCCCCTTTAGAAGAGTCCCAGCATACACATCTCCTGTGCCTAAGAGGTCTCCAACATCAAAGGTCTGCCGACTGCCACCAGCTGTGCTGGACTGAATGTGTGAGGAAGAGCAACACTGCTTCTGAAACAGCCCTGGTGCAAAGTGTGGGGTGATGATGATCAGAGCTCCTGTGAAAAATGTCTTAAGGATAAGTTGACAAGTGGGGAATTTTGAGCAGTGATTTTTCTGCAATCTGAGAAGCATAGCAGAATTGTTGAATGAATACAATTACATGCCCCTCACAGAGATTTCTGTGTAGCCTCTACAGTCACTCTCAAGTCACTTATGAACACCCATGGCGTCAGACATAATCCGCTCACACCCAAAGCACTAGCCCATAATGTAAAATTTCCTAAGGATTTTGGAAGGGAAATGAAGGATGATTTTACAGTGTCCATGGGATATACTCTCATAAACCCTCTATTCACCAGAGCTTCTCTTCCCAAGTCTCTCTGGCCTGCACTAGACACACACCACAGAATATATCTTCTTTTCTTCCTCTCTCCCCTGTATTGTAATGCTCAGCCTTCCAGACCCTGTCCCTCTTCCCCAGTCCCTTCCAAGTGCTTTATGCATAGCCATTTCACCAAACTTCTCCCACTTCCCCAAACTTGCCTGCCCACATGCAGGTGCTCAGCACAAAATAATTCCCCAAAGCAACCTTTAGAAGGGAGAGGTAGGTGGATTCATGAATAACAACCCCATCTCCAATTATTCCCCACACACATTTTCCATTCATAAAGCCTAATTTTAGTTATTAATTTGTTAATTGACTGCATGAAATGACAAAGCTAACAGAGACGAGGCCATATTTAGAATGAAAGCTAGGTTTAGAATGAAAGATTCCAAAGATTTCACTTCCTTCTAGCTTGCTTGGATGACAGCCTGGGATGGGCTTATCTACTCAAGATGTAACCAAGTGAGCCAGCGGCTCCTTGCTGGATTCTTCCTCCTAAGGAAGGACGATAGATCTATGTGATCCGAAGACTTTTGATCGCTGGTGCCTTCACATTATAGACCTTGGAAGCCTGACTTGCTTGGAAGCCTGTAGAGAGACTCAGGAAAAAATGTACTTTAAAAAAATGTGTAATAACCATATGTTGATTTCCCCCTTGTCCTCTTTGAGCTTCCAAAATCACAAAACTCTTTTTTATATAAAAGCATTAATTATCAAAGTTAAAAAAAATAAAGGAGGCTTATTGAAGATTTACTAGGCTGGATGGAGAAGAGGTTTCCATCACACACCACATAGGAAACAACTTAATAAAGCCTTCATTGTGCATTTTTCCCCAAAGTCTTTTTCTAGCTGGGTCGTAAGCTAGAATCTTCTTTTCTTTGATTTCGTCCCCTGGGGAAGCCCTTGGCCTTGCACCTGGTTGCTCTCTCTCCTTTATTAGGCAGAGTCTTCTTCTGCACAAAGCCTGGACCCCAGCAGGAAGCTTGCTCCTACCTCATAGCAGGCTTATCAGAGGCTGTTTATAGCAGAGCAAGCCTCTTCCTACAAAGGAATTCTCACACCAGCTGCCAAGAAGATAGCGTTTTCTCCATATGTTATATATCCCTTTTTATTTGAAAGATAATATTGTGTTTTTGTTGAATTTAAGTGTATCGATTCAGATTAATCTCTTCAACAGATAATTACTAAGGGTCTTTTATGAGCCAGGCAATGGGCTAGAAGCTGGGGCTACACCAGTGAGAAAGACCTGATGTCTGCCCTCAGTGAGCTCCCTGTTGAGTGGGGAAGAAGGGCAAGAAAACAGGCATTTCAACACCAAGTCTTCAGTGTGATATTGGGGTATATATTGGTTGATGTGAAAGAGTCAGCCCATCCAGTTCTGAGGGAGGAAGGTCTGGGAAGGCTTTCCACAGAAAGTGATATTAGCAGCAGCCTGCCAGATGACTGGTGTTGGGGGAGCCGGAGGGCCGAGGCAGCATTCCAGCAAGGAAGCAGCAGGTCCAAAGCCCAGGGGGACAGGCAGCACAGCCTGACCCAGGTGACAGTTCACAGTTCCCTGGGGTGAGGAGGGGAAGAGCAGAAAACGATGAGGCTGGAGAAGGAAGCATGGCCGACCATAAATGGCTTGTAACAAACACCACGTGGAAGTGTTCAGGACTTTTTTTCTCCTAAAATCAGGGAGAGAGATTTTGAGCAGGCCAGCAGCATATTTAGATTTCATTTTTTTAAGAAAAAATCTCAATGGATGCAATATAAACCAAACCAAACCCAAACAAAACAAAATAAGGCATATGTGTAATAACTGCTATGTGTGAATTGTGCGCAAAGTACTGCAAAAGTCCCTGAGGGGCCAGGTGCCTCCTCATGGCTGTCGAGGGCCCAGGAAGGCGTTCTAGAGCGGGTGACCTGGGTCGTGAGGGGGGGCACCTCAGCACTGCAAATACCCCACCTTCTAAATGTGTTGGTTTGATTCCAATGCAAATCCTCTCATTCTTGAGAACTTTGAAGACAGTATTACTCAAGCACCTTCTAAAACTGCAGTCCCATTTATTATTTATCTGACACTCCTGATGACTTTCTTTCTTGTCAGGTCTATGAATCTGAAGGAATTTTAGAGCTCAGATAAAAACTTTCTTGAATAAATTATTATAAAATTTTCAATTTCTAGGAAAATCATCAAACTGCAATAATAATGCTAAGCACCATAAACGAAGTTTGGTGTTATTTCCTGTATGGTCTACAAAAATTTTACAAAAAAAAGTTGAAGAATGAAGTTTGCATGATCATTAATGTGGCTCTTTTTCCAGAGAAAATAGATTCTCTCTTCTAATGAGAGCATTGTAATTAAAAAAAAAAATGAATCTAGTTAAAGGGATTTGGGCATGTCATGTATGAAGAAAATTTTGACGGAAATGAATGTCAAATTTTTGTTTGTCAACAAATAACTACTTAAAATAACAAATAATATTGAGCAATTAGTAGTATACACAAGTGTGATCTTTGCATTTTGTCATTTACTACTCAAAATAGTCCTATGAACCACATGCCAGTAACCATCATCCCCATTTTACTAACAAAGAAGCAGAGGCCTAGAAAGGTTATATAACTTGCCTAAAGTCATGCAGTTACTAAGCACCACAGCGGAGATTGAAAACTAAATTTGTCTCCAAAGTTTATATTTCATTGCACGGCTGCTGCAGTTCTTTTTCTTAGAGATCTTGGGGCTTTTAGCTCCTTCCTTTGGGCTAGATATAGGATTTCAGCTTTGGGTACTTGACCAGACATACAAGTAGGAGACTAGTACAGAAAGGATAACTTGTTTAATAACCTCATAATCACCAGTGATTCAATAATTTAATATTAACATTAACCTCCATAGCCTTCCTTTCCATCAGCACATTATCATCTTTATTGAAGGATATAGGATATGGCCCTAAATTACTTATTTTTCCTAGATTTGTACAACTCTGCCCTATTGCATTGCTTTCTTTTCTTGTCAATCTGTGGAGCATTATTGGCTAAGTGGGATTGAGTATATCTTCCAACGTTAATTGTTTTCAGTTGTGAAAAGGGCGTTCCTGGAGTGGAAGGAGGGTAGCACAATGGTAAAGGGCAGCTCTGGCTTTGAATTCCAGCTCTACCATTTGCTTGTTGTATACTTCTCTTGATAAGCATGTACAGCATATGCCCAGAAAAACCTCCTTCCAGAGGGTAATAAATTAAGTTCCCTACTCCATCATCTTCTTTTTTTTTTTTTTTTTTTTTTTTTTTTGAGACGGAGTCTTGCTCTGTCACCCAGGCTGGAGTGCAGTGACGCGATCTCCGCTCACTGCAAGCTCCGCCTCCCGGGTTCACGCCATTCTCCTGCCTCAGCCTCCCGAGTAGTTGGGATTACAGGCGTGAGCCACTGCGCCCGGCCTCATCATCTTCTAATATGATCTTTTCTCATCAGGTAGAGGTAGGAGTTTTAATAGTCATATTGCATCCTTGATTCAAAGATCCTGCTCACATTTAGTAAGAATAAATTAGTGTTTGCTTATCATATTTAAACTTTTGATTTAAAATATTTTACTTTCAGTGTAGCCACTATGACACTATTTTTCAAAAATGTCGGTTTCCAAAAGAGTAGACAAATATGTGCTATGGTTTGTATATATAGATAATACTATAATACAATGGACCAATAGTGTCCATGTAAAATTGTCTTCCACTAGGACTGAAGAATTTGTATCAATGTTATAATCAGAGCTGTAGGGAAATAAATATCACAGGCCAGAAAACTACCAGCCAGTTAATGCCAGTGTTGACAGAGTCATGTAGGCACAAATAGGTCTTCTGTTACTGGCTGATATAAAACTGGTTGTTTTTTGAAGGAAGCATCAGGGATGAACAAAAAGTCTAAAAGATTTCACATCAGGGCTACAGTTTCACACTTAATTCATTCAAATACTGATAAAAATGGTAATGAAGAATGAAGGCCATGCTAATTGCAGTTCAATAATTTTAGTGATGCCTTTGCTCTATACTGGGGGATCCAGTTTCCATTACACATCTATTGCAAATCATTCACTTGTTCTAGTGTTTATTAAGCATCTACTACGTAAGAAACTGTCTTAGGGACTATTTTGTTAAGGATCTTATGATCCAGAGGAAGGGCCCGTGCACTCTCACATGACAAAGAATATAGCCGCAAGGTCAAATTCCTTTACAACATAATTGAAGGAACATCCAAATTATTGTATTTCAATAGAACCTTATTTTATTGGATTTCCGAAATAAGTAGTTTATTGGCTAAGGCTGGGGAATCTTTTGATAATAGTGAAGTTTTCATTATGATGGTATTTATCATAAGGAGATCTGAACTGTAATATAATACAATTACAATCATAAATATAATTATGAGGTGTAAGTGCTAAGGGAATACAGGAGAGATTAATTAGAGACAGGTGGTTCCAGGGCTTCTCCAAGGGCTTCTGGTAAGTTCAGGGGGAGATCTTGATTCTCTCCAGATTCTGCCTTCGCCCAAGGGACTCTCCTACACTGAGAGCTTATGGTGGAGAAGAGAGGGTCTTTTCCTTCACACTCAAGTCAGAAGGATCCTTTGGCTCCAGCTTTTAGGAGTCTCACCTTATTTCTTTAAAATAACTAATATTACTAAAAAATACTCTGTTATCCATTAAATAACTTATCTTTTGAGACCTTCGATGATGGCTCCAGATTTGAAAAATAGCCTTTTAAAATGAAGTGACATGCAGAGGACTCGGGTCAAACCCCCAAACGCTGTTGAGGAGAGGCATGCTTAATAATGGGCCCCGTGAGTTATGAAACATTAATGGATCCTGACACAGCTGTCACTGGGACACCGTGGTCACTCTCATCTGGTCAGTCGTGCATGAGGTCTCACTTTCATTCGAGTAGGGATGTGACCACTCTACATCTTTTTATCTTCTCATTCACCTACACGTTTCACAGCCTTGCACATTTCATATTAATAAGACTCTCCTAATATTAAGCCTTGATTGGCCGACTGCTGGGTGTATTTGTTTTGAAATAAGCTGTTTGGATGGATGTAAACATTTTGACCATGCTGACACTAAAGACAATCTTTTTTTTTGAAACAGAGTCTTGCCCTGTCACCCAGCCTGGAATGCATTTCATACATCTTCAAACACTCCCACTCTTTGCCAGCTTTTAACCCGAGTCTATTAGTCTCTGCCTCTTTTCTCAACCCTCTTTAATCCATCTTTTTTTTTGAGACGGAGTCTTGCTCTGTCCCCAGGCTAGAGTGCAGTGGCCCGATCTCAGCTCACTGCAACCTCCGCCTCCCTGGTTCAAGTGATTCTCCTGCCTCAGCCTCCCAAGTAGCGGGGATTACAGGCACATGCCACCATGCCCAGCTAATTTTTGTATTTTTAGTAGAGGCGGGGTTTCACCGTGTTGGCCAGGATGGTCTCAATCTCTTGACCTCGTAATCCGCCCGCCTTGGCCTCCCAAAGTGCTGGGATTACAGGCATGAGCCACTGCGCCCGGCCTTTTTTTCTTTTCTTTTCTTTTTTTTTTTTTTTTTTTTTTGATGGGGTCTTGCCCTGTCACCCAGGCTGGAGCGCAGTGGCGTAATCTCAGCTCACTGCAGCCTCCACCTCCTGTATTCAAACGATTCTCCTGCTTCAGCCTCCCGAGTAGCTGGAATTATAGGCACGTGCCACCACACCCAGCTAATTTTTGTATTTGTAGTAGAGACGGGGTTTCGCCATGTTGGCCAGGCTGGTCTCAAACTCCTGACCAGATGATCCGCCCGCCTCGGCCTCCCAAAGTGCTGGGATTACAGGCGTCAGCCACTGCACCCAGCCAAGACAATTTTAAAACTAACTTAGGGAAATAAAGATCGTGCTAGGTTTTGCTGGATACTCAGCACGCTAAGCTTCAGTATGCCTGTGCACAGCAAACAGCAATTGGAAGTTCCTGGATGGCCTTAAGTAGAGCATCCCTGGCCTTGTGGTTATTTGACTGTATCAATACATGTTTAACTGCCATTAATAAGAAGCAGAAACAAAACTAGTCAAAGCCCAGTTTAAACCAGAAATGAGAGTTTTGTGGAGCTCTAACTCCCAAGGCCATATAATCAAGTGTATTGTGCTGACCATCAGCTGTCAGGAACACCGAGTCCCCACTTCAGCTTGGTGATGACTCACTCTGCTGTCCTAGGTGAGTCACTTAAACCCTCTGCTCCTCAGTTTCCCAACTCATCTCTCTTCACATGTATGCAAAGGACTTGCAGAAAGAGTCTTTTAAAAAATGACCTGTTTTCAGCTGGGTGTGGTGGCCCACGCCTGTAATCCCAGCACTTGGGGAGGCCAATGCGGGCGGATTACAAGGTCAGGAGATCGAGACCATCCTGGCTAACACGGTGAAACCCTGTCTCTACTAAAAATACAAAAAATTAGCAGGGTGTGGTGGTGGGCGTCTATAATCCCAGCTACTCAGGAAGCTGAGGCAGGAGAATCGTTTGAACCCAGGAGGTGGAGGTTCCAGTGAGCCGAGATTGCACCACTGCACTCCAGCCTGGGCGACAGAGCGAGACTCCATCTCAAAAAACAAAACAAAACAAACAAACAAAAACCTGTTTTCAAGCATCTGAGTGTGTAATTGTTTGACAGGAACAAAGAAAAGAAACTTTTTAAAACAGCAAACTTCTAGCTCCCATTGATTTTATATCAGTAACAAATTACACTTTGTTGCTATATAGGATTGGAAATCAGCAGTCAAGCAAAAGTGAAGTTCCAATAATCTACATTGTTGAAGTGCCAACAAACAAAAGTCAGTTTGTCATGTTTCTAAACAACTGGAAAGTTGGGAGCAGGCTGAAGCAGTGAGGAAAACCTTAGGCAGGATGGAACATAGCTCCGGGTTAAGAGGAGGTGGTAAGGGTGAAGTGGGATCTATGGCTTAACAAAGTGGTTAATTGTCATCACATGATTCAAATATGTTTATTTCTTAAACCTTCACTCCAGACTGAGGCGGACAAGGGGCCTCTTTCTAATTACAGATGACTATTAGCAACCAACAGGGAGAAAGAAAGAAAAATGAAAACAAGAAAAAAATGAATGAAAAAGAAAAGCACTGTAATCCTTTGCATTATCAAAAGTGATCAACAGTCGGTTCTTTACAGGCTGTGAGAACAACATTTCCACATTATTTTCCAGTCACTGCTACCAGCAGAAACTCCCTATAGAAGGAGGCTCATAGCAGCTACACACAGACAACAGAGAAGGAAGCTGCTTGGTATAGCCGTCACCTTCAGGACAACAGACAGCCAACAGAGCATTTCACCCTGAAGGTGTACGTGTGATTACACAAAACCCTCACTTGGTCATTTTTTTTACGTGTTTTAATAATGCTGATGCAAAATAAGAGTAAAATTACAGGTGCCAGTTCCCATTGTAGAATGCTGATAAACAACTTACCATTTTGCAGTGGCTGGTCACATCTGGAGCCTTTTGGGATGCAAAAGTACTGGAAGGATTATTGCAAAACTTAAAGACACTTTTGCTGCCATTACTTTGTTTTTAACCTAAATTAGTGTGGGTTTTCTTGGGGGGGTGCTGGGGGGATGCTTTTTTAGATAGTCTTAATGCTTATATTATAAACTTATTTAGTTAAACACTAACCAAATAACAAAATGAAAAAGGGGGTTAGGTTTAGAGTAGTTGCTTGAAAACTTTTCCAAATTGACCTTAAATAGACAGAGGCTGGTATAAAACTATGGATTGGTGGATTATGACTTATTAATTTTGGTACTATCAAAATCCTCAATTTAACCTGATGAAACTTGATTTGTCACTGTTGATATCTCTCTTACAAATGTTGAATTAGCATGTAATGTGCACAGTGTAAGAATAATAATATAAATGGAAGTGCATTGTTCCTATTCTTTATGGAGCTATGGTTTTTCATAACCACAAAAGAACATTAACATAAGAATATAATGTATTAGGGTATAGTTAGTATTTTGACTCTTTTTTAATAAAACTCTTCTTTTAGGATATAAATATTTCTCTGTATTTTGTGTCTGCTGCAAGGTAATTTGGGCTGGTACCAGGACTAGACATGGATGGGTGGAGAGAGTCTGGATCTTCCCCTTTAGGGTTTCATGATTCTTGTATGTTTTCCTCAGGTTGCTTCAGGACTAATTCTGCTTGTGTGTAGCTAGTAGAGCATGATCCCCTTGCCTTCTTTTCTTTTCGTGCTCCTCAGTTGAGAATATGCAATCTAAATCCTTAAGGTGCAAACTAGTCATATCTACCGAAGTCCAGCTTCCAGCAGATTCTTTGCTATATCTAGCATGTACGAAATCAGACATTTTAATGAACGCATGTGTTTTCCTGTAGTGTTACGTGGACTGACAGGCTGTGGAGATGTCTGAAGTGATTTGGCTGGACTCATTGCAGTCCTCCAGAAATCATTTCCTGTGGCATCATGCAGTGCATTTCTCCTAGGATTTCCTTGTCAAGAATATTCCTCTTTTAAGCAAAATAATAACTTATGGAGCCTAATGGATTTTATAGCTGAAGATTGAAGTAGTGTGCCCAGTATGTGAAGCATTCTAGCTTTCTTCATGCAAATGAGCAGATATGCTTAACAAGTCAATCTTGAATCTATTTGGTGAAAAAAGCCACTCTGTTGGCTGTGTGCTATTAGTACATGTAGATACAAGCACACACGGGCTTGGACGTGTATTAGCATCGGATGTTACTTCACTGAGAAAGTGATCTGTTGACCAAAATATGCATATCTGAATGGAAGCAGGCCTTTGTGGTGCTCTTTTCAATTCTAATCTGCTATGGTCTGAATGTTCGCATCTCCACAAAATTCACGTGTTGAAATCCTAACCCCCAAGGTGATTGTATTAGGAGGTAGAGTCTTTGTAGGGTGATTAAGTCGAAAGATCAGAGCTCTTATGTGTGGGATTAGTGCCCTTATAAAAGAAGCCCCAAAAAGCTTATTCTCCCCTTCCACCATGTGAGGACACAGAGAGAAGGCGCCATCTAAGAGGAAGCAGGCCCGTACCAGGCAGCAAATCTGCCAGCGCCTTGATCTTGGACTTCTCAGCCTCCAGAGCTGTGAGAAATAAATTTCTCTTGTTTATAAGCCACCCAGTCTATGATATTTTCTTATAGCAGCCCGAATGGACCAAGACAGCTATTTAAAGCCTGTGTAGTAGGAGACTTTCTGGCTGACTCGGTCAAGAAGTCAAAAAGAGATTTCTGTTTTCTTCCAAATCATGCTTATTGATTTGGAGTGAAATTCAGTGATGGGCTGTAAAGTAATAGGACTCACATAGTGAGTCAGAGGAAGGAGAAGATTAACATTTGTTGAGTACCTAATATGTGCCAAGCTTTTTTCATAAATTAACTCATTTATTCCTTACAACAAACTGGAAAGGAAATATTGTTACTCTTCATGTATAGATGAGAAAACTGAAAGAGAGGTTAAATAACTTGTCCAAGTCCAGAGTTCATATTTAGAAGAGCCAGAACTTTAATTTGGGTCTAACTCTAAAGTGTACGGTGTTTCCAACTATAGTGTGCTGCTTTCTGTGGCTTCTGAAACGTTATATAGGGGGACTCAGAGGGAGATAATTCCTTTGGAGGAAAACATCTCATATTGTTTGAAGTACATTTTCAAACCTACTTAGTAAACCTATGTGCTGCAAAGTGGGCCTGTTCCTCAGTTGTCTATGGTCCCATCTGCATTTTACATCTGGAAAAGCATATCTGGAAAGAGTTTCATCCTGGTAGCTACAAAGGACAGTTGGAAACTTCTGCTTTTTGTACAATAAAATCTGCAGTGGTCTTGGTAACGACCTTTCCAATTGTGGTATTATTGTTTTAGCTCTATTGGTTACGAGGAAGAGTCATTCCAAGGGAGTTTATTGTGAGGTTAAAATGGGCCATCTTCTGGCCATCCTAGGAAAAAAAAAAAATCGTTGTATAGTCCATGGGCTGGATTAAGGACCGGACCTAGAACTAAGGTACTTCCTTTGTCTCCCCTGCCACCCTATGGCACTTTTTCCTTTTTTCTGGAAATCTGCTTCTTCTCTTATTGCTCCTCTCTGTACCTCTGCTCCATTCTCCATTGCCTTCCGCCTGCTCATCAGCATGCTCATGGTTGCACATGGCTACCATAGTTCTCAATTTCTTATGATCAGCATATTACTGTCTGAGGAAACTCTTAAGTCTCTTTAATTTCAAGAGAAGATCTGAGTCCCCACTGCTATTGAGTGTCCTTGCTCAGGTGTCCATCCCTAGTTCACCAGTGTCACTAGCGAGGGTGGCACAAACTTGACTGCTATGCCTACCACTTTAGCAAAGGTTACAGGTAAGGGCAGTTTCTGGAGAAAGGGGCTCTGAGTAATGCAGACACTTCAAATACGTCTCCAACCATAAACCAAAAATATATAAATGTGGCTTTATAGTTTTGGGAATGTTTTCATATAATCTTTGATCTGGAATAATTTATCCCTATTTTATACTTAAGGAAACTATGACCAACTGGTTGGATGATTTGCCCAAGGTCATTTGGCAAAGTAAACTAAAGACGAAAGCTTAGGTTTCTACCTGATTAGTTTCCACCATATTAGGCTGCCTCTTTTTCTACACAAATGTACACAATTTATGGAAGAAAGTTGTTTTGTTTTATTCTTTTTAATCTACAGTTTAATTCATAATTAGCATTCATGAATGAATTTGTTAATTTGAACCACAGTGGACTTTGGCTTCTCTTCCTAGTACCACACTTTAGTGTTGTACCTGAAGATTTGTATTGTACTCCACTGGAAGCTTGTGAATTCACTTTCTTATATTGGTATGGCACAAACTTGTAGGAATTATGGCTACTACAAAAAGGAAAAGTTGAACAGTTTGTTTTGGGCTGGAGAGTAATTGAGTTCAATTTTGTACAGGTAATAGAGTATGCCTTTAAATTATCATGTGCAGTATTTTGGAGATGGAACATTTTGGTTAAGGGAAACACCAGCTCCAAAAAAGTGGGGATGTCCTAAAAGACCATCATTAAAATACATAGAGAAATGAACCCTTAGTCAGGGCTACACCTGAACACATTTATGCTAGTTTTTTTAATGACTCCTGAACATCAAACCAAAAATCAAGAAAAAAACTGAAATGAAAATGCTCAGTTATTCTCTTTGCCCAGAGACAATGCAATTTCCCTGTGCTAAATTCTGTTAAATTTTCCAAAACTTGAAAAAGTGGTAACATTTTAAAGATGAAAGGAATTTGTTCCTTTCCTCAAGAAAAGAACAGTCTGGTGTAATGGACAAATTGAAATGCATCAAAATATAAAGTGCCTCTTTATTTCATTCGTAATGGACATATCTGTTGGCAGTGGCCACCATGGCAGAAAAGAGATGGCAATTTTTCATGCAGGAACATTACAAATAAATTCCTGTATGCTTGAAATGTCTGGAAAAGTCTGTGGAAATGGACCTTAAATGGTTACACAGTTAACATTCAGATATCAAAGAATTTTGCAAAATAGAAACTGTTTAAATATTAAACATCAAATTTTCCTTCTTTCAAAGGACTAATAACTTAGCAATAAAAATTGTCTTTGAATCTTGCCATCACAAGGTCTCAGTCAGGCAGTGGATTTTAAATGAAAACTTGCAGGCAGCTCTTATTTAAGCAAAATTAACAGCTGAGCAAAGAGGAATGAATTAGTAGACTGCCCCAAACTCACATTGACCAGACAACAGTCCACCTCCATTGCAGCACAAGCCTCTCTGTGGAGCTGCCTGCAAAGCGAAACCAGGATCAATGCTGTCAGGGAAATGCTTCTGCACAGAGGCAAGGCACTAATCAAGTTCTCCTGCAGCTGCTAACCTGATCCCCAACCGTTAAAGAAGAAACACACAGCCATGAGAGAGGAGCAGATGGTGGACAAGGAATCAGAGAAAGGGAAACAATAATGGGGGAATCCGGGGGCATGAAAATATTGGGCCACCCCAACAATAAAAATCCCTTTGTCCATAGTGATCAGGAAACGTTTTATTAAGATGTTCTCAAATAGGCTCACCCACATGAGGCAAAGGGTAAGGTTTGCCCATGCAACACCTGAGGCTGTTTCTGGGTAGGCAACTGGGGCCTTCGTACCAGTTTCCAAATGGGAGCCCTGTTACTGAACCAGAGTAAGAAGGCAGGGCCCAGTCAAAAGTAGCAGGAGTCATAACCTGGGAGGAATGGAAAGTTAGGAAACATCAACATATTTTTTTTTTCTGTACAATCATGTGCCGTAGATAAACGTTTTGGTCAATGACTACATATAAGAAGGTGGTCCCATAAGATTATACTAGAGGAAGCAGAAAGATGCCTATGGCCTAGTGACATCATAGCCGATGCAATACAATACATTACTCAAGTGTCTGTGGTGATGCTGGTGTAAACAAACCATCTGTGCTGCCAGTCATATAAAGGTCTAGCATGTATAATTATGTACAGTACATAATACTTGGTAGTGACAATAAACCACTACATTGCTGTTTTATGCATTTACTGTACCACACTTTTTACTATTTTGAAGCATAATCCTTCTACTTATTAAAAAAAAAAAAAGTTAAGTGTAAAACAGCTCCAGGCAGGTCCTTCAGGGAGTATTCCAGAAGAAGGCAATGTTATCATAGGAGATGACAGCTCCATGACTGTTATTGCCCCTGAAGACCTTCCAGTGGGACAAGATGTGGAGGAGGAAGACAGTGATATTGATGATCCTGATCCTGTGTAGGCATCGGCTAATGTGTGTGTTTTTGTCTTCGTTTTCAACAAAAAAGTTTCAAAAGTAAAAAAAAAAAGAAAATTTTACAAATAAAAAAGGCTTGTAGAATAAGTTTACAAAGAAAGACATTTTTTTGTAGACACAGTCATGCTCTGTCGCCCAGGCTGGAGTGCAGTGGCATGATCTCAGTTCACTGCTGCAACCTCTGCCTCCCAGGCTTAAGCAGTTCTCAGGCCTCAGCCTCCTGAGTAGCTAGGAACACAGGTGTGTGCCACCACATCCAGCTATATTTTGTATTTTCTTTTTAGTAGAGATGTGGCTTCGCCATATTGGTCAGGCTGGTCTCAAACTCCTGGACTCGAACTCCTGGCCTCAAGTGATCCACCCACCTTGGCCTCCCAAAGTGCTGAGATTACAGGTATAAGCCACTGTGCCTGGCCAGAAAGAAAATATTTTTGTACAGCTGTATAATATGTTTGTGTTTTAAGCTAAGTGTTATTATAAAATAGTCAAAAAGTTAAAACCTTATAATGTTCATAAAGTTAAAAAGTCACAGTAAACTGAGGTTAATTTATAACTGAGGAAAGAAAAATATTTTAATACATTAGCATAGCCTATGTGTGCAGTGTTTAAAAAGTCTACCGTAGTGGGCCGGGTGCGGTGGCTCATGGCCTGTAATCCCAGCACTTTGGGAGGCCCGGGCAGGTGGATCATCTGAGGTCAAGAGTTCGGGACCAGCCTGGCCAACATGGTGAAACCCCGTCTCTACTAAAAATACAAAAATTAGCCAGGTGTGGTGGCATGCGCCTGTAATCCCAGCTACTCGGGAGGCTGAGGCAGGAGAATTACTTGAACCCAGGAGGCAAAGGTTGCAGTGAGCCGAGATCGCGCCACCTCACTCCAGCCTGGGTGACAGAGCGAAACTCCATCTCAAAAAAAAAAAAAAAAAAAAGTCTACCATAGTGTACTGTGATGTCCTAGGCCTTCACATTCACTTGCCACTCACTCACTGACTCACTCAGAACATCTTCCATTACAACCTCCATTCGTGGTAAGTGCCCTATATAGGTATACTATTTTTTATCTCTTATACCTTATTTTTACTGTACTCTTTCTAAGTTTAGACAAGTTTAGATATACAAATACTTACCATTGTGTTGCAGTTGCCTGCAGTATTCAGTACAGTAACAAGCTGTACAGGGTAGTAGCCTAGGAACAATACGCTATACCACATAGCCTAGGTGTAAAATGTGCTATATTAGGTTTGTGTAAATAAACTCTGTGATGTTCACACAATGATGAAATTGCCTAATGACACATTTCTCAGAACATATCCCCATCATTAAGTGACACATGACTGCATATTTTAGAATCAGCTTATGAATTTCTACAATAAAGCCTCTTGGGATTTTGCCTGAGATCACATTGAATCTATAGATCACTTTGGAAAGAACTGACGTTATGACACCATTGAGTGTTTCAATCCATGAACATGATATCTCTCTGTTTATTTAAATCTTTTTTCATTTCTCTCTGCAATATTGTATCCTTTTTCAGCACAGAAGTTATGCACTTCATTTATTAAGTTACTTCTACGTATTTAAAATGTTTTTTGAAGCTATTGTAAATTTTGTTTCTCAATGTTATTTGCTTTCTTAAAAATGAAAAATCCTCATTGTTTTCTTATTCTGGAAAATATAAAGATATAGAAAAGAAAGTATCAATTATAATATTACAGCCTAAAGATTATTATTAACATCTTGGTGTATATCCAATACTCTTATTTATATTCATACCTACATATACATATTTTAAAAATATAAATGATGAATCTGTCCTTTGAAAATAAAAATTAAGCCAAATCAACATCAACATAACCTAAGAAGCATTGAGTGACTATCCTAGACCTACTTTGGGCATTGATTTAAAAATCCCTGTATATACCCATTTTGGGGAAATCAGAACACATTTTTTTCCAACAGAAACAATGTTTAAAATGGTAGATTATCAATTCAGGCCAAGCACAAACAAACAAAAAAAAACAAAAAACCCCTACTTAACCCATAATGGCTTTTAGCCTTCTGTCCCTGGCCAATTTTTATTTATTTATTTATTTTTATTTTTTTTGAGATGGAGTCTTGTTCTTGTTGCCCAGGCTGGAGGGCAGTGGCACGATCTCAGCTCACTGCAACTTCCGCCTCCCAGGTTCAAGTGATTCTCCTGCCTCAGTCTCCAGTGTAGCTGGGATTACAGGCATTCGCCACCACGCTCAGCTAATTTTGTATTTTTAGTAGAGATGAGGTTTCACCAAGTTGGCCAGGCTGGTCTCAAACTCCTGACCTCAGGTGATTCTCCCCACTCAGCCTCCCAAAGTGCTGGGATTACAGGCATGAGGCACCATACCCGGCCTGTCCTGGGCCAATTTTTAAATCCTTCTAAGGTAGCACAATCCCTATGCCTTTATTCTCTGTAAGCCTTGGGCCTCTTAAAATCCTCTAAGGAGAGAGACCCAGGATGGAACTGGTGGAGGAGCTTGAGCAACAGCAGGAGCTGGGAGTTGGGCAGGGAGCCTTGTACGATACTGACTCTAGGGTTCCTGTGTCTAAGCCTCAGAAGTCGGGTGGACTCTGGCAGTAGAACCGAGTAGTGCCAACTTTTTTTCTGTAGTAATCTTTCCCAAAGAAATTCTCCTGAGGCTGAAATTCAAGAGGTCTAACCTCAAGGTAGTCATGTTGACCAAGAAACATAGCCTGTACCTAAAAGGTAATTTCAGAATAATTGATTGAGTTCTTTATTTGCCTTTCTCAAACACCATGCTGTCAGCACACAGTCCACAGCCTCCTTTTCTACCCCTCTTGACTTCCTATAGCTTTTCAAGAACTCTCTTCTCTAAATCTTGAAAACCTTTTTTCCTAGACATATCCCATGTGCCTTTTTCCTTCTTCTCTTCTCTTTCTCTCAATTCTGCATTCTCTAGCTCTAAAGAAGCATCTGGCAATGACAAGACCCTCCCTGAGGACACAGGGGCAAGGACAATGCTGGGAAGGCCCCACATGAACAACGTCCACCAAACGTCCCTGAGTGGAAGCTTCCTAAGTCAGGAAGAGCCTGTGTAGCTTGGAAGACTTGTGGGAAGTTCTGAAGGCTGGGGAAAGATAAAACTTATTCATAAAAATGTATAGCTCATTCTCATATGTAAAGATCATAGATACCTCAGAGGGAACTTTAGAGGCATGTCATTTTCAGGAATGTTTTATCCACTTTGCTTTGAGCCTCCATTACTAAACCATGCAACAAATTGTCTCAGCCCTGAGCTCCAGAAGGGCCTAGGTTTGGAATTCTGCGGAGCTGCAGGTCAGGAGGGAGCTGTTTTGGCAGTGCAAAACAGGGAAGCTGGCACGGCGGCTGTCTGTGCTGTGTTGATCTTTTGGTCTGATACTTGTTTTTAGTTTCACTTTCTTTTAATTATGGTCTTTCCATATCTGACCTTAACAGCACCCATTCTTTTGGTTTGTTGGTTAATTTTAATGATAACAGTGTATTACCATTAGAGTGGTTTCTCAGGTCACAGTGTATTGCAGAGAGCAGATTGTTAATTAAATGGTAATGTTTTCTGAATTTGGAAGTAATTTCTAAAGTTAATAGTTATTAGTTACCTTGAAATTGTAAAACAAAATCATCAGTATATAAAATCAGTACATAATTAGCAAGCTGTCCTCCAAGAAGCAGATCACATCATACTGTGTCCAAAAGGAACAGCTTTGCTGACAAGGCACTGACATAGTTAAGAGAAACCATGAATCACGTAAGGGGCCAGGAAAATGGTGCTGCCCAGCTCACATTCAGAGGCAGCATAATTTATGAAGCTCTGAGGACAGTGGGAGGTAAGCTGTCAGAAATGCTAAGTCCTCTGTGGAATTATTACATTCCCTTTGAAAGATTCGATGTCATTGAAACGAGGTAATCTGGGGAAGCTTGGAGGTTCTGTGCAATTGGGGAAATATGCAAAGATACTTGGAAATGAAGCCAAATTTTTTTCAGCCCTTTTCCCACTGGAAATCAGGCCCAAGGTCTTATGAAAACAGACTTTCTTTTCAAACATCAGGAGGAAATACTGCAAGAAGGATGCCCATGGCACTTTGAATGTTCCGGATCCACCAATATCAGAAAGGTCAGAGCAATGTAGAAACTGCGTGGACTGTGACTTTCAGATCTGTGTTTGCTTCCTCTCTGAGCACATTCTTTTCAATTATTTAAGATCAGATATTGTCTATGAGTTCAAGGGGAAAAGAGAATGAAAAAATTAGCACTATATGTTGATGAGTTGTGCAAACTTATTATCAGTTATTATATTTATTATTACTTCTGATAAGTACTTTCTAACACTTACTGTTGAGTGCTTACTGAGTGCTGAAAACAGTGTGGAGTGCTTTGCCTGGGTTATTTTACTTAATCCTGCCATAAATATAAGCACCACCTTCAGTTTACGGATCAGGAAACTGAGGCTTAGAGAAGCCAAGCAACTTGCCCAAGATCACACAATTTATCAGTGCTGGAGCCTATATTCCGGTCAGTTTCTTTAGCTTTTATAAAGGTATCAAGTTTTAATCTAATAAAAATATTAAAATGACTAGATCTACTTGACATTTTGGAATTGAATAAGATTCACCTTGAGGTAGAGTCCTCTGGATTTTGGCATAGCAGACTGACTATTTTTTTTTTGTCAAATCATTTTTATACAATTCCTTTCTGGTCCATAATGGCTCTGTGCATGTACTCTCTGAATATAGATGCAATCACTTCACTGTTAATGCCTACAGAATGTTTCCTCAGTAAGAAAGAAAGTTTATGCAACTTTGGAAAATGGTGTCTGAACACCAGTCCAAAACCACCTCATACGACTGTCAGATTCTTTTTTTTTTCCCCTTTTCTGTTCATATACACAGTTCATCCATTATGACTTGGATCATCAAGAGATTTCTTTTAATGGGTTACATTATTTTCTGTCACACAGCCACTTATTTCCTTGGAGGTCCATTGTACACACTATCCATTTTCCATGGGGGTAGGTAGTCCTGTTTCTGAAGTATTTATAAGAAATTTTATCATGGTTTCTATGGCAATAGACCATGAGAACATTCCTTCAAGCCATTTAAGATGATAATTCACCAAAACAAGTGCATTTATTTTTGTTTACTATTCGGCCATTGAAAGGTCTGGGGTAACTTAGTTGGCAGTTTGAAGAAACCTTTTCCTTCTCACTTCTGTGCATCAGGCAGCTACCTGGTCAAAAAAATTGATTTTAAGAAACATGAATGGCCACAGAGCAATTTTAGCAACAGTTTTTGCTGAACCTTTTGTGGTAAACATTGCCATTTCCTAGGTGCAGAGTGATTGGACTTCAAAATGAACCATCAAGCCCACAGGCAAGCTTAGTACAGAAGGCAGGCCTGCTTTCCAGGATAGTAGTTAAGCTTTTCTCTTCTGAATCAAATATCAGAAATAAGCCTTTCCCATTTGTGTATGATACCAGAATAAATAGAGGCCCCTCACAAGGGAAGCATTTTGATTCAGCTCAATTCAACAGATGGTTATGGGGACATAGTGTGGCATTGCAGAAGGACAGCAGGCTTTGGGCTCACCAGAACTGGATTCAAATCGTAGCTTTAGCTGAGGAGCCCTGAGAAAATGACTGGCCTGCTTTAAGGCTCTTTCCTCACTTGGAAATTAAAAACAATAATGCCTACACTGTCAGGGTGTTCTAAATATTAGAAATAATATATATGTAAACTGGGACCTACTTGGTCCTATCTTGGAGAAGAGACAGAGGCTAGAAACAGAAGTAAATCACATTCTTTACCTGGGTTTCTCAGAGCACAATAAAAGATACCCTGTTTGTAATCTACGACAAATTGATTGGGAGAAACATGAATGGCCACGCCTTTCTCTCATCCTTCTCCCCGAAGTCCTGCTCTCCTAGGGCTAATCTTTCTTTTCCTTCCTCTTCCACCCACCTCATTAGTTCTGTCCCTCTGGCTCCAGGTCTCTTAATTCTGCATCAGAAATGCCTAGGAACCTGGAAAAAGTCTGATTCTCCTCAGAGAGCAGGGAAGAGGAGAAGCTGCAGAGCAAAAGCCAGAATTCTCTGTAGATGGCAGAAAGGGCGTGGCCAAGACTGCAAACACACACCCATAAAGAGGTGTGCGCTGGCATATGCACAGAAAACTCAATTCAGTGCCTGGGACCTAGCAGGTTCTCAATGAAAAGGTCCTAGATTAATAAGCGCCCACAGTGTGCCAGATACCTCATAAGTATGCAGGTTAGAGCTCAACGAGGGGGAAAATAAGATCCCTACTTCAAGGAGTTCATAGGGTAGAAGCTGTTCTTGAATGTAGGTGTCTATTTTAAGCTGTTACCTCATCACTAAAACAATGAATATGCACTCAGTTATTTCCATCAAATACCCTATGCCTAATAGAACATTTACATGGCATACATGACAAATTAATATATCAGTTGCATTCCAGGGAAGGAATTTCAAAATGACCAAGAAACATTTCTTGAGAAACAAAAACAAACAACAAATCAAAACAAAACAAAACAACCCACCAAAAGCAAATTACCTAACATGTGCATTTATTAGTTTTATATTTAGCAACAAATGTTACTTGTGGGCTATATAATAACTAAAGTGGTACCAATGTACATACATTGTGTCATCACTTTTTGCCAATTATGATATCCTGATTAGAATGATAAACACATAGACTTCATTCACTTCTTGCTTCCTTCCGCTTTTATAACTGCCACCCAATTCTAGTTTTAAATGGATTATGGGATATGAAATTAGCTACTTATTAACACTATTTTGTAGCAGATTACTTAACTTCTTTGAGCTTCAGTTTCAAATCTGCTAAATGGGATTAAATTTTATAGTAGTGGGTACCTCATGGAATTATTGGAAGGATAAGTAAATTAATGCATCTTTAGTATCTAACAGTCTGGCGCAACTGTAAATGTTCAACAGATGGTTTTTTTTAATTATTGTTGCTATTTTCATTGTTTATTATTGCTTTCATATCATTTCATTATTGGATCTGGACTCTATGAGTTACAAACAGGAAGCAGTTTTATTTTTAAATTTCATTGCCTTCAAACATGCTCTGTCTTACCTCCCTTTCCTACTCCTGGATGATACCTCAGGCAGATTCTGTGTATTTTCCTGTTACTTGAGGATATTAGACAACAGTTCATTTTTAGAATTTAAAAACATCTAGTTCAACCTAAATCAAAACTTCCATTTGCCACCCACTTGAAAGTGTTTCTCCTCTCCTCAGCTCAGGCCAGGCCAGGGATCCCACAGATCAGCGGAGGGAGCAGCGCAGGATCTGCTCCTTGGCCCTCCTGGTTCTACCTTCTCTGTCACCTGCCTCTGGCTCCTTTACGGTTGAGGATGGGATAGTGGCATAGGGGAGGATTGGGGGGGCAGCAAGGACAACAAGAGGAGATGGTAGCTGCTGTCCTCGTACTTCTCTTTCGGTTCTCTCCTGATAGACTCTCTCAAATGGCCTCCATCCAGGCAACTGTCCATCTGCTGGCCCTTCCTTTCATGGAACACTTTTGTGAGATGGAGACTCTCACCCCTCCATATGGTCACTGTTAAGAGAATGTCAAATACTACACTCTTCTCCCAAGAAAGCAATACTCTTTCTGGTCCAGCGTGCAGCCCTGGAACCCAGCTACCTTCCGGGTTATCTGTTGAACTTATGGGAAATTCACCCCCCTTTCCCTGTCAAAGTCTGGAAGATCAGGCTCTCCCATTGCTGTCCTCTCTGTCCCTGCCCACCTGTAGTCAAGAGTCAGGCATGAGCCTCTGTTCTTTAAACTCCAGGGAACATGTGATTTGAGGGGAGAGAGAAACCACAGCACTTTCCATTTTTCCAAATTCCCTTACATGTCAGAGTCTTCTCTTTCATGATTCACTAATTTCCCTTATAAATAGGATGAGGGCATGATGGAATACATAGTCAGAGACCTGGTGAGCAAGTCCCACATTGATGGGTTCAGGAACTGTTACGAGAATGAGCAGACTCCCACTGCCTATTGTCTCTGGCCCTGGTGCTTCAGCGGAAACCCTGAGACAACAGGAAAAGTCCCATCCAGCATCCTGTTACATTTTTATTATAACAACATTTACAACAGCCTCTTAATTGGTTTTCCTGCTGCCTATTTGCCACTATTTCATTCCATCCCATATGCAACCTCTAAATTAATCTTTGCCCCAAAACTCTCTGATTTGTGTCATATTTCTCTTTTCAGTCAGTCACTGTGGCTTCCACAGGTTGGCTACCATCCCAACAACCCTTTTAATAATACAGGAAAAAGCTTAGGGTCCCCAGATTGAGTGTAATCCCAGGGAATTACACCAGATATCATAGTAGCAGAGTTTCTGTGGTCCCAGAAGCCCCTGTGACACTCGTTGTTTTCAACTGCTTATTATGTCAAACTCCCCCGGCGACAAACATAAACTCCACTAATTCAATGAGGCATTTACAGTATGATCAGAGATCCATAAGGCACTAGAAAGTATGTCTTTAATATGTAATTCCAGCTTCATCATTTCATCAAAGTCCTCTAAATTTTTAGGAGTGACCCACAGGCTGAATATTACATAGATTGCTTGGAGCTGATTTCTCCAAGAGCCAAACTCTACGTCAAGAAAGTGCAAAGTACAAAATCTAACCAACTAGAATTTTGGAACCCAGAGAACATCTAATTCAACTTTCCTATTTTACACATGACAGAATGGTGACTCAGAGAGACTGTGACTTGCACAAAGTCCCCAGGTCATTTGAGGCACGACTGGAGAAAATACCCAGCTTTCTTGATTCCTAGACTCAGGCTGGTTTCACTATCCCAGGTGATCGCTTGCCTGTTAGTTTCATTACTTTGTAAACCACCGTCCAATTAGTCCCCGTACTACAGAAGGTCGCCTCCCTGTAATGGAAAGGGAATGCTCTTTCTAAAATTGGTATTAAAGCCTTCTCTGATAGCATGTACGGAGAAGAAGAGTACCTATTAAAAATAATTAAAACAGACTGCAGACAAAGAATTTGTCTCAGAAGATGTTGATGGATCTTTTTGGTTATGAAGGGGAAGGCCCAGGATTTGGCCTGGATAGGAAAAGCTAAGATAAACCAAGCCAAATTGCTTTAAATAATAAAGTAACAGGAATTTTCCATTTCCAATGAGGATTGGGAGGGAGGTATTTTGGCAGGCCTGGGGCTTGGAGAAGAGAGAATAAGAGGGAAAAATTCCCTGGAGATGGGGAGAGTGGGCAGACCAAAGGGGAAAGTAGCTATTAAAAAAACTCCCAAAAACCTTAGAGCAAAAAGACATTATATTCAAATGTAAGTGCTTTTCTGTTATGCTGTGATCACCCTTCGTGATCCACGCGTCTTCAGTAGAAGTCTGTTATATGCAGCAATGGGTATTAGAGGTGCCTTGAGGAATACAGGATGAGGCAATTTGCCCATGCCTGGGGCAGGGGTTGTGGGAGAGTCAAAAAATCATGGAAGATCCTGACTGCTAGATTGCCATGGTAGGCAGCATAGTAGCCACCCCCCAACCCAAAAGATGTTCCTGATGTTCCTATCCTAATCTCATGAACCTGTGAACCTGTGAATATGTTACTTACATGGCAAAGGAGAATTAAGGTCCCTAATCAGCAGACAGGGAGAGTCTCTGGGATTACTCACATGAGCTAAATATAATTATCACAAGTGTTCTTAAAAGTGAAGAGGAAGTCAGAAGACGAGGTCAGAGTGATAGGGTCTGCGAAATCTCCATCCACCATTGCTGCTTTTGAAGATGGAAGACTGGGGCCATGAGCCAAGGAATGTGAGTATCCTGTAGAAGCTGGAGAAAACCAAGGAACATTCTTCCCTCAGACCTGTAGAGACTTCTCTTAGGCCTCAAGAGACTTCCCTAGAGGCTTGAGGGAAGGAAGTTCCTGCTGACAACTTGATTTTAACCCATTGAAATTCATGTTGGGCTTCTAACCCGCAGAGCTGTAGAAGAATAAATTTGTATTGTTTTAGGCTAGTAAATCTGCGATAATGTTTTACAGCAGCAGTAGAAAGCTAAAACGAGTGCCTAAATTAGATTTGATAAGAATCTTAATATTTATATTTAACTCAAATGTTTCCAAGTCCCTCACTTTCTGGGTTCAACCTTGTAAAATTGCGGAGCTGGCCCCAACATTTCCAAAGTTTTCCAGAGCAGTAAGGAGCTGACATTCTACTTTGTGGTAGTCCCAGTCCGCTACTATATAATCAAAGTTTTCAATTATTTCCTGAATTTATTATATCCATTTGCTTTATGTTAGCATTTAAGTCGCTACACAGGCTTGCCCAGCTTAACTTTCTCAACTTCACCTCCCACTTGTCCTCTTCATGGATCCTCTACTGCTGCCAAATTGCACCATCGGCACCTCAAACACACTCCTCTGGGCATCTGCTGTCCTACCACCTGGAAAGGTCTATCTCCCCTTCCCTGTGCCCCCAGACTGTGAATAATCAGCTTGTCCCCCAAGGCCTAGTTCAAGCATGGTCAAATCTCCAAAGTGTCCCCTAGCCTCCCCTCCTCAGAACTTCCCAGCATTTCGTCCTTAGCTCTCTTATAACCACCTGTGATCATTTACTTGGAACTTGTCTATTTGAGCACATCCCCTAATTCACTGTGTTGACCAGAAGCTCCTTTGGAGCATAGTGTGTATTGTTTATCTCCATATCCGCCACAGTACGGAGCACAGTGCTTTTCCTATCACAGATGCCCAATACATGCTTGCTGAATGGGGTCATGAAAGCATTTTTGGCTAAATAAATTATTTCAAGCGGAAGTCATTATAACTAACATGATCAATACATACTTCCCTATCTTTTCTTTTTTCTGAATGCCATGGTTCATAGTTCAAAAAGGAACCACCACAATCTCCAAATAACTCCTCCATACTTTCAACTATCATTTAATATTGCATGAGGTGAACACATATCTTTGCGTGCCTGGCTGGGATAGTCTCAGTTTACATCTGTTGTCCTCGCATGGTGATTAATAGTGCAAAAGTGTCTTTGTATGGATGATAAATTGGATGGTCATTTGACTGTTGGAGAACATAGGGTACGAAAGCAGCGTCTGGTTTTCATCCTTTCCTGAGAAGAACAATTGGAAACCAGTTACTCCCGCCAGATGTCCTCTTTGCTCCAGCTCCTTGGCATTTCTCTCCTCTCGGCTTCTCCTTCCATGGCAGCCCTCAATGCTTGGGTCCACCCGTCTGTGTCTCTGCCACATCCCTGCTTCCCAGTCTTGATTTTGTCCAGGAGTGTGTCTGCAGTGGCAGGATCAGAGGAGGGAGCAGAACGAGGAAGACGGTACAAATCCCAAGCTAGCTGCTCTCTTGTCACTCACCATTTATGTGTCTCCAGCCTGTCCTCCTGGTCTCGTCTCAGTGTTCCAAGGCATCATTCCTTGCCTTTATCATTCTGTTCCTTATCCTTCCATGCCTGGTTCTGCTTTGTATGTCCCAACAATACCCATCACTAATTCTAGTCCCTGACTGATATCAAGGGAATGATCACCAACATCCCTCTTACCTTCAGGGTAACCCTTAATCTCACAGTGGAAGAAGTGCTCCTAATATCTTAAATCGTCACACATCATATTTTTCTATAGCAGCAATTTCCAAAGCGTGTTTTGGGGAACTGTAGTTTGGGGTGTTAATATGTTTTACTCACTAAAAAGATTTCAAAGTCAAATAAAGTTGATGAATTCTCAATGGAACCATTTTAAGCAGTTTTCTTTTCTTTAAAGAAAACTTAAAGCCTTTAATATGCAAATGTACATTACAAATCTCTGAGAGGGATATATGATATTCTATGTTTCTCAAACTTATTTGACCTTGAAACTTTTTTCCTTGAAACTTTCTTGAGGGAATATTGCTCTGTGAAGCATATTTTGTTTTAAAGTAACTTACTTAACTCTTGTGGATCAATCATAGGTTTTTGAGAATGGACACAGGGGTCTATAGAATATAATAGGCATGATTGTTCTAGTGGGACAATGCATTCCAATATCTACAACCACATTTTTGGAACCTAGAAGGTCGTGAAGGGGAAAATTGTATATAAGACCCTTCCAGCTAAGAACTGTGCGACTGTCCAGAGAGCAGAGGCAGACAATCAAGCAGAAAGCATCTAGGACCATGGGTCAGAAGAGCTGGTATCTAGTCTCAACTTCACAACTGTTAGCTAGGTATTCCCAAGCAAGCTTCATCCATTTTTGTCCTCAGTTTTTTCATCTATTAAATGAGACAATTCATGATGATATTAAAATAAAAAATAAATAATATCACCTCAACATATGTCACAGGAATTTTAGGAAGATCAAAATAAATAATTATTTGAAAGGACTTTGAAAACAGTAAGGCTTTTGTGAGTGAGTACATCTAAAAGTACCATTATTATTATTATTATTCGGTACAGGGTCTCACTCTGTCCCCCAGGTTGGAGTGCAGTGCAGTGGTGTGATCTCGGCTCACTGCAACCTCCACCTTCCAGGTTCAAGAGATTCTCCTGTTTCAGCCTCCCAAGTAGCTGGGATTACAGGCACGCACTACCACAGCTGGCTAACTTTTTGTATTTTTAGTAGAGACAGAATTTCGCCATGTTGGCCAGGCTGGTCTCGAACTCCTGGCCTCAAGTCATCCTTCTGCCTCAGCCTCCCAAAGTCCTGGGATTACAGGCGTGAACCACCGAGCTGGGCCTATTTCTTAATTAACTTGGTTTTCTAATAGGAATAAAGATGCAAACCCACAGATAACGTTCAAACCCTACTTTTTTTTGCAAAATGCTTCGATCCAAATAATTTTCCCCAACATAAAGCACAATTAATAAACTAATTTCACTTTTTTTCTCCTTCTAGATCTTCACTGAGGTGGAGGAGCAGTGCAGTGGCCAAGAGAAAGATGGGATTGACAGAGGGAAATAAAAAGAACTCTGATATGTAATAGACTGGATAATCAGGATACAGTAGGCCATGGTCACATTTGAGCTCCAGGTGGTGTCTGATTGACTTGGAAACAGTACAATAGGGGCAAATTTTACCCTCACATTTCCTGGCAACTTTGGGTTCAAAGATATTAGCTGTTACTTGACATTCCCATTGGCAAAAATGAAGGGCATGCCTCTGTTGACAAAGCATGAAACGTCATCTGTTGTGTCTGTAATGCCATAAATGAGTCATTGATTCCACAGAAGAGCAAGAAAAAAGAGCAGGAAGGGCAGGAAATGTTAGTTACCATATTTCTCCATCATCCATGGCATGTGATGGGGCAGAACATGTCACCAGGCAACAGTAACATGGGGCTGTTTCTTGGCCTCTCAGCTCCAGTACTGGGATAATCTATTAAATCGTCTCACAACTTTCTGGGTATTCTTGAGCCCTATTCATCCTCTTTGGTTCAGAAACTGATTTAGAGAAGAGGGACTCTGAGTAATCTGTAAAGTATTGTTTATCTATAAGACTTTGGTATGCTAAGCCTGAATCAGCAATTAGGTTTAATGCCTTGCTATATTTGCTTGAAAATGAAACCTGTAGCAAAAGTGAATGTGCTATGCTGAAAGAGCATTTAAAAAATAATCTCAGCTGGGTGTGGTGGCTCATGCCTGTAATCGCAACACTTTGGGAGGTCAAGGCAGGAGGAATGCTTGAGGCTAGGAGTTTGAGACCAGCCTGGGCAACATAGTGAGACCCTATCTCTACAGAAAATACAAAAATTAGCCAGGCATGGTGGCACAAGTCTGTAATCCCAGCTACTCGGGAGGCTGAGGTGGGAGGATCACTTGAGCCCAGAAGGTCAAGGCTGCAGTGAGCCGTGTTTGCACCACTGCACTCCAATCTAGGCACCGGAGTGAGATCCTGTCTCAAAATAATAATAATAATAATAATAATAATTTAAAAATAATCATAATTGTTTGTTACTCTAGTGATACAAGCCATGGATGATAGTAGGAAAGTGAATTACACAGGCAAACATGGATAAGGGGGGTACTGCATTATAAGAATCACATGCATTTAGGATAAGGGGCTACTTGGAGAAGGGGAGTTTCTGTGTAAATAACACAAATAGAGAGATTTTCTTTAACTCATCTGGTTGCTTTTCCTTACTAGAACCTGTACTTTGAATATTCCTTTGTTTTTTTTTTTTACTTTTATCATTTGATGTAAAGACACTAACATTTTATGAAAAAGCATGGCTTACATGGGACTCTTTCCAAATAGTTTTATTTATATATTACCACTTTCATTTGTTATCTTTCTTTCTAAACAAAGAGTCTCAAAGCATATTACGACACCAAATTCATTAATCTGAACGTATGGTGAACCACTTGTTTGCCATTTCTTGAAAACAATTACTCTTGCTTTTACCTCCCCATAGTGATTCAGTGTTAAAAAATGGTAACAGAACCCAGTCCCCTTTATTCCCCTGCTTCAGGTCCAACTTTGATTACTTAGCACATGCCACCAATTCTAGGCATTAAATTGAATTTTTCAACAGTGAATCAATTAGCACACATTCTTTGTTGTGGTTGAGGAGGGGGTGTCAATAACAGAGAAACAAGATGGAGAAGAGTTGAGGGAAACAGGTTATTTTATCTTTCAAAGACAAAGTTCTGTGCGAGGAAGCTTCTTGGTGCTCATTAGGAACACAAACCTCCATACATGCATGAAGAATGGGAGCAAAAGGAATTTTAATCGCTTTTTCATGAAATCTGACCCAGAGTTGAACAAAGAGAATTCTAAATCTTTTGCATATGCCATTTTTTAGGGGCAGACATCAATCTTTTTCCCCCTTCTCTTGTGTTCCTTGAACAAAAAGAATTATTGAAACTGAACTTGTTCAGGTTTTTATAAATCAGGATGTCAACAAATACAAGCACTAGTCTAGTTACAACGAGAGACTGTAGTTTCTAGAATAAAGCTAACCTGTTTTTTTTTAAGCTCTACAAAGAACGCATTGTTTATTCTCATGTAGAAACGTCATGTAAAGCAGCTCTCTGTCAGGTATTCTATTTTTATTTAGTTGTTTCATAACTCAATTATAATGTTCCCCTTTACCTAATAATTAGGAGATATAGAGTAACAAGGCTGGAAACCTCTTCTTTTCTCCACTGTGTGTCAGTTACATTTCCAGATTGTTAATGGATAGCAGGTTATGCCTGTGTAGGTGAGTCCTCGTCCCTGCTGGCCTGGCAGCTTACCCCTGCACAGTAGCAAGGGTCAGCTCGTGGAGACGGGCCCGGCTAGAGGCCTAAGCAGGAACTTCCTGCCATCTGGAAGAGTCCGGGGCACAAGGAAAGATGTCAGCAATAGGTGCTCATATGACTCTTTAGCTCCCCTGGGAATACCAGTATTTCTCCTAGTTCCATGATTGGGAAAATTTAACACCCACTACCGGTAATTTGATGCACACGTTTCGGTGTCTGTATTTGGTGGCATTTCACTCTTACAGATACATGCCTAGGTTTTTGTGGCCACTTACTACCTTTTGAACACCCTTTCTGTGTTTCAGGAATCCCCCACAGCAGGAGTCCGGCCTTTCCAAAGTATGAACCCCAAACACATTTTCCCAGCTTCTCTTATAGCAAAGTTGCACCCTTAAATATATATACATATATTTACACACATGTGACCTAGACCCAGCCAGTGCACCTTAGCTGGAGAGATTGTTTTGGAAAAGAACAATGAGAGGAAGTAGGTGCTGCTCAGAATCCATTTTCTGGCAAAGGTGACGGTTGAGCTTCTAGCTGTGGGGGACGACATTGGCAGACGGTCTGGTGTCCAGTGCCTAGTGGTAGCGCTCATCGTGATAGAGGGGGAGGGCCACAGGGGTCTTCTTGTTATACTCATGATGGATACTGTGCCTAAGACCAAGATTTTCTTTACGATTAAAAACAGTTACAGGCATCTAATGTAATTGTTCATTAAACATAGACACTTCTAAAATCAAAGCATTTAACTTAATTTGTTGGATTTTTAAAAGTTATTTTTAAATAACTTTTAAAATAACTCCTAAAACTATTAAGATGGTAGCTTTTATGTGTATTATTTTCCATAGGCCAGTAATACAGCTTGTTATAAAGAAACTCAAGGACCAAAGTGTTTGTGGGAAACTGGCCTGGTCTGGTTAGTCTTGAGATATTTTGGGGGCACATATGGGTATATATTTAGTTTAGATATTATAATTTACCCATTTCTGAACCTCCTTCCTCCTTTTTCCTCCATTCTCTTTTCACCCTAGCATTATTACACCAATCTGTTTTTTCTGGGCCTGAGTGGACAGAGCTCTCTGAAATATAGCATGGCTTGTAGGCAGAGCTCCATTAGTTGGGTTGGGAAAGGGGTTACAATGGGACGTACGAAGTGAAAGTGGAGCAGAAAACCCCATATCCAAATTTTGGTGAAAAATACATTTTTTGAAGTTGATGCTATTTGTAATTTTCTAAATAATTTGCATTTTATGAAAAAATAATATTTTCTAAGAATAGGTCAATTAGTTTAAAAAATACAGTCATTATTGGGCCATGATAAATGGATCATGACCATGCTTGACACTATGGAAATAACTGCTGGGCCTAGAATCTGAAGATATGCTTGAAGAAGATTAGTAGGCCCCTGCTTTATAAGGAGGGGAATCATTGTAAAATATTTTCTCAGCCAGAATGACATACTACAACTGTATTACTGCAACATTACAAATTTATGGGATCTAAATCGATGAGTTTTAACCATAGAAATAAATTCCGAGGGATGAGGAATTTATGAACTCAGTACCTAGTACCAAGTTACAGGAATCACAATTAAAGATCTTCACTATTTTCTGCCTTATTCTACCATGACGTTAAAAAAGACTGATAGGCCGGGCGTGGTGGCTCACGCCTGTAATCCCGGCACTTTGGGAGGCCGAGGCGGGCAGATCACAAGGTCAGGAGATCGAGACCATCCTGGCTAACATGGTGAAACCCCGTCTGTACTAAAAATACAAAAATTAGCCGGGCGTGGTGGTGGGTACCTGTAGTCCCACCTACTTGGGAGGCCGAGGCAGGAGAATGGCTTGAGCCCGGGAGGCGGAGCTTGCAGTGAGCCAAGATCGCGCCACTGCACTCCAGCCTGGGCGACAGAGCACGACTCTGTCTCAAAAAAAAAAAAAAAAAAAAAAAAAAGACTGATATTCTAAACTCTGATGAGCCAGTCTTTATTTAGTCATTCTATTGATTTTTAAAATTATCTCCACTTCTATCCTGTACCTTGTGTCATATTTCTACATAATAGTATTCCTGTTATAAATACCGTTCAGGTATTAGTGATGCAAGCAAAGAGAATTTAAAGGTCTTGGTAAAGGTCCCTCAGGTGAGGCTGTAACTGACTGAATGGAGGAAGGAAACCAGTTTTCTCCTAGCGTTCAGGAGGGCTCTGTACCCCTTTCTAATCTGCCTTCTAGTTCTATGAACCTACATGCTTGCTTTGTATGTCTCATTTTGTGATTCCCACTATATACACAGAAAAGTATGAAAACAATAACCTCATATTACTATTAACTTTTTTCTGCTTTTTTTCATTTCATTCCCACTGGTATCTTATTATTAATAAATGATTTTAAACTCAATTTTGAATTCTTTTCTCAACACAATTTTCATGTTTCTATAATTCTAAAATAGTACTTCTAAGTATAGGAGATATAGCCATCTGGCTGGAGCAATCTAGATATAGTTCCACCAAGGCCAAGAATATGGCCTGGTTCTATCTTTGAGCGCCATCCAAACAGGGGTGTGCAGGTGTGGGAGAAACTCCTTTTAAGAAAAGGAGATCTTCTTTTAAGAAAAAACATGCTATTCTGCTCTGGGGAGTGCCAGCATCTTCAAGGTCTGCCTCAGTTGCAAAAAACCACCTCTCGAGAGATCACATCCTCCCTGGGGCAGCTTGCAGCTGGTAAATGAGGCTGGGATGTAAAGACCAGGACATTTTGGCCAGACAGAGGAAACTCTGATGGCCAATGTTTCCTCCAGAGATCTCTGCCAGATTGGTGTACGCGTTGTCAGGCCTGTAATCTAGCTAACGTCTTTCTCTGTCCAATCCTACTTCCTTCGCTTTTTTTCACAAGGTTGTTGATCCCTAATAAACATATAGTATTCCATACTCATCTCAGAGTCTGCCTTTGAAAACCTAACCAAGACAGCAGGTGAGTAGCATGGGATCTGGAGGCTTCTGCAGCCAAGGTCTGAATGATCTAAGTCAGAATTTTGAAATGTTGCTTGTCTTGAATCTATCTATCTATCTTTTTTAAACATTTTTTTCTTTTGTTTGGTTCCTGTTTTAATTGTTGTGTTTGTGTGTGGTCTGTCTGTCTGTGTTTTTCTTGTTGTTTATGTGTTTTTATGGAGAATTATAGGAAGCTCTTTATACATTAGACACCTGAAGAGAGTAAAATGTTGATTTCCTCATCAACTTCCGCTGTTGTTAAAAAGATGTGTTCTGCAAAAGGTACTTGGTTCTATCACGTGAAATAATTTACAGTTAAAGGACATGTATTGGCAATATAAGTAAGTGCATTGTAATAAAAGTAAATGCTTTTTGCCTGTTAAATCTATGGGTGTTTCATTAATATTATCTTGCTAGAAGTTGGCCAAATAGATCAACTTTGCCCAGTCTTTTGAAATGGGCGCACACTAGTCCCAGTTTTTTGAAATCTTAAGATTGCATGCAATCCTCTCCTCTCCGTTCCTTACTCTACCTAGCGTGGCTCATACTTTTATCAGTTCTCACTTGGATCCTTGTGCTGTCCCCTCCACTAGCTTCCTCTCTCTCTCTATCTCTCCACACAGCTTTCAGAGTGAGTTTTCTAAATTGCAAATCTGATCAGGTCATTTCTCTATTTAAAGTCCTCCAGTAGCTCCCCAAGGCTATTCAAGGATTTAAAACCCAGTCTTTTTCATGGTAGTCATAGAAAGCTGTTCAAGAATCAGTCTGCTTACTCTCCAGCTTTCTCTGCACAACTGCCTCGCAATCACCCCACTCCAGGCAAATTTCCTGTAGCTTCTGGAATGTGCATGGTCTCTCTTCCCCTTTTGCCTTTGTACATGCTGTTCCCTTTGTTCAAATGTCCTTCTCTACTTTTATTAATTTTTTTTTTTATTAAGGTAAGTCTTATTCTTCCTTTAAGTCTCCATTCAAGCATCAAGCAAGCTATAGGTGGGGGTATTCCTCTGTGGCCCAGAATATTCACTGCTACTAACATCTTTCCCAGCACTTATAAGACTATATTGAACATATAAGACTCTTACACTCCCCTCTAGACTACTGAATCCTCAAAGTCAGAAATGTTATCTGTACACACTAAGACTTAGCGCAGTGCCCAGCCCATGATAGGTACTCAGGAAATTTTTGTGTCTTTCTCTAAACTTCTTTATGGTTGCCACTGCTTCCTATAAATTTTCGCATGCCCTCCATTGCTTAGCAAACACTGTGTTGCTCAATACTGCATACTGTAGGTGCTCAGTGAATGTTTGTTGAGTGGATGACTATACTGCTGTTGTTGTATTTCCATTCTACCACCAATAAATGCTTAAAAGGTTGCAATTACCAGGGGCAGCTTAGAAAAATATTTGAAGTGTTGATTGACCGGTAGAAGTCTCTGAAGATGTTTTTATTTCACTCCGGAACAGTCACCTAAACCGTGAACTACAAGCTAATAGTATTCACAGGAGAGCGACTTTGTCTGTTTGCCTACACCGTTTGTGATATTAGCTATGCAAATAAATATTTTGATTGTTCATTTGGGAGAAGAGGATTACTTGATGACTGTCTTAAAGTATATGTAGGCTTATTATTAGGAGAATGATGACTAATTTTTCCCCCCATTGCTACAGCTGATTCAGTGAGGAAAAGTACTTAAGTTGTATCACTAGTTAAGAAAGAATATCTTTACTGGAATCTAGGGACATTGTGGGAACTCCTTTGCAGATGTGACTAGATGACATCAAAATTCCAGTTTTCACCCTTGAATCTGTGAAAGTCAAAAGGATATCATTACAATGACTAACTGCTACCCATAAAAAGGCTGTTGAATTTGGTGTTACATATACTATTCGCTACATTCAAAAATGAGTTAGCGGGTACATTCTATCAGTACGGGACTATCTTGGGCACTGCTGGAAAATCATAGCATTATCTCTGCTCTTATATCCCTGTTTTTATGTCTTTGGGCAAAAAGACACAGGAAAAGTTAAGTTCTAGTAAAAGGCAGCTTGTCTGTATGATACAGATTGTGTCTATGGCCATACCATCCTGAATGCACCGGATCTCATCTGATACAGATTATAAGTGCAGAGAATGACTAACAAAGGAGCTAGAGTCAGAGGGGAACAGGGAAAGCCATTCAAGGTAAGGAGAGTTGTATGCATCAGATATGTGTTTGTGTGGTTACAGACCCTATAGGTTATAGACAAGCTCTACTGAGAAGAAAACATTCATAAATATTTACTAAGCACTTATGATGTGCCAAGCTCTGTGCTAAACCCAGTATGTGCATTTTCTCATTTAATCCTCATGACAACACTAATACGTAGTAACATCATCTCACTTTGTAGTTCATGAGACTGAGGTTAAATGACTTGCCTAAGATCACACAGCTGATAATTGGTGGAACGGGGAATTCAAATCTGGTTGTCAGACTTCAGCAAATGGGACTAAAATTTAATTCTAGAAACATTAGCAAGTAGCTCCCAAAAGCAAGGCACAAACTGAATTGGTAATTTTGAGGCTTGAAAGCAGTGACATGTCTTCTTCAACAATGTATTTTCCCTATATCAAGCTCAACATGTAGGTAAGCTGGAAATGCCTTTGAATGAATAGACTATTTTCAAGGAGTACATACTCTAGTAGGGAAGACAGACATGCCTAAGTTACTTAATCTCCCAAAAGCTGTAGGTGCTGATGGATCATACTGGATACAAATCTGAGGGGAGAGGAAGTTATCCTATAAGCAGTGGGGAGGCATTGAGGTTTTTGAGCAGGAGAGTGACATGATGAAAGCTTATTACTGAAAACTTAATCTGCTGACTGTGTGCTACTTGTTTCCTTATTGTCAGCAACATTAAGCCACGTGGAACTCCAAGCAAGTTAGATCTGTGATGATAGAAAAGAGGAGGAAATATTTCTCTCTTTCATGTCCTGCTCACCACAACTCTGCTAAATTGGTTTAGATGCTGGAACAATAAATTGGAGTAAGAGCAGAAGCCTAAAATCTAAATGTGCGCTGACACTTTCTGTTCAATCACCGTTGTTTCTAAGAATACAAGGAGCCCCTAGATGGTGGGGGTAGGGTAGAGGGCAGGAAAGATTGCATGCTGCAAATATCTAAGAGAGATAAGGTCTCAGGTCAATCTTGTGTGATATTTTTAGAGTAATCTATTCATTTATTCATTCAGTCAATGAATATTTGTTTATTGAGAACCACTGTGTACCTGGTACAATTCTGGGTTTTGGGACTCTAGTACCCCAGAGAAGAAGAACAATAAGACTGCTGCCTCTATAAAGTATGCGAGCTAATGAGTAATTCAGACCATGACCATTTCAGATAGTGACATGTGACTATAAAGAAAATAAAACGAAACGACAGGATGAGGAGTGACTGAGGATGAGGCACTAAGCACTCTAGAAAGGACTCTCAGAGAAAAATCTCTCTGGGGAATTGATCTTCCAGAAGACTTGACTAAGGAGAAAAAAAAAATCAGCCATGCAAAGAGCAGAGAGAAGAGCATTCCAGACAGAGGAAATAGCCAAGGCAAAGGCCCTGAGGCTGGAAGTCAGAAAAAGAGGCAGCAGGAACTGTGAGCTTTGCCATTAGCCACATTTAGGACTTGGAAGAGCACATCTGAAATAATACCTCTTCAGATACCACGCCAGTGAAACATTTTAACAATTAGCAATTTGATGAAACTCCTTATTGTTAACGTTGTTCTTAATAACTAATTTAAATTTTCTATCTAAAAATGGGTATTTAAAATATTTTTGGATGTAAACTGACAAATAGCAAAAAAGAAATAGAGATTATAAATAAGACATCAACAAAATGGATGAAGAGTTTCAGAAGATCACCTTGGGGAGGGTAGTGGTGGTGAGGGTTGGAAATGAAAGGCTGAAAATCATGTACTATTTATTAATTTAATAAATCTGTCTTGATGTCAATGTAATCGAATGTTGCCACAAAATAATGGTCTCCTGCTGCTATATAAATGTTGAGGCCAAGCTCTGATGTTTATTTTCAAGACAGGAGACATTGATCCTTCACTAATAGAATATTACAAGTTTATTTCTATTATGCTAAGTAACCAAAGTTGATTTCATTGTTTGATTTGATGGATGTTGGTGCTGTCAGAGTTCAGAACGGTCTGGGGCTAGGAAGCCAAGAGGACGAATATTTTCTTGTCCTAATTAGGCACACTTGGATTTCATTCTAGTATCAAATCAATAAAGGAAAACTTTGGGATACTGAGTCCCTGGGATCCTTCTTCTGATGTCCCAGGGATTGGAACTATTTGGCATAAGATTGCTCTTCCCCTAAGACCAAGACGACTCTGGAGCCAGGCAGTGAGTGATTTGGATGGGGCCCCACCGAATTGGAAAGGCAACAGGAAATGTGATGAGAGGAAAAAGACAGCTATAACAATAGAAGGAGGAAGTGAAGCCCGAAAAACAAGGCAAGAAGAAAAAGTAACAGTGAACTACAATAATCCATGAGGAAACGAAAACCACACAGAAAACAAAACAACACAACAAAAAACCCAAAAGGAATTGCAACCTGCTGATTTAGATGCAGGGGACCCGTTTTTGACCATTTCCAGAGGTAGGGCTCTTATTTGCAGTGATCCAGTTAACGAATGGTACTGCCCAAGTTTCCCTTTTCCTACGCAGAATGTGAATTAAAACAAAGCTCTTTGTTTTCAGGTTTTACATACCACAGATCACACAGCCACATGGAGCTGGGAAATGTGATCGACTTGAAGAAGAATGAATACGGTGAAGATTGGAAAGAAGACATGAGCTGATCAACTTAGTAGGAGTAAGGAAAACCCTTTTTTTTTTTTTTTGAGACAGAGTCTCACTCTGTTACCAGGCTGGAGTGTGATGGCGCAATCTCCGCTTACTGCAACCTCCGCCTTCTAGGTTCAAGAGATTCTCCTGCCTCAGCCTCCCAAGTAGCTGGGATTACAGGCACACTCCACCATGCCTGGCTAATTTCTGTATTTTTAGGCTGGGGTTTCACCATGTTGGCCAGGATGGTTTTGATCTCCTGACTTCATGATCCGCCCGCCTCGGCCTCCCAAAGTGCTGGGATTACAGGCATGAGCCACTGTGCCCAGCTGGAAAACATGTCTTTTAAATATCGAAGGAGAAGTGGATACACACCAAATCATTTCTCTTCCCCATTGTATCCTATAGGGAGCCAAAATACTCACCTTATAGTAGTGAAAATCGGAGGAAATGATGGACCTGAGGAAAGATGAGTCTCCAATAAAGCAGGATGTGGCTTGTTGTTTCTGATCTAATCAGGAGGTTTAGGGGCCGGCTGTGCTGAAATGATATCCATAAGCCCTATTTGAGTGGCCCAACTGTATTTAACCCAACCTGAATTCACAGAAAAGTTTGTCCTTCTAGAATCATAGTACATGAAGGAGTAAACCTTAAGGGGTAGGGATGGTTGGAAAAATTTGTGTGTCAGATTCCTGAAAGGTTTGATGAGATAGGGAGGCTGCATGTAAATCTCAATCTGGTTATTTACTGGTTGTGTGAACCAGAAAAAAGTGTGCAAATAATAACACCTCACAGGATTGTGGTTTTTTTGGTTGTTGTTGTTTGTTTGTTTTTGTTTTGTTTTGAGACAGGGTCTCCCTTTGTTGTCCAGGCTGGAATGCAGTGGCACAATCAGGGCTCACTTGAGTCTTGACCTGCTGGGCTCAGGTGATTCTCCCACCTCAGCCTCCTGGGTGGCTGGGGCTACAGGTGCACACCACCATGCCCAACTAATTTTTTAAATTTTTTTTTTGTAGAGATGGGGTTTTGCTATGTTTCCCAAGCTATTCTGTAACCCCTGGGCTCAAGTTATTCTCGACCTTCCAAAGTGTTGGGATTACAGGTGTGAACCACTATGCCTGGCCTCAAAGCGTTGTTAAAAGCATTGAGACACTGTAGGTAAAACACTTAGTGCCAGGCACATTGTATGAGCTTAATACATGTTAGTTCGTGTTAACACATAAGCAGTCTGTAGCATGGGATGCAAAAACTGAAATTATTGCATGGTTGAACCATATAATGTTGCCAGCAGTCACCTTTGACTTACAAAAATAGTGATTTCATTCTCTTTGTTTCTTCCCTCCTTCCCTCTCTTCCTTCTACCTCTCTCTCTCTCTCTCTCTCTCTTTCTCTCTCTCTCTCAACAGGGTCTTACTCTATTGCCCAGGCTGGAGTGCACTGGTGTGATCATAGCACATGGCAGCTTCAAACTCCTAGTAGCTAGGACTACAGGCGTGTGCCACCATGCCCAGCTAATTTTTAAATTTGTTGTACAGACAAGGTCTCTCTGCATTGCCCAGGCTGTTCTAGAACTCCTGTTCAAGCAATCTTCCTGCCTAGGCTGCCCAAAGTGCTGAGATTACAGGTGTGAGCCATGCGCCTGGCCAATTTCATATATTCCCACTAAACTTTCCTCTTCCTTCCATATATATATAATATTACATATCTTACATATGTACAAAAGATTATATATTCCATTACATATCTTATATACATATGAAACACATATATATGCCATATATATGATATGAAATATATATAGTAACATATATAAACTGGGAGATAAGGTGATAAGTTGTAGTACTGTGCCTCACCTGCTCATTACCCTGTGGTAAGCTCCTTATGTCTTCAGAGAATTCCTGGGGCATGAATGTGTCTCCTTGTGTAACAAGTGATCAATGCTTCTTTAGAATAAAGAAAAAACCCAAACTATGAAACAGAACTGGCATTTTCTAAAAGGACACAAAAGCCAAGGCAAGAACAAAGGAAGCAGTACGGGAAAGTTGGGGTGTGGGGACAACTCTTTCAGAGTGATAGGAGAGTGTGCCCAGACCTTGGCCCGCCCCGGCCACACTGCTCCCCAGACTACCTGCATCCATTCCCACAGTGCGCTCTTTGCTATCTCCCTTCTAGAAACCAGACTAGGCTGAAAAGCCAGGATAAATGGATATAGTGCCCCCGAGTCTCTAATTTCTGGGCACCTCAGGGTCAATAATAGTACCGCAGAAGAATATTCCAGAGGTCAGTATATTTGGCAAAAACTATCTTTAACCCAGAGAGGTGCAACAACTTTAGCCTTAGGTCGGATCCATGGAGTCGTAGACATTGTTTAAGGTTCTCCTCAAAGAACTGAAAATTGCAGGAGAGTTACAGGGAGGACAGTGCAGGAGGTAAGCACAGAATAGTAGTAGCAGACCGACCATTAGACAGAAATATATTCTTTCTTAACTTCTTTAAAGTGGGCCTCCAAAACCACAGACAACATGGGTTTTAGAAGTTGGGCAAGGCTGGTGGGAATTTGCCTTGTTACTGTCAATACCTCAGCACCATAGGGCAGCGGGATCCTTCTGTTCTCTGCCTGAAGAATTTAGGTGCAAAGAAAAGAACATGAAGCATTTGAAAAGCATTCGAAGACAATGACACTGTAAAATTATTTTTCTGATGAGGAATCTGACTGTACATGTATCACCTAATGGTATATGATGGTGCTGGCAGGTGGCAATTGCCACCACAGAATACACATAAATCTTAAAAAACTACTGTACTTACTGTACTGCAATACATAGGGCATAGGCCAGTTGGTTTCAAAGACTTGTTGAGGAACCAGCCCTAACTCCCAAAATTTGTAGTGTCCTCTATATCTTTGACAAGCGTATATGACCATGGTAAGATTGTTTATACCTTATAGCTTATGATTGGCAATGGCAATATTCAGCCCTTGTCTTAAGCAGATTTCACTTGGCATAATGTATTTTTAACCACTTATTTTAAAACTATCTAAAGGCAAACAAAATGCAATAGTAGTATAATATGTCGTCGTCTTCCTTTCCTGCCATACTTGGTTAAGAGGATCTGATTATGTTTGAAAATTATGAAAAGCAAATGAAGTAGGTGTTTTTTTTCTCTGTTTCCATTTCTAACAGAAGGAAATGACACTGCCTGGAATGCTGCATAGCCTCCCTCTTGAGACTGGGGCTTTTGTTAGCTCCAAGAGTGCAAAGATATCATATTGGCATAACCTTACTAGGTGAAAAACCATTGTGAAGATTTAGGAATGCACTAAAAAAAATAGTAATACTTTTGAATAAAGAACACTCTTTGGCACACTTCCTATTACATAACTCTCAACATTTAATGACAAAAATCCAGCCAGTGAACATGACAACACTTGGAATTTGTTTTGCAAAATGCTACATACAGTATATGAAATTGCCATACATGGTAGCCCTGGTTTTTCATTTTTCATCTTCAGCTTATATATAATTCTTTGTATAAGGATAATTTTATTTTATTCCAAGTCACTAAACTTTACATTCTTGGTAGTGCTAAAAAAGACTAGACCCTCTAGGGCTGGAACTCTTTGGAACTGGCAGATCTGCACACCATGTCTCCTAACATATTGGTAAGTGTTTATGAATATGTAAATTGGGATTTAAAAAATCCAGGGCAATAGGTTATGGAAACAGTCATTGCCTCAGATTAGCTGATGTTAAACCAATAATAGTGTGTCAAAAAATGTTAATTTGAGGCCCAATTTCATTTATTATTCTGGTGTAAGTGACTAAATTGCACAGTAGCATAGTTGCAATGACTATTCATTTCATTACTTTGGTACATGGCATTTGAGCATTTTGTGAATCTGAGCATGCTGGTCTCTTCTGCCTGGGAGTGAAGTTTCACAAGGTAATCTGAATGACAAACATCTCAGAGCTTGCTCACATTCCTTGGTGGAATAGTCACTTCTGAGAGAAAGAGGTGTGGCTTCGTGGTCTGGGAAAAGGACTGCCAGCCAGGAACATGGAGTTCTTCTTCTGGAACTAGTTCTGTTTTCTTTTTGGATCAGCTAATGCTAACGAATATATCTAGAACTCAGTTCACCCAGTTTAAAAAGCTGGTTAGGGAAATCTAATTAACTGGGATGTATTGAGTAATAATGAATGAATATCTGTTAAACGATTTGAAATGAAAAGTGGTATGAATGCAACTGAGTTATTTGTATAAACTGATTAGTTTTATGAAACAAATAAATAATAGAACAGTTTTATTTTTGGGGAATATTACTCTAAAACAAGAAAATTTATTTTAATGTTTAGTTTATTTTTCTAAATATTTTTATTTCTAAGTGGTTTTAAGTTAATAAGCTAAATGTTCTGTATGATGCACATAATTAAATTCATGATTAGCTTCCATTTAAACATAAAGAGGTGGTCTCTTTGTTGTATATAACAGGTAAATCTTTTCTGAGGTCTCATGCACTGTAAGAATGTAGACATTATTAACCTTAATGTTCTACAGAAAAAAAAGTTAGGATCAAAGAAATGTATAGTCAATCTAGAGCTTGAGCAGGGTGGCATAATGAACTGCCTGTTTTAAAGTGATAAAGACTTCCAAGAATTAGATGTAGGTTCCAGAAAGAGAAAATTGTGCACACGTGTCCAAACGAAATGGGGGTACAGATGAGGGAGACCTAATGATTGAGTTATTGTGATGTTCTATATCTGAAAGAGTAAAGTTTTTTTAAAAAATCAACCTCAATTCCAAATGTTCCATTCTGGTGACATTGCTGGTCAGGGTTCCCCTATGCCAAATCCAGGCTCCCCAAATTCATCAATCTCATATGTGGGTTAAAAAAAAAACTCTAAAAATACATTGTGATTCTCTACACTAGGAAGCTTTAAATCTCCAATCTTTTCCCTTTTTAAAAAATGAAAACAAAACAATGGATCTTCATTTTTGTGTCTGGGATCTCAAATTTGGCTCTGAATATGTGTTTCAAATCTCATTAATTACAATATTGGTCCCAGGAGATACAGTTGCTGATGCAAAGAACACTCTTTGTACTCAACATAATTTGAACAAGGGCAAAGAAGCATTTTATTTACATGTGAAAACATTTAGAGGAAAATAAAACAGAGATGGTTCAGGTAGCTGCTGAGCTGTTTTAATGATAATTGATTTGATTACTTAAGCTTTAAGGTTACTATATACAGGATACATATACATATAAAAGTCATGTTTTCACTTTGTATATTTGTCAGATGAGAACATTCTTATAAAGGTAACTCTGACATTAACTTCGCAAGTTCTGAACTAAGACCTTTTAGCATTTTATTCTTTCCAAAGACTAAGACCAAATTGTTCTAAATTCCATACCCCACTGTGCAGATCTATAATTTATTTATTTTTTAAACATCAGAAAATATGCCATTACCCATAGGACTTCCAAATGTAACAAATCTGGGTAAAAACCAATCAAATGAATAAATTATAGCAGTAGACAGCAAACAGTTTCTCCTGTTCTCTTTCTTCATTTTCCTTTCTCTATAGGAAATAGCAAATTAAACCATGGCTATTCATGATCTTGTACTATGAGAACACATATGGGCATACATTTTTGTCCTATTAACAAGTTTGTTGGCTTGGTGGCAGAAAGTAAAGTACACTGTAAAGACATCTTAATGCTTTGAGTAGGGTCATTTGTTAATGGACAGCCCAACCTAAAAGTCTTGTACTAATCTCTTATGGTACCCATTGGCTGTCTTTAAATGGATACTGAAGAGCAAAGGCAGGCAGCCCTGGTTATACACAAGAACCACGTGGAGCTTATGAAAAAAATGCAGGTACCTGGGTCCATCCCCAAGGTTTCTGATCCAGTTAGTATATAAACAAACAAACAAAACCCAACAACAATGAAAATAAAGGCAATTCTAACGTGCCATGATTGAGAACCATAGTTAAGAGAGTCCCAACACCAGTGCAAGGATAATACCTACTTTGTTTTTGGATAGTAGGACAAAGCCCACCCTTGGTTCGTTTTTCCAGGGGCAGGCAGGAGGGTGTCTGAGAAGCTGCCAGAGCTCTCTGAGAACTGACAGCATTCTCTGAGCAGCACCTTTATAGGGAGTATTCTATAAGAGATGGAGCCTTGATATACTAAAAATTTTCTGGGTTAAGGCCAATGGAAGTAGATAATTGAACAAAAAAATTACATAATGCTAACCTTGAAGTTGAGTCTGTAAACTGTGGCAACCTTATACACATTTGAGCATTTTGAGCAAAAGTTCATTAAGAGAGGCTGACTGGCTCAGCTTCGCTTCAATCACCCAATCATTGCAGGTCATTAGAAACAAAAAGAAGAATATGAATGCCATATCCTAACCACCCAATAACTGTAGGTCATTAGAAACTGACAGAAGAATTCTTAAGTCAGAAATGGCAAATTACATCTCTTGGAAATTAATCTACTTAAGCCAGTGTATTTTTTTCCCCCACTTTTCCCCCCTCATTTCCTTTATTGGCTTAATTTTTGTCCTTTTAATAAAAGTGCTTTTTTTCTTATATCTTTTTTTTAACGATAATGTCTGTCCTCTATTACTTTTAATCTTTTGCTATCACACTCTATGGCTTCTTCATTTAATCCTGTATCTTCTAGTCTTCTCATCTTTTTATACCTCACTTTCCTCATGTTTTTTTCCTTGTCATTAACACCAGTATAGAAAGTCCTTCCTCTTCATTTTCCCGTCTTTATGTCTGGTTGCCAACCGCGTTTTTGATTCTCGACCTCTCACTTTTGCTAACTGCCCTTCCTTAATCATCTGTTGATGTTTTATTCCTATCACTTCTGTCAATGCTCACACCCATTTCTTTCCTTTCCATCTATCTGTATATCTCCATATGCATTTTATGATCCTCCTACTAAATGCTTAAAGCTGTGTGTGTGTGGAATAGAACGGTACCTTCCTCCACGCGAATCCGATTTCCCTCTCCTCCCATAGCTACTTCTTGTCTATTCATCCTTTCCAGATGTCGCCCTGTCCCACCCCATCTGTCCCCTTCTTCCCCGTGTGAAGCCCATCTTCTTTCTAACCCCATTTGCACCCGTCTGATTTTACAGTCAAGGACTTCAATAAGATAAATGATGCAGAGTTCTACTGGGAACCAGATTGTGTGTGTTTCTGAAACTTTTGCGCGTTTACTGAAATGGGATTAGGGATTTGGATACAGAAACATTCTCGGGCAGCCTTTCAGCCCTGGCACAGCTTTGTACACCTTGGAGCGCGCTGGGGCCTATTCTAACGGGCAAGGACAGGGAAGTCTTTCAAGACCTTTTCTGGCCTTTTCCACTCCAGGGGTCAGGATGAATAGGCATCACTGACCCAAACTGTTAAACCAGGCCGGGTGGGGAAGCCTGGGGCCCTCTTCTGCGGCAGATCTGGCGGGGTGTCCAGGGCGCCGCGGGGCTCCGTGCAAGAAGGGGTTGGGGCAGGGGCCGCTGCGGCCGCAGGAGTCACCGGGCCTCCTCGGGAGGTCCGCTCACCTCTTACAGAGGAGGCCGACCCCAGGCCGGGTGCTCCCCTGGGGCGCAGGGCGCGGCCCCGGGCGCCGCCACCGCAGCGGCGCCGAGGGCCGGAGGTGCAGCCTTTCCCCAGGAGAGAAGGCGAGTCGCTGTCGGTCGCTCAGCCAGAAGGTCGAGGGAACCGCGCGGGTGTCCCTCGCCAGCCGGCCCTCTGGGAACAGGGCGGGGGCGACACCCCAGGGAGTAGGGCTGAGGACCGCAAAAATCAATCGTGGGTACCGGCGCGGGGTCACGCATAGGAGAGGAGCGGGAGAGGGGCTGGTGGGGGCCCCAGGGCGGCTGAGGCCGTGGCTCTGTCGTGGACTCGGCGGGCGCCCCGAAGTCTGGGGCCGCCACGGCTCCAGCTCCGCCGGCTCCGGCCGGAGACTCCAGGCCGCAGTTTCTCCTCCTCCCGGCGCCTTCTCTCCAGTGAGGAGCTGAGCGCGGGCGGCGCGGGGGGAGGGGTGGCGGCGGAGAGAACAGCCAGTTGTTTAAAATCCTTCTAGAGCAGTTTCTAATTCCCCCCTTGCGCCCGGGTTCGGAGGGGGGAGGGGGAAGGAGAGCGGGTGGAGGGAGGAGAGCGGAGAGGGAAGGCGGGAGGGAGGGAGTCGGGGAGGGAGGGAAGGAGGGAGGAGACTGCCGCTGAGGCTTAGCCGCCACCGCGCGCTTCGGAAGGCCAGAGGGAGGGGGAGGCCTGTCAGTCTCGCGCGTTGCCTGGGCGAAGGGGGCGGAGCTTTGGCGTGGGGCGGCCAATAGTGGGGGTGGCTGCGTGGGTCGCCATGGGGACGGGGCTGTTCCCGGGGAGGCTGTGATGGGTTGACAGGTGCGTGACAGTGGGAGCTGCTCTCGGCACAAGCATGTACGGCAAAGGCAAGAGTAACAGCAGCGCCGTCCCGTCCGACAGCCAGGCCCGGGAGAAGTAAGTGTCTCCGCTTCTCACCCACCTCCGCCTTCACACGCGCGCACACTCACGCACGCACTCGCACACTCTGGGAGACACAGACACTCTCCGCCCGGGGAGCGCCGGGGGTGGGCTGGCAGGGGGAGGGGTGCCGCGATGGGGGCGTGTGGTGCGGGGAGCTGCGCTTTCCCGGGAGGTGCGGGCGCTGGGCGGGCGGCCGCAGGGGGCTGTCGGCGGGAGGGACCGGGTGTGTTGAGGGGCGGCGGTGGTGCTGGTGGCGAGGATGGAAACTTGTTTGGGTGATTGAGGGAAATAACCCGCGGGTTCACCTTCCAAAGTAACTTTAGAGCTGGGGTCCGGGGCTCCGGGGACCTGGGGAGCCGCCGGGGGTGGCGGGAGGGGCAGCTGCGTGGAGGAAGGCGCGCAGTGGGAATGTGGGTGTTTGGCGGGCCGGCCGGGGTCGGGGCCGGGGTCGGGGCGGGCAGCGCGGGGAGCGCGGCGGCGGGGGCCTGGGCGCTGGGGCTTAGGGCCGCGAGCGCGGGGCGAGGCGAGGCGAGGGCGGCGGTGCCGGGCGCGCGGCGGGCGGAAGCCGGGCGTGGAGCGGCCGAGCGGGGCCCCGCGGGGCGCGGAGACGCGCGCGGGGCGCGGAGGGCGTGTGCGGGTTGGGCGTCCGGGCTTTCCTGGGCCAGCTACGGACGCGGCGCCCGCAGTCCCCCGCGCATCGCGGGGCTGGGGCTGGGGCTGGGGCGGGGGCGGGGGCGGGTGGGCGCCGGAGACGCCGCCGAAGTTTGGGAGTCGGAGAGGGACCGAGTTCCCGGGGAGCTAAAGTGTGTTGGCGAGGAGCGGGATCCGCTGGAGGAGGCTGGCGTTTCTGCCTCTCGCAGCGGACCCAACTCCGCGGCGGCGGCTGGCGAACTTTTTGTGAGGCTGGCAGCCCCCGAGCGGCGGGAGGGGCGGGCCCGGCGGGGCGGTGGTCGGGGGCGCGCGGAGGGGAGTTGTGGGAGCCGCCGGGGGCGCCCGAGGAGGGCAGCTGTGGCGGGGAGGGCCAGTGGTCCGAAAAGGGGTTTGTGGGAGGGGAGAAGCGTTCAGGTGGGAAGGAGCCGCTTGGTTACAGTTGTGGGGAGATACAGGTGTTAACTTCGGTGGGAGCCCAAGAGGCGGCTGGCGAGAACAGAGCCCCTCCCGGCCCGGGATGCCACTGTCACGGCACACTGCAAAGCAAAGCGGTTTGCTGCTATTCTTGTGTACTTGTAACGGTGATTTGGTTGTTACTAAAAATGAGAACGAATAGTGACTGTGATCACTGAGGAAGAACCCCCCCCTTTTTTTTTTAAACTGTGCAACAGATCAGTGATTCCCAGTAACCACTTAAACTCTGAGGGTCAGAGTTATCCTTGTCGTTGAACGCACCCTGTCTTTCTGAGGGGGTTCAGACCAGAGAAAAAGTCTGAGAGCATCTCTCAAAGGTACTTTGGTTACCTTGCGCACAGAAATAGCTGCGTAAATAAAAACCGAATGCGCAGGCGACTGAGTTTCCCTCCTTGGTTTAGGCAGTTAGTCTCCCCCTGAAAGTTTTGTGTGCCCTAGGGATGGGAACATTTCCTAATCTTTGTGTTGGCAGCAACACACTCAATTCCCATAGGATTTAGAGGTATCAGGCCTTGATGTAGCAAAGCAAAACAAAACAAAACAAAAATTAGAGAGGCTTTTTTGTTTTTTTGCAAGAGATATTTTCTGAGCTGCATTCAGGATCTTGTTGCTGTGACAAGTAGTATATAAAAGACATAGCGTTATAGCCTGGTTAAGAAACGGCAGTTACTAGAATTGAAGTTTTGAAATGCAGTCTCATTTGTGTGCATTAATCATTTTGTTATAATGTGCCTGATAAAAACATCTGAAGGAGGATGTTTTAATGATCACAGAATATTTGAATTTCACATTAGTCAGAGTGATTGAAATGTATTGAGGCATGATCTTATTTTGGGGGTGACTGAATTTGAGAATCAAAGTAATTTTAGATTTTAGGTGAACTTCCAGGAAGGGGTGAACTTTAGTTGAATCCCACTCAGTATCCTGAGGACTGCTTGATTTTTTTTTTTAGTTTCTCAGATAATAACAAGGATGTTGGAACTTGCATAACTGTGGTCCTTTCTAGCTCTAATTCTGTGATTTCCCACCAGGAAAACAAATAATTGCCACTTTGCTGTCAAATCTACCAAACTGAACACCAAGTAATATCTACTCTCGTGAGCAGATCAGGGTTCTGCTAGATGGTGCTATTTGATTTAAATATATTTCTTCCATTCATTTCAATTGGCAGCAGGAATTCTTGACTGGTTTGCCTTATGAACTTAAATATAGGTGAAGAGGCCGCTTTTGGAGAATTGACAATGACTGTTCTGGGTTAATTGTCGTTGCATTAATTTCTAGGTTAATGTTGTTTGAATCTAAGACAAACATCGACGTAGGTTCTGTCTTATAGAATAAACTTAATTTCATCTTGGTGGGAGAGTTGATCTAATCTCTCGGTTTTTCTCTTTATGTTTACTTGGGACTTTAATGGCACTATTCTGCAACAATGTACTAACATCTGAAGGTAGGAATCTTGAAGTCATCATTAAAATGGATGTCACCAGATTTTTGTTCTTAATTTTTAAGGTAACAGATTATAAAAGGTGAAGAATTCTCCTTTAGTAAGCAAATTAGAACTGTTCTTATCTTAAAAATCACAGAAATAATTTGTTTCTGTAACAAATACTCATTTTAACAAAAACATTCTGCAAAAGGAGTCATTATTATAAATAATAGCATGCTTAGGAAATAAGCACATTGGTTTTATAATCAAGAAATGTGTTTTCTAACATGAGTTCATGGTGAATAGTTGACAAGTGCTTACCTGTATTAGATCTTTGTTTTGTCTTTCATTAGGAAGTCACTATATGAAATATTTGAAGTGAATTATTGGTTTTACACAATTCCTGTAATTTCAGTATACAGTTCTGATAAAAATGATCAGGGTAAGATTAGTTACTTACTCTGTCATTTTAAGAAAAGCAGATCAAGTCTTAATTATAGAGGGAGTGATTGAAAACCCTTGGAGGGAGGTGGGATTTAGAAATTTTAATTCTGATCTTGTTAGGTCATTTCTTCCTTTAGCAGGCTTTCTTTATAACACTAATCGCAATTGTGATTAAATAACCGTGATTGGCTGTTTAATGTTTAACTTTCCCTAAAATATAAGTTTGTTGAGGGTAGGAGATAATCTAATTTCTTCTCTGAGGTATCTTGAACATTAAGGTGCCTTCTAATACCAAAAGCATCAATAAATTATTGTTATTGAAGATGTTAGACTCAAAGGAATTTTTTCAATGTAAAAAAATTTTTTTTCAGTGACCTCCAAAATAAGGACTTGTAAGTTTGAGTTTCACATTCTCTAGCTTAGTTGTATTTCAGAAATACCCCTAAACAACAATACAACAAAAATAACTATTATTTATTTGCCATCCTGTGTGCCAGTCACTATGTTCAGTGTTTTATGTATATTTTTTTCTTAATTCTCCCAACAAATCTACAAGACAGTTGCTTTTTTTTTCCTCCATTAAAGAAATATGAAAACTAAGACCCTGAATGGTTAAAGAACTCACCGAGGGATACAATGCTAGAAAACAGGAAAGCTGGGTTTCTAACACAGATTTCTCTAACTTTAGAACCTGTGATTGAAGCTGAAAGATACATTTTTCAGTGTACCAGATTGTCTTCCTGAACTAGGGTAGGATGCTACAGATTTAGGGAACAGCATTACATAATCAGATGTGACAGACTTTAAAGATTTGATCAAATATGCAGTCTTAACCACTGGTGCACCCTGATGCTTTGCAGATCTGTGTATGGTGTGGGAGAAGGCACAGAAATTTTAGGAAAGTTGGAAGCCTAACATAATGACGAAAACTTGTTTCTTCAGATTCCCCCCCCCCCCAGGAATTTTGTTTGATTGCTTGTTTTAAAGTTAAACATAATAGTTGTGAACAATTCCTATATGAAATGTTGCTGAACTTAAAGCCACACAGTATGCCACACTACCGCAGAAAGAGTAACTGGCACCTGCAAATAGATGAGTAGTGATATTAATTTTTTATTAAACTAATTTGATCTTTTATGTAAAGCACAGAAAGATGAATCTGCTAGAAAGCAAAGTTGAACATAAAAGATACACATAATATATACCGACTTTTATTTAGTAAACTAGCCAGAAACTACAAGAATCAAACTGTCTAATCTTGAGCTCTGAAAAGTAACTTTGGCTTTTAAATTTTCAATGTTAGTTGAATATACCAAGAAGCAAATACCATATGCTTATTTCAAAGTAGTTACAGTATAATGAACATTTAAATGCCACTTCATATAAAAGGGATTAATATCTGCCAGCATCACCTTGTTCTCCCCTTCTACCATTAAAGTAATTAAAGCATTCCCCCATCATTAAGGTACCCCCTGCAAAGAAAAATGACAAACCTTTCTTTCTTTCTGAAGGAATAAGGCAAGAAAAGTAATAGAGATCTCTTCAGAAACTTACTTGACAGCAATTCGCACAATTCAGGATTTCCAAAACTAATGAAGGAGTATCTTATGGAAGTGAAATTTTGTGTAAAATATTAAATTGCCCCTCCCCCTTTCAGTCTCCAGGATGTTCCCCCAAAATACAAGTTGTTTAACTTGTATCCGAAATGTCATGTTAGCTTTTGATTGATCTTTTTCTGTTATTTCAGAAGTATCAAAAAAACCCCTATTTTTAAGGAACATATCTAAAGAAAGAATCTGTGTAAGATGTTCAGAGTTAAGTTTTGGTATTGTTTATCCAGAGATTAATTGTGACTCTTAGAAGTAGTAGTAATATTGTAATTTTTTTTCAGAGCTGTGAGAGAAAAAAGTTGAAAGTTTTCAGTTTCACGCTTTCAAAGCCAGTTTGCCACATAAAACCAATTTAGGATGCAGACAAAATCACTACATTTTAGTTGTTCTGCAGTAATAGACCAAATATGCCTTTCATCTTTAATCACTTCTAGAATTATTTTGTTTTAAGATTAGAGCATACTCTGTGGGGCAGGGGCTGGAATACCCAGGTTGCAGTTTATTAATGTTTATTAATACTTCACCTCAGTAGTTGAGAGTTAGAAGTAAAATTTGGGGGAAAAAACAATTCAAATTTAGAATCTTCTTTCTTCCATAGAAATCACAACCATTGCATTAATCCTGGGACATAGGACAAAAGTACTGAGTTTGAAAGACATGGAACTACTAGGAATATATAATTTAAAAATAGGATTTCAAAATTATTTTGGAACACATGAGGTTATTCTCTATTATTGTGTGTATGTTATTGCTTTGCCATTGGTGTGGGAATTACAGATTATATATTTGCATGCTAGTGACATGTGAGCCTCTGTAAGCGTATGCTAAAATATTAATTTTATTAAGAACTTACTGTTTCTGAAAGGGTGGACTTAAAATAGCATTGGAGCAATAGAATAAGATTCATTTGTTAATATCTGAAGCGTTTGGAATATAAATAATATTCCCGATTTTAAACATTTGATCAAACTTTGTGTATTTTACAAATGTAGCATGTATTCATGCAAGGTTTTGTTAACGTATGTATATAACCTAGCATAACTTGGACTGTGAGAGTTACTTGACTATTAGATTAAAACCCTATACATACTACAAAAGGTGAGCTGAAGGGTGGTCCACCAAGATTAATGTCTTGCCTGTTTTCAGTAGTTAGAGAAATAGCAGAGGCTCTTCTTCTGCAACCTATTTTATTCTTTGTGTGAGGACATTAAAAAACAAGTGGAAATATGGACTGCCTGGGGAAGAATAGAGTTTTTCCAGATAACTTTAACATTTCTGATTGGTCATAATTGGTAAATGGTAATTTTTGTCATGTAAGTTAATAGTTAAGAATTTTTGAAAAATGGAACTGTTAATGTTTTTCTTATAATTATAGGACCAAAAATTCATCTGGACTCAAATCAGCCTGGGCAGTCTCAATGCAGTGGCATAATTAATATTTATTTTTTTGTTCTTTTTTTTAAAGACAAACTTCAGTTGGTGTCATTTCTTTAGAAATGACAAAACTACTCTCATCTTTTTCCTTTAAGAATGTTAATTACATTTCATGTATGACCCTAAACAGCTTTCAGACAATAATGAGCCATTGTAACATTTTAAATCACAGTTCAGCTAGAGTGAGTGTAAACGAATGACCTGGCAATCTCCTATTTTTGATCTTCTCTGTTAATTTTGCTTCATGGCTATAATGTCAAACAAGTAGTTCAGCACAGAAAAAAAATTGTAGAGGCTAAAATATAGCCCTTTGTTTTTTTTTTTCTAGTTTTAAATATTTTTGTAATTGTAGGTGTTAAAGAGTATGGTTGTAATTACGAATATAGCTTTAATTTTTAATTAGCTTTAAATCTATAGCATATTAAAATACTGATGAAATATTTGTAAAGGCAAGAATAATAGATGAAAATATATGTAGCTCTGTCCATGTAAGTTGGGTGAGGAATTGATGACAGAAAAAGGCTCTTACCTGAAATTAATATGATTTATTTTAGTGATCTGATATTTGTCTGATTCTCCTTTTATTTGTCTATTTTAGATGAGAAAAAACCAAGAGCTACTTTATTAATGGAAGAAATCTAAGTAAATAAATTATTCTTTTAAAAATGATCTCATTTTAAATAGGATTAAAGTGAATATTTTTTGTAAAATAACAAAATCCTAAATAGTATATAAAGAGTTTGTGTTTTGTCATAGAAAATTATTGCTTAACATTAACAGCAGTGCTATCATTTGAGTATCTTGTTTGTTTGGCACTTGTCTGCATTATCTCATTTAATCCCCTCAAATCCAGTAGGCTGTAGGTACTGTTTTCTCTTAATGTTATGGAAGAAACAGGCTTGAGTTTATTAGGCTTTTGGCTTCAGGTATCAAAACAGGAGACAGAAAACAGCTTAATTGATCAGGTTTAAAAGTAAATCTCACATAACAGGATGTCTAGAAGTGGTAGTGTAAGAGTTCATTCATTGAGTCAAGAACATCAGGGTTCAGGATCGGCTTCTTTGCCATCCTCATGGTCTTCCTCTCATGAATGTAGCATGGCTGCCTCGGGTTCCCAGCATCACTCCCTTACACACTCAAGTGTAAAGGCAGGAGGAAGGACAGGGTTTTTCTTTCTTTGTGTCTCACCAATCAGGGAGGAAAACTTTTTATTGAAGTTGCTTAGGAGACATCTTCTTATCCCTTATTAGAGAGAACTACAGAATTTCTTCCTGTAAACAAATTATGCTAGATATAATGGGATTACCATAATTGGCTCACGTGAACTACCTAAACAAAACTTGGGATCTTTAGCAAGGAAGATGTATCTTGAGGATATAGGGAGAATAAAATGAGTCCCTGCTTTCATGAGACTTTGAAGGTTGAAGGAGAAATATATAATAATAAGCAAATAAATGTACTAGGCAACTTCAAATAGTCATATATACTATAAAAATAATAAAATAGTGTGATGTAGTGTAGAGAATGACTGGGAGGCTATGCTAGATTGGGTAGTCGGGAAGGTTCTTGGAGGAGAGGACATTTCAACGGAGAACTGAAAGAATCAGCCATAGAAAGACCAGGTTACAGTATTTCAGGCATGTCTAAGCTACTATTGAGGAAACCTTAGCATCAACATAATTGCTCAAGGATATGTTAAATATGAGTGAAAATTGGGATGAAGAAGCCATACTTGCCTGGTTTTGTTTTTAAAATGGAGGAATTGGGTGTTGGGTTCAGTTTATCTGATCTTCCTAGATAATAGGATTGATATCTTTTATCTTTCAAACCCTAAGGATAAACTTGTTCTGAAGGACAGTGGGGCTTTTATAATGATGATTATAGAAATAACTAAGATTTGTTGAACACTTACAGTATACTGGGTTAACAGAGGTTGGTACAATTGGCGTAATTATTTCTCCTAAACCTTCTAGATTGGATTGGATACTCTCATAGCAGACTTTTTTCTTTTTCATATTTATTATAAATAACAAATTATTTGTATTATTATTTTTTTGAGATGGAGTTTTGCTCTTTTGCCCAGGCTGGAGTGAAGTGGCGCAATCTCGGCTCTCTGCAACTTCCACACACCCCCCAGGTTCAAGCGATTCTCCTGCCTCAGCCTCCCTAGTAGCTGGGATTACAGGCATGCACCACCACACTTGGCTAATTTTTGTATTTTTAGCAGAGAGGGAGTTTCACCATGTTGGCCAGGCTGGGCGCGAACTCCTGACCTCAGATGATCCACCTGCCTCAGCCTCCCAAAGTGCTAGGATTACAGGCATGAGCCACTGAGCCCGGCCATTTGTGTGATGTTTAATGCCTCATCTTCCAGTTAGATTGGAAGCTCCATAAGAGCAAGGACCATGGTGTCTTCCTTACCGTCATATTCCCACTGCTTAGCACAGTGGTTGCAAGGTTTGTGATTATGTATTTGTGGAATAAATGAGTTAAGGATGTAATGAATTGGAAATATGTCACAATAGTCTATCACCGTATCTAGCTGATTTTCTCCCCAATACTCCTAGTATTTGGTATAAGAATTAATGTAATTTCTAAAAAATACTTTTCTATAATATGGGCATTTAGTATTCTTTCTTTGAATTTCAGGACTATGGAAGATTATATTATGATGTGTGTATATTTTTAATGTGAATTTTTGACAGAATTTTTTCATTTTCTTTGTGTTAAATTTAATATAAATGAAATTGTACTTTATAGTTTTCAAAATATTTTAATGTATAGTATTTTGTTTTACTTAAGTCACATTATAATCGTATGAGCTGGGTGGTATCTCCATTGACTAGCAATATTTATAAGTGGAAATTGACTTATGCAGCTAGGGTAATACAGATAATATGTGGCAGACCTGAGCCATATTTAGAGTTTTTTCGTTCCAAGGTCAGTGTTCCTTTCATTATGCTACAGCTGCCTCTTTTATAATGAGAGATTCATATATATTTAAGGTTTAAGTGTGGATTTGATTCAACAGAGAATCATAGATTAGATGATAGTTAAAAGTTTATGTCAGTACTTTCATTAAACAAAAAATATTGTTACAGTGTGTTAAACACAATCTGTAAAATTACTTAACTCTAAAAGTGCCACATCATGAGTGAAAGCTGATTTTTGTTTGAAATCCTTATGCTTTTGTAACATAAGTGGATAGGTACGGGACTTAGGATAGTTTTGGGCTTTTAATTTGTGAAGACAGGCTAATTTTTATCAGTGAACTCTTCTCTATTCCTTTGCCATTTAGCTTCAATTTGGAGTGCTGGGTTAGGGGGAGGGAAAGGTAAGGTTTTTTCGCTTTTATACCTCTCTCTAACAAGGGAGGAAAAGTCTTTCAGTATGAATTATTGAGAGAATATTCTTTTTCTTTTTTAATGTGGTAATATATATATAACCTAAAATTTACCATTTTAACCACTTTTAGTTGTACAGTTCAGTGGCATTAAGTACGTTCACATTATGGTATAGCCATCACCGTTCTCCATCTCTAGAACTTTTTCATGTTTCCAGACTGAAACTCTGTACTCATTAAACAATCACTCCCCACTCCCGCCTTCTATGTGCCCTTGACAACTACCATTCTATTTTCTGTCTCCAAGAATTTGACTATTCGAGGTATCTCATATAAGTGGGATCATATAGTATTTGTCTTTCTGTGGCTGGCTACTTTTGATAGCTTAATCCCTATAGCAACTTCGTAAAGTAGATATAATCCCCATTTTACATATGGGGAAACTGAGTCTCAGAGGTTTTATATTTTGTCCAGGGCCACAGAGTAAATTGTATAGTCTGGATTCAAACTCAGGTTTCTGACTGCACTGCCCATTTTAACTATTTTGACTCAGTGTGTTTCATCGCTTAACATGGCGGAAAAATTGTAATGGAAGTTGTGGGAGGTGGCATGAGGATGGGAGGGGAATGTGCATATTCATCATTTTTAGTTGGGGTGGGAGGCAATAGAGGTTAAGAAGTTAAGGGAAGAGTAGAAGCATTTTATAGCTGCTAAAAAGGTGGATAGTATTATAGGTACCAAAAGTGCCCCACAGATAGCTACAAATTCTTTAGCTGGTATCTGAGATTTAACAACATGGATGTAGGTGCTCACCAGAGAGGAAGATGCCAATTAAGAACTCAGGTTATAATTTCAGATAGAGCTGTTTCTCATTCTGTAACCAGAGGCAGAGTAATCCGGCATAAGTTACTTTAAACTTTGGAGTCAGGAATATGTGATATTTAGGAAAAAAGGATCCTGTAATTATGAGTCTCTTTTGTTGTCTCTTCCAAGCAGCGTATGGCCTATTGGGCTTTTTTTGGACAAGGGCACCTGAGAAGCTCCGTGTGATACAGGAGCAGTAGTACAATCATATTGGTTCTATTACCTAGTCATTTCTGTAATACTGGCTATTAGAAAAAATAGAAATAATTTCTTTGTTTTATTTTTTTCACATCATTATGTGCTATTTGTCATTTATAATTGGATTGAAATTATTTGATGATTATACATTATCAGTATATTTAAGCGCTAGCTATCCTGGGAAGCTATTAAGGTGTTTTGGTACATTCTTTTTTTTTTTTTTACCCTGGATTAAACTTAGTGACTGATACTGTATTCCTTCACTTAGAAATATTGTAATGGAAAAACTTGAGTGAGCTTTCTTGCTATCAGATATATTACACATACATATACACACATGTGTATGTGTGTATATCTTGAGAGTAGTTTTCAGGTAGGAGTTCATCTTGGGAATGACTTAGTAATTTTGAATTCAAATTTTACTGAGTCAATTATATAAGTGAGTTGGACTTACGAATTCAGGGCCAGAAAGATTAGAGTATAAGCAAGTTTTTACTGAAATATTAAAGGTTGTTGATGCTTTTCTGTAAGATAGGAGTATAATCGACAAGAGTGATCATTGACAAGATAACATAGCAAGTACTGGCAAAAATGCTGCTAGTTGACAAAATGCTTTTGTGTTTGTATTAGGTCCCCAGCAGAATAGCAGAATGGCTCTCTTAAAGGGTTAATTGTATGGAATCATATAGAATTGTACAGAATAATAATTGTATATAGAATAGCGTAAGAAAGTAGGGCTTCTTAAAAAGCTGGATTTTGCCAAAATAGCATTTAAAATGTTTTTAAAACTTGTTAACTATTTTATAGTGTAAATGTATATATATATTTTATGAGATGGGAATCATATTTATTCTATCTCCCCACTCCGTTATTCATTAAAAAAATGTTAACCGTCTGTTATATGTCAGCCTCTGTTGAGCCTTCCTGAGTCAGATCTTAATAACCTGGCAATCTCTGCCCATCAGGAACTCCCCATTCAGAGGGGCCTCACTATCAGCCACTACCACACTGGGTAGCAAGCACTATAATGGGTATGCAGAAGGTTCTGTGGGATTCCTGAAAAAAAGCATTGAATCTAGCCTAGGGCTGTGAGAGTGTCAGGAAATATTTCTAAGAGGATGTTTATTGAAAGGCTAGCATTAGTCAAAGTGGAAGATGGGGCAAGTAAAGAGTATTTTAGCCAGAGAGAGAATCATGTACAGCAACATGGAGGCATTAAAAGGTATGATATAGTTGGTGAACTGCAGTAAAGTTGGTAGGGATAAATCTGGCAGATTAAATACGAACTATTTCAAGAACAGCCTTAAATGACAACTTGACCTAGGAGATAAACAATTTTTTTTTTTTTTTTTTTTTTTTTTTTTTTGGAGATGGAGTCTCACTCTGTCACCAGGCTGGAGTGCAATGGTATGATCTCGGCTCACCGAAACCTCCACCTCCCAGGTTCAAGCGATTGTCCTGCTTCAGCCTCCCAAGTAGCTGGGACTACAGGCGTGCACCACCATGCCCGGCTAATTTTTGTATTTTTAGTAGAGATGGGATTTCACTATGTTGGCCAGGCTGGTCTCGAACTCCTGACCTCGAGTGATCCACCCACCTCAGCCACCCAAAGTGCTGGGATTACAGACGTGGGCCACTGTGCCCGCCCTGAGATAAGCAATTTTAAGCAGAAAAGTTACACCATCTGAGGTGCATTTTAGAAGAATCGTTTTGGAAATCATATGGAGCATGGAGTAAAGGGGGAGGTAGATCCATTAGGAAGCGATTGCTATAACAATACAAATGCTTATAGCGTCATCATTTTTCTACACCAATGCAGTGGTCATTTCAGGATGTAGAATAGATCAGACTTGGTGGCCTAAGTGTGAAAATTAGGATTTTTAAAGATGGCTGCAATTGTTGGTAGAAGTTTTAGTCACAGACTTTGGGATACAGGAGGAGGAACAGGTAATTTTAAAGGTGTAAGGAGGAAGATGATGAGTTTAGTTTGAGATGCCATTAAGACCTAGCGATGGAGAAGTTTGGGAGGAACTTGGATATGTAGCTTTTGAGTTCCTGGAAGAAGTCTAGGCTGGAGATACAGAAATGAGAAAGGATAAGTGTGAGGAAACTAAGGCTTTAATAGGATAAGTAATTTAGCTGAAGTACACATGTTAGAGCTGAAATCTGAACTCAAGGTTTAGTTTATTATTTCTCTCTTTAAAAAAATAGCGTTATTGAAATCTGACATTCATACAGAAAAGTGCACATATCCTAAATGTGTAAATTTGATGAGTTTTCGCAAACTGAACACACCAGTGTAACCAAGTACCCACATCAAGAAAAAGAACATTACCAGCACTCTGGAAGCTTCATATGTGCTACCCATCTTGCTTGATTTTTAACAGCATAGATCAGTTTTGCTTGTTTTTGCTACTAATGTATGGCCCATTTGGTTTTGCATCTTGTATCATTTGAAGGCACGAAATAGGGATAAAGCCATTCTTCTTGGGAATGTGCAGGGAGAAAGTGTGAGGAAATCAGAGATGGAAGTTCGGGGAATATTTAAGGTATAGGTGGAATGAGAGTTTGAAATTGAGATTGAAAAGAACGGAGACATATGAGGGAAACGCATAAAGGACTGACATTAGCAGAAATCAAGGAAAGGGAGTTTTGAGAATGGAAGGGTGAGTTACCATGCCAGATTTGTAGAATGAACAAGAAGGTTAAACAGGGCTGAGTTTTTTGTTTTTTTTTTTTTTTTGAGATGGAGTCTCACTCTGTTGCCCAGGCTGGAGTGCAGTGGAGCAATCTCGGCTCACTGCAAGGTCTGTCTCCCGGGTTCATGCCATTCTCCTGCCTCAGCCTCTCGAGTAGCTGGGACTACAGGCGCCCGCCACCACACCCGGCTAATTTTTTTTTTTTGTATTTTTAGTAGAGACGGGGTTTCACCGTGTTAGCCAGTATGGTCTCAGTCTCCTGACCTCGTGATCCGCCTGCCTTGGCCTCCCAAAGTGCTGGGATTACAGGTGTGAGCCACCGCGCCTGGCCAAACAGGGCTCAGTTTTTAAGAAACCATCTGTGACTTAGGGAGGACAGTTTCAGTGGAGTGAACTCAAGTTAGATGCAGTGTTTTGGGAAATTGATAGAAGATGAGGTGGTGGAGATGTCAAATGTGGACAGCCTTCACTGGAGAAAGGAAGCATAGAGAGAAGACTTAACTGGAAGGGGACATACTTTTTTTTTTTTTTTTTTTTAACTTGGAGAATTTTGCAAGGAGGGGCAATAGTTGGAATAATTTTGGGTTTTATTGTGTTGTAAAGAGGTTTTGTGAACTCCAAAGTGTTTTAAACCACTTTTATTATTATTATCATTAAAGGATGACAATAATGGTATGCTACAGGGGACATGGAAAGGAAAGCCAGTAGGTAAAGTGGTTTTTAGCTTTAGTTAGGTGGGTGTTGAAAGTGACTGAGTGTATGAATTTTTAAAAAGTGATTTTGGGATGGATTACACTTGCTACCTTTTGTCAACTGATTTTTAAAAACTTTCTGAATTGTAGGAGATTAGAATTAAAGGGATCATTTTGAAGTGATAACTAGAAAATAACTGTGGTACCATGGAGAAAACTAAATTAATAACTGCCCACTCTGGCTACCAATCAGGCTATTAGCCTGTAAAGCAAAAGTTTGATGGGAAATTATTTTTTAACTCTCCCTTGGTTAGCTGACTTTTCTTTAGAATTGTATTTCTAAATTTCCTTTCTACTTTTTAAATTGGTAGAAGGGACAAATGAGAATACCTGAGTAAAGGCCCTATTTACAGAGCACAAATTGAGTTAATTTGATTAGCTTACTAGTACTCTTTAAAATACTTTTTATTATTTGAGTAATAAATATTCCAAGAAGAAAAATTTAGAGATACAGATAAGCAAAAATGAAGAAAATAAAAATAACCATATAATCTTTTAGACTTTTTAATATCCATACATGCATATACAAATTTTGATATTTAATGAGAAAAACATCAAAGCCACTTGACCAAAAAGCACCCTTTTAAATTCGAGGAGAAAAGGCAGCAAAAGATAACATTTGTGAGCATATATCAATTTCCAAGTTCCAATAAATACCTCCCTCAAAAACAAGATTAAAAAAAAGTTTAAATTCACTTATTATTCATTTATTCATTAACTACTTTTTTCAGCATCCTGCTCTGTGCCAGGCACTGTATAAGGCAGTGGGCAAGGTAAACCCTGCCAGAAAAGCAAACAGGGCTTTTGGCATAGCGCCAATTTTGTGCTTGGAAGAAGTCCAGTGAGGCTGTGATAGTTTCTAGAAGCAAAAAATTCAGTAGTGCCGTAGAGTGTGTGTGTGTGTGTGTGTGTGTGTGTGTGTGTGTGTGTGTGTGTTTCAGGGTAGTAGGATGTTTTTGGAAAAGTGGTAGAGGCTACAGAAATAAGCAATGACTAATTCTTGAAAGCCAGCCTAAGAATTATGAATTCATCCTGAGGCCAGTGGGGCCCACTCTTAAGATTGGGCAGCGACTTGATCCGAGTTTGTTTTCTACCAACTTGAGAACAGGAAACAATCTGAAATACTCGTTTCATTTTACCCAGGTGTAATAAAACACAGAAGGATTGATAAATACGTTTTGTCATTTTTAAGAGGATAAGCTTAATCTCAGAGGAGAGCAAATGCACATATAGAAATGATAAAGTATGGTTATCGATGTTCTATTTTATCTAATATTTTATGGTAAAATTTATATTTTGCTCTGTCAATAGGGAAGTTTATAAAATGTTGTGAGTTATCATTTGTAAAGCATGAATTCTTTATTAAAATTATCTTATTATTTAAAAATATACAGTCAGTCCTCTCTGTGGGTTCTACATCCGAGGATTCAACCAATAGTGGATTAAAAATATTCGAAAATCAAAAATGGATGGTTGCATATTCACTGATCAGTGTAGATTTTTCTTCTTGTCATTAATCTCTAAACAATACAGTATAAGAACTGTTTACATAGCATTTATATTAGGTGTTGTAAGTAATCTAGAGATGATTTAAAGTATAGGGAAGGATGTACATAGGTTATATGCAAATGCTACACCATTTTATGTAAGGGACTTGAGCATCCATTGATTTTGGTATCTGCAGTGGGTGGGGGGTGACCCTGGAACAAATCCCCCATGGATGTGGAAGGATGACTGTATTTAAATTTAAAATTTAAGTAATAAAAAAGTCCTATGTTATATATTACTAATAGTGTATTTCTACGTAAATCTCATGATTGTCTTATCAGAGCTTTGAAATGCAACTGATAGTATTTAGGGCTATTTATTTTTTGTTGTAGTTATCAAAGATACAATAAATTAGGTTTATCTCTATATATTTAATATAATTTGCAACATCCAGCATGAGAGGAATTAACTAAAGTTTGCAGCCATTGCTGTTCTAAGCAAAATTCTTAAGTGCTTTGATCATTAATTTAGCATGCTTAATATTCATTTAAAATCGGCAGTGAGGAGCATATGCAGGTCAACTTGATTTTTCTTTTCTCTTTTTTTTTTTTTTTTTTTTTTGAGATGGAGTCTTGCTCTGTCTCCCAGGCTGGAGTGCAGTGGCACGATCTCGGCTCACTGCAAGCTCCTCCTCCCGGGTTCACACCATTATCCTGCCTCAGCCTCCTGAGTAGCTGGGACTACAGGTGCCCACCTCCACGCCCGGCTAGTTTTTTGTGTTTTTAGTAGAGACAGAGTTTCACCGTGTTAGCCAGGATGGTCTTGATCTCCTGACCTCATGATCTGCCCGCCTCGGCCTCCCAAAGTGATGGCATTACAGGCGTGAGCCACCGCGCCCGGCCAACTTGATTTTTCTTTCGGGAACTGGAATAAAGTGACATTATTTGAAAAATCTTCAATAAAGGTAATGATTTTGATATCAATTGTAAGTTAGCTAGTTATTGGTAGGAGAGACAATGATTGCACTGGCTTCCATTTTCCTTTGCTGGTTGATTATCTATATGGTGTGTACTGGGATTTGTTTATGTTATGGATATATACTTCTTGTCTGTTTTGCTTGTCTTCTGACAAGTCTAGGAGCTTTGAAATGTTTAAGAATTGTGTATGTGTTGTAGTGGCCTGGTGTCATTTAGAATATACCTGAGAAATTGTGTCAAACTGCAAACTAAAACCAAAGTGAAAAATAGTTTTGCCAGCCCTTTAAGATATTAAAGATTGCTTAGAGATACTTTGTTAATGTTATTCATTTTACTTATCACATTTTTTTCTTAGTATGGAAGGTTTTTTTGTTAGTATGTAAGTAATACAACAAATTAAGCAATGGAGTTTTTATCTGTGTATTTAAGGAATTATAAAAGGCAAAGAAACAAGTATAGGTTAATGTCACTTTTCCATATCTACCAATTCACTTAAGTAGCTTTAACCCAAATAAAACAAAGGGTCTTGACTCTTGATTCTGATCAGAAAATGTCATCCTTTTGTCCATTTACTTTAAATAAGTAGTTATTTGTGGTACAACTTGCATATTTCTGATTGTTTCTGTAGTTACCTTTGATTTTTTTCATATAATTGCAAGGCTGATGATACTTTGAAAATTTTTGGACTTCCTTACCTTTGACAGAGAAGAGAATAGTTTTGTATCTTTAAATGCATGGACATTTAACTATTTGAAATAAGTTCTATTTAGTATTCAGAGCCCTATTCAGACAAAACTAGGGACTGTAGCTGAGGCTTATGGGAAGCTTTCAATTTCCTAAGTTATATTGCTACAGCCACTGTACTGAGAAAGAACTACAGTACTGTCTAACTATGGCATTTGGTCAGATCAAGGTGAGTTATATAGAAAGGAAAAGGGAATCAATAAAATATAGGATTAATAATTTTTTAGATTTTGTAACAGATACGATTTGTCAACAAAGTTGGAGGATTAAAGACAACAATTCCTGGGGCTGTTTGATTTTAAGTAATCCAATCTGGATAGATTATAATAAATTCACGTTTTTTGAAATATATAGTTTACTAGTGAGACTATTTCAGTGTTAAGACCAATGAGTTTCCGTCTGTGTGGCTATAATGGGGGTTTCTGACCTTTTTTTTTTCTAGCTGTTGATGTATTGATGGGAATCCCTACAACCATAATTTACCATGACTAAGACATTCATTTTTCTGTTGTTTGAAAGTTAGAGAGATAAGTATCTCTCTTTTCCCTCTATATTTGTTTATTACTGTATGATTAGTTCTCTTCTATTAGTCAATATAACTGATTTCCAAGGTATATTTTCCATTTAGTGGAATCCTGAGATTGTTGGAGCCTTCATATTTTTTTCCTTCAGTCATCTTGCCGATTGACACTAAAATGAGCTTAATAAGATTTTTATCTATTATTGGAGGATTCCAGGCCTATTTATTTTCCCTAGGAAGGCTATAATATTTAACAAACAAGTTTATTGAAATATTTTAGAACTTTAAATCTTTTGAAGTTACCCAAATTGGAGGGTCTTACAACTTTGAATTACTTTCTAAGACCTCTTTCCTTCCAGTAATGAGAAACATTTATTCAACTTTTTAAAAGACAGAAATCATCTTTTTAAAATGTACTGTTTTCTAATTGTCTGAAATGACAAGAGATCACTTACCCAGCAGTGCACAAGACTTCCAAAATAGCTGAGCAGCGGGTGAGGGGCTAGAAGGCGGGGGGTGGTGGTGGTATCTTTTTTTAAAAAAGTATGTTTACTAGAAAGGGTATAAGATACTTTGCTTTTGTTATAGGTGCACTTGCACAAAACTCATTTTAACCTGTAGTCACAATTTCTTCTGTATGACCCACCCAAAGTAACCAGGCTGCAAAGCATTATACCACATATAAAAGCAACATTCAGATTGCTTGTTTTGCTTTTATTTATTTGCATATGTAATTTATTGTGCCTGTGAAAAAAGGAAGTTCTTATAAAGAGCAACAAAATAGGAAAAACAAGCAAATTGTCATTTCTTCTGGTAGATTATGATTTAGAATTTAGGTAAAAAAATTAAGTTTGAGTGATTCCATTTAATCTTGGTAGAGTTGTGATAGCTTATATGTAAAAGCAAAATCATTTTATTTAAAACATTATGAAAAGATGCTGACAGTAAATTTACGGAGTGCATTAGTGTTACTATTGGATGTGTTGGAATCCAGACTGTAAATTATTGTTACTCTGTTACATAAAGACTACTAATTTTTAGTACATGTTTATATTGATTTATTCATATTATAGATCATGGAATACCACTTCATTTTGAAAAAAGAGAATTATAGTTTTCATATTTAGAAACTGAGAAAGGATTTTTTAAAAATGAAGAAACAGATGGTTTAACATCATATGCTCTTAATTTTTGCATATTTTAGTTTCTGAAATAAATGTAATTATGGTTTTGATTATGTTTTCCTACTTTTAATGTAGCATTTCTAGGATTACTATTAAGACCTTCTAATTAACATAGGTGGATGATATTAGAGGTAACCTCGATTTGATATAAGACAGCAAATCACAGACCATCTTTTGAAGCCCATTTTAAGGCCTTGAAATCCAGTGCCTCAATGCACTGCAGTGATGAAGCAGCAGAAGTTTTTGTTCTCCTGACATAATTGAAATGAATATAAAACTTTTCATTTCTCTGTTTAAGTTAATATTATTATATCAATTATATTATTGTAATATAATTTATTATAACAATATTATAATAAAAGACAATTCTGTTTGGGGTTTATCTTATCACCATCATATCTTACATAAGCAATAGAGGAGAGAAGCAAAATTTTGGGTATGAGTCTTCCCAAGTTATCTACAAGTTAATGGTTTATTGTTCTTAAGGGAAAGGAAAGAATATCTTTTAACATGGATGATAATCTCTTCTATAGATGTGTTGAAACCTGGAAATTGAAGAAAATCCTATTAATTGAACTTTATTTGGGTAAGGTAATCGACTTTGTATTGTTTAGGGTCCTTTACTGAAATGGCTACTGGAACACTTGAAGTAGGTAAACATTTTTGCCTGAAGCTTATTAAGGCCGCCAGGAAATCTTTTCTCTTACTTGGCATAAGTAAAGATATTTTTCCATAGGATATTGCCCAGGATTCATTTGGCTTGGCAGTTGCATGGATTGTTTTGTGATTGCTTTTTGAGGGCAATAATTCTGCCCCATGAAAATATTAGTCATTATTATTACTATTTTTTTATCTTTGGTCTTCTAAAAAAGATAAAGGGCCGATGTATAATTTCTTAGTAAACTGTTAACATATTTGAATGACCCAAGGAACATAATGATGTTCTGCTAATGACATCATTCTCATCTTTCTGTCCCAATGAGATAGATATTGTACTCTATTTTGTGGACAAAGAATCTGAGGCAAAAGCAGTTAGAAACTTAAGGGCACGCATTTCAGTATTTATAGAATCTACATTGGAACCCACTTGTTTTCATTGAAGTTTAATCGTATAGAGTTTCAGTTTTGCAGGATGGAAAAGTTCTGGAGATCTGTTTCACAACAATGTGAATATACTTAACACTGCTGAACTGTGCACTTAAAAATGGTTAAGATTGTAAATTTTCTGTGTGCACAATAAAAATATATTAGAAATTATTTTCTTTTCATTTGCTTATTAAGTACGTTTTTAGTGAAGAATATTCTGGAGGTAAAATGTTCATCATTTGGCTCATCTCTCATCCAATATGAAACTGCTTCAATTTCATCACTTAAAAGGAACCTGAGTTTCTACTTTAGTTTGGACTGAGCTGTAAAAAGTCTTTTCTTTCCTTTCTACCAGATTGTATTTCTTTTTAAAATCTAGTCAATGGAAAATTAAAAGATAAGATATAAATCAGAATTATGACCTATAATTTATATTATGACTTATATTATACCAAGAACAAATGTATTTGAGAATCTCCTGCCTTTTTCGCTGAAGCTCAAGTAAAACTGTAGATTTTTAGATTTTTAGATGTTTTTGACTATGTAAACATTTCAAGACCAGGTGTGGTGGCTCAGGCCTGCAATAGCAGCACTTTGGGAGGCCGAGGCAGGTGGATCACCTGAGGTCAGGAGCTCGAGACCAGCCTGGCCAACATGGTGAAACTCTGCCTTTATTAAAGTTATAAAAATTAGCCAGGCGTGGTAGCGGGCGCCTGTAATCCCAGCTACTTGGGAGGCTGAGGCAGGAGGATTGCTTGAACCCAGGAGGTGGAGGTTGCAGTGAGCCGAGATCGTGCCACTGCACTCCAGCCTGGGCGACAGAGCGAAATTCCATCTCAAAAAAAAAATTCTTTTAAAAGTACACTTACTCTGTAATTTTGGTAATGATGAAGCGTTCATTTTAAAAATAGAGTAAAAAGTACTTGTGATTTATTTTCATGAAACAGGATAGAAATCCCTCATCTCATTTAATTAAAAAAGAAATAACCACTGGTAAAATCTGATCTTTTCCTTTCTCCAATACCTGTCAAGATTTACTTTGTATATCTGTATTTTCTAAAATTGTTACCCTATATCTTTTACATTAAAAATAGATTAATAATTAAGGGTCAATCCTTTAGAATAGGTATTTTAAATTATGTGATTTAGTCTATCTAGTGTATTTGCCTATTTATATAACTATTTATTTTGACCTATCTATATAACCACTTATTTCTCAGTCAACCCTCTGTAAGTGTAGATGTCTAAGTCTAGCTTATATATAACTTACAAGTTATATGAAAATACCACATTGTATCTCATAAATGTATACAATTACTTTTCAATCAAGAATATTAAAAATAAATATAATTAAAGGTTAAAAAAGCAAAAATATGCTGTCCTAGATTTCTCAGTGCTTTTAAAGTATGAAACATGTTCATTTTATGAATCACAACCTAATACTCATAGTGTTAAATACTATGAGAGTAAGCCTTTAAGTATAGAGTATTGAGTTAATACTCCTCAGTTCATGGCATGGTATTATCATTGGTTCATGTCAGGCCTTTCTGCTGTTTAATTGACATTCATTCATTTACTCATTCATTTATTCTCTATACCTGTTCCTCATTTCTACAACCCCCAGCCCCATAGGAAATCATTTAGACCTACCCATTTTGCTGTGTGTATATCCAGTTCCTATTTCTAATTGCTGCAAAGGGGATTTACTGTTTCACATTGTTTTATAATTGCTTGAAAATTCCTATCTTCACGTTATTTCTTTATATTTTTTTAAAGAGAGAAGCCAACCTATTTGAAGGTAGGCTAGTTCAGATGAACTTTTTATGCGCAAATATAACCTAATTCAGTGATTCATAAAAATGAGTAAGTTTAACACTTTGAAAGTATTGAGAAATTGAGGACAGCATATTTATTTTTTAACCCATTAACATTATAATTTTTATTTTTAATATTTTTGATTGAAAAATAATTATATACATTTATGTGGTACAATACGGTGTTTTGATATATGTATGCAGTGTGGAATGATTAAATCAGGCTAATTAACATATCACCTCTCTTACCTATCATTTTTTATGGTGAGACATTTGAAAGGTATTCTCTTAATTTTAAAATACAGAATACTGACTTTTAAGACTCAATAAGTAATTTAAAAATTAAACTTCATTCTCTATTAAACATCAAATTTAGTTTTTCTTTGTTACTGGTTATAGCATTGCATAGGGCCTCAGTTTTAGTAGGGATTCAGTAGATGCGTTGGTTTCATTTAATGCCATACCCACTAATTTGTTAATTGGCTTGGACATTTGCGCAAGTTAATTCATGCTTGGAGCTTTAATATTTTAAAATGATTCAGACATCAATCAAGCAACCAGAATTTATTACAAAATCTGTAAGATATATAGTTTCTAGTTTACATTCTCGATGTTGACAGCTTTCCTCGCCCAAATTATTGCATCTGATCCACACTATTATTGTGTGTGGTAAGCATGTCAGGCATTATATCCATTTTAGTAAAGGAGAAGTTGAGTCAAGGCATTAAGTGGCTTGCACAAGGTTATATGGCTGTTAAGTCATAGTCAGGACTATAACTGAAATTTTCTGACTCCTCGACCAATGTTCTCTATACCAATGTTTTCAAACTCTGTTATAGAAGGAACTGAAGGAGGTGACATAATATGAAATGAGGACAAGAGAGGCCATCTTAGATGAAATGTTTTATTTATTTAAAAAAAGATGCTGCCCTTTTAAGTAAAACTTTGAAAATCATTGCACTGTATTGTCGCCGTTTTTGTTTTGAAATGGAAGTGCTAAGTCAGATTTGTCAATGGTAACTCCAAAAAGGGATAAGAAAAAGTCATCTGTTCCTGAAATGCTTGTTGCATTTACATTATCTATCTTGTCATGTCACTCCCCATTACCTTTAGAATAAAACTTAGACTAACGGTGGTTCACAGGACGCTGAATTATCTGGTCCTTGCCTAATTCTGCAGACACATCTCTTGCTATTTTCCCTTTTATTCCTGATCCCCCATAGCCTTCTTTCAGTCCTTGAATATGCTAGCCCTGTGACACCTCAGGACAGTGTTCCCTTTCCCCAGCCCTTTCTATGGCTGGCTTCTTTTGATCTATCAGGTTCCAGTGGCCTTCCCTGACCATCCTTTCTAAAGTAGGTCCTCCCTTATTCTCCACCCTGTACCTTGTTTCACTTGTATCCTGTAACACAAAGTGAAATTAGTTAATTACTAGTAGACTCTAAACTCCATGAGTGCAGGGACCATGTTTACCATGTTTTCTTTTGAATCCTTAGTCACTTTGCCTATAGTTGGCCCTGGTTAAATATTTATTGAATGAGCAAATGTTGAATGAATTATGAGTTATCAAGAGATGCTCAATTTATATTTACTGTCCTCTGAGAAAAATCTCAAATTATACGCATTTGATGAATATTTCCATAAAATGATTTTAATGCATTAGTGCCTAATAGTTGTAGTCATGATTTAAAGAATGTTGCATGAGATTTTTTTTTTTGAGGTGGAGTTTTGCTCTTGTTGCTCAGGTTGGAGTGCAATGGTGCGATCTCAGCTCACTGCAACCTCTGCCTCCTGGGTTCAAGTGATTCTCCTGCCTCAGCCTCCTGAGTAGCTGGGATTACAGGCATGTGCCACCACTCCCGGCTAACTTTGTATTTTTAGTAGAGACAGGGTTTCTCCATGTTGGTCAGGCTGGTCTCGAACTCCTGACCTCAGGTGATCTGCCTGCCTCGGCCTCCCAAAGTGCTGGAATTACAGGCGTGAGCCACTGCACCTGGCCCATATTCTTCATATGTGATTAATACCCCCAACAATGTTGTGAAGTTAGTAGTATATTCTACTTTATAGGCAATGCAACAGACTTAGAAAGGTTTGTTGATATTTGCCCAAAGACACTTAGCTAGTAAGTGGCAGAACTGGGATTTGAACTTAGGTCTGTTTGTAACTAAAGTCGGCACTATTTTCACTCTATTTTGCCGCTTCCTAAATTAATGCTTAGGTTCTCTGGAAAATTTGCTTCTGATGAACACTTTCCTTTCCCAATGACGCTGGATAAATGGGGTGTTACTGTAATAAGGTGCTAATTGAATGGCGTACAGAGTAAGTGCAAAAGAAATTAAAGGAGGAAAAGGTATGTGCTGAAGTCATCAGGGAAACCTCATGGAGCAGCTGTGGGACTTTAGTTCATTCAATTAATGCTGTGAAAGTGTTCTGCATACTGGACCGTGTAGGATGAATGGGATATAAATAAATATAGAAGGGAATTGAGGGTATTTTAGTTTGGAGAAACTGCTTAGAAGTGTTGTGGGTATCCTGGAAGCAGTAGGGAGGACTAGTGTGACTGGAAGAGAGGATTTATCTTGGAGAAAAGTGGGATATTTGTTGAAAAAGTAGATGAGGATGATTGGGGGTATATAAACTATATAGAATTTAATTTTCTCTGTGGTTGCTAAGAGCAGTGTCATTGTGGGATACAATAACAGTTTAGGAACTTCAGTTGGTAATAGTATGCAGGTTTTAAGTATAATAGTGCAGCATTGGTAGCACAGTGAATAACAGTGGCAGTTCTGGCCCTGGGCTTGAATTCCACCCCTTTCACTTGCCGGTTTGTGAGCTTGGAATATTATTTCACTTACTGTACTGTTGTTTCTCCTCTGAAATGGAAATTGAACAGTAGAACCTTTGGCCTGATCCCAGAGATTATGATTCAGTGTGTCTAAGGTATGGGGCAGGAATACCCCCTCCTCCCAAATCAGATTTAGTTACATCTCCTATGTGGTCCCGGAGGGCTCTGTATTTGTTCAGTGTTTCTTTTCTGACCTCAGGTGCAAAAAGTTGAATTCATCAAACTCCTCAGATTAATGACAGACTATCAGCTTTTGGCAAGACTCCTCTCTTGTTTTATTTAAAATAGTTCTCATTTATCCCCAGTATTCATTCTAATTCTCTGCCTACATAGATGTTCGTACTAATGTTTTTTTGAATATGTCTGTCTCTTTAAAAAATATATGGTGCTGTTTTATGCACACATATTTTTAATTTATATAAATTATATTGTGCTAAAGATCTTCTGTTTCTTTTTTCATTCAACATGTTAAAATGCCTTTTATGATAGAAAACTTCAAACAGATCCAAATGTAGAGAAAGTATCAACCCACCATGTGTCCATCATCCAGCATCAACAATTATCAGCTCAGAGCTGATCTTGCTTCATATTATTAACCATTCCTCCCCTAGTGCCTCCTCCCCACAACTCCACCTCTGCAAACTGTATTATTTTGAAGCAAATCTGAGACTTTTTAAAACTGTATTTCAGTGCCAAAAACATCAAAAAACCGCTACCCATTTGGATCTCTGTATATCTGTTTCATAACTTGTAACTGCTCTAGGTATGTCAGTGAATGCACTTACCACATCTCTGGCCCTCTGGTGATGGTCACCTAGTTTGTCTGTAATATTCTGCTACCACAGACAACTTTGATTTTCATTTTCATACATGTCCTCTTATGGGCTTTTGGGAGAACTTTGATTTTTCAGAGTGGGATCTCTGGATAATAGGGTATATATACATATACTTCATTTCACTAAGTTTTGCCAACTTGATTTCCAGAATGTCTGTACTAGTGTACATTCTCACTAGGAGTACATAGTAGTTCTCTTTTCCTCCATTTCCACTGGCACTCTGTATTAACTTACATTATATTTTTGCCAATCTTTCATTTGTAAAGTGGTATATTATTTAAATTTTTATTTCTCTGATTATTAGTGAGGTTAGTTATCTCTTCACGTATTTGTTTTCTGTTCTCCTTAAGACCTCCCATTCTTGCTGTTTTATTATGCCTAAAAAACTCTTTCCCCTTATTCACGTGGCTCACTCACTCCATTCAGATCTCTTCTTAAATGTCATGTCCCCAGAGAGTTCTGCTTTATCTTTCATTGTCTTTATCACAACAAAACCTTATATTATGTTATGTATTTATTTATTTTCTCTGCTCAAGTTCCTTGAAGGCAGAGACCTTACCTGTGTTCACACCTGTATCCCTAGCACTTAAAAAGGTAAGTTCTCTATAAATATTTGTTGAATAAATAAACATGAATTGGCTATTTATATCCTTTGTCCATTTTGCCTACTCAATAGGAGCGTCTTGAATATTCTAGACATTAACCTGTGTTGGTTTTAGATGTTGTTATAATTTGTTATTTCTGTCCATCGTAGCTGCGTTTGATAAGGAATCCTTAATTTTCAAGTGGTTAAATCATCACGTCACAACATGTAAATCAACACATTGTGGTTTGTGTTTTTGTGGTCTGAAGAAATGCTCTTCTAACCCGATATTACATATCCCTCTCCATTTTCTATTTGCTTTATAATTTTATATTTTATATTTGGGTCTGTAATTTCTTAGGAGTTTACCTTTGTATAGGCTGTGAGGTGTGGGGGGTGATTTTATTTTTCTTCCTGTAGAATACAAGCAGTTTGCACTTTTCCTGCTGATTGGTAGTACACACTTACTATGTACGAATTATTTCTCATATTTCATTGATCAGTTGTCTATTTGTGTTTAGTATCAATGTTTTTTATACAGTGGCTTTGCACTGTGTTCTAAAGTCTGATAGGGCAAGTCCTCCCCCTTTTAAAAAATTGACTTAGCAACATTCGTAATAGGAACAATCAAGTAGCTAACCTTTAAAAAGAATGCAAAAGATCATTATGGAGTAATTATGAAACTCTATTAAAGGATATGAAAAAAGACATAACTAATAGAAGAGAATTACCATGGGATGACATAATGTTTTAAAGATGCCAGTTCTCCCCAAATTAATTTGTGTATTCAGTGCAACCACAGTAAAAATTTCAGTAAGATTTTTTGCATACCTCAACACACTTACTCTAAAGTTTATTTGGAATTTATTATAAATATATGTTGATTTAAAAAATAAATGTGTGCTTTCATAGTATTATGCTGTGTTTTTTAGTAATTAGTTTTTGCATTCTTATGGATGGGCAGTTGATTGAAAGCAGCAGAGAAGACAGAAGAGAGCAGCAGAGTTAAGTGTTTTGGTTAGAAGTGATAGAAATTGTAGTGGTAGCGCAAGTGGCACCTCAGCAAAGAAGCATAGAAAAGACAGAAGATAGAGAAGTGAGGTTGTTGGATAAATACATAACTCCTTCCTCAACTCTGGGGAAATGAATAGGTAGGAACAGAGGACAAACACTAGTCTATAATATTGTCCCTGTTGCTATGTCTTGGTAATGATATATACCGTGTCTGGTCCAACAGTCTATATGGAGTACTTACTGTCTGGGGCAATAGTATCTATAGGAGGTATTGAGATGTAGCTCAATAATTGATACTTGTGTAAGTAATGATGACTCAGAAATCAGGAAGACCTTTAAATATATTCTTGATGTTTTGTTTAAAGAGGCAGAGAAATGGGTGTTAATAGTTTCAATAAAAAACAGTTAAAGATATGCCTGCACTTGGGTTAATGCGCATCAATTTAGAGGTATCCAGAGCTACTCATTCTCCCAACTTTCAGGGTCAAACTTTTACTCTGTGTGTTTCTTTTATGTACCATTGTGAATACTTACAAGCTGCAGATAGAATAAAACTATTCTTTATGTTTTTATGGGGACTAGAAGCAAGAGAAAAATGGAGTTGGGGGAAATTAATTTGTATACTCTACTAACAACAGTAATCAACTACATTGACATCATTAACTGGTCATTATGAATTTTTCCTCTTCCAGAGAACCAAGAACCTTCTCAAGGGACAAATTACTAAATATATAACTCTTACTAACAATGTATAACAATTTGGGAAGAAGTTATGTAATCTCAAAGAAAGTGCTAACTACTCATTTGTTAACTTGTATAGAAACTTCTGTTATTCAACGTAGTCCTTTTATTCCTAAATGGATAAGCATTAAAAGAGATTTGTCTTAATTTACTTTCAAAAACTTCTTTAATTAGCATAAAGAAAGGAAAGAAGAATAAGAGTTTCTGGCTTTAAGTTAATTTTTCACATGGAGAATATATGTATAAATAATTACAGTATCATGTTAATAGATACTGGTAAAGTGTCTGAGGTTTCATCAAAAGGGAAAGAAAGCAATTGTGCTAGATATAAATCAGGGAAGGATTTATTTGAGCTGGAAGTAAGTAGAATTTTGATATTGTGATTATGCATGTACACCAGAAGATGGTGTGTCACAGTTTTGTCCATTCTCTGATGTTGGATTTTTATGCATACTTAAAGGGAAGAGACATACTATGTGTTTCTGCAGGTAGCACACATTATGCCAGGCCCTTCATTTACACTGGTGTACTTTATACTTAAAACAACCATGTGAGGTTAATCTTACTAACATCATATGATGAGGAAACAAAGGCTTAGAGAAAACAAATGCATGCTCAAGGTCATGTAACTAGGGACTAAAGTTGTTTCTCTGTTGCAATAATCTTAGGATCTTCATTGGCTAGGTATTATCTGAATGTTTCCAGAATTCTTTAGCAGGGCATGCCATTCTTGTAAAAGAATGCTATAGTTGTTAAATGTGAGAAAGGTAGGTCTCCTAGCCCAGAAATGAGAATTAAGTGGCAAGATTTGAACTGTTCTCTTTGCCCTCATTTTGAAAAAAAAAAAAAACAAAATTATACTGAAGAGAGTAAGGCGACTGACCTTGAGCTGGAAAGCAAGGAACTTTCACAATGTGCCTGTATAGTTATATTTCACTTTTGGAGAGTTGTAGTATAGTTATCTTAGCAGTATTTTTGACAAGGCTTTCATCATGCCATCAATACCTGCTGGGCAGGGATCTAGTAAGATCCTAATGCTTAATTCAGATGTAAGCCAGGATATTTTGTATTCTTTTTGCTGTTGTTTATTTCCCTTTTATTTTTCGTTAGCATTTTGTAAAATCTTTTAGAAAATTCAAATGAATAATATAGGACCTGGCATATAGCATTTGGGCAGTAGATGTTAGTTGAAGGAATGCTAGAGTGTGTCAGCAGTGCTAAGAACTAAGGGAAGGAAAGATTTTTTTTTGTTTTTTCTGTGTTTAGACCATAACTTTTAGTAAAGATCAGGGTGCCCCAATGGACCAGTATAGGGATGAAGCAGCAGAGAAGGTGTAATCAGGAGGTGATACTCATGTGCATAGAGTCCAGTGTTTTTGAACAAATTATCCATTTTCCATCAGTGAACTTGGAGATTTTTTTGTTTCATTTTTACAAAGGCATTTGATTCCTTATAATGATGCTGATGAAATGGTTCAGGAAACTAAATGTCATGTCTGTGATCTCATAATCTGTTAGAGAGTTCTGTTGTTTTAGAGAATTTAGTTCAGGTTTTGAATTTGCTACAGGATAGTAAGGTTTTGATTGCCAATTTTTGAAAAGGCTTCATGGCTGCCTAGTTTTTGTTTTTGTTTTTGTTTTTGTTTTCAGTTTCCATGTTGATTAGTTAGTCACTGGATACTGAACTGCTAAAGAATTAGATTTCTGTTACAGATTTTGGCATTATAAAACTCTTTGGTTTGTGTATAGGACTTGGTTGGAACGTAACCTTAGTCGGTTTTTGGTTCTTTGTATTTTGCTTAGTGTGTGAACTGGTTCATGAGCTTTTTCATTTGGGTGCTTCACTGGGACATCAGTCTGAAGTAGCTACCTGTAAGATTTTTGTTTGTTTTTGTTTTTGCTTGTTGTCTGTGTTGGAAGAGTTGTATAGAAGTTAGGAAAGATATTCGGGGACATTTTTAGGTCGTGTGATTCTCAAGCCTGATCTAGAAGGATTAACTAGATGCCTTAGTATGAAGCATACAGATTGGATTGCCATATTCAGATGCTGTAACTAAACATCTCATCAAGCAGTAGTAGGTTTATATTTTTTATGGTATCCATCCAGACTTGATTAACAGTTGACAGATTTTAGGTTTCCTACTATTGTGGCTCTTTATAAAAATCCCTGAAAATCTGTATATCTTTGGCTTTATTTCCATTTAGTTTTGTTTTTAAACCAGTCTTCTACCTAATATTTTGTTTCATGTTGATTGTATTACCTAGCAAGCATGTCTGTGATTATAAAAACAATATAGTAAAAAGAAAACCCCAGGTTATTGATGTGCTATATATGTGTGTATACTTTAAACAGACCTAGTTTTACTTTTATGTGGAATAATCAGGAAAATGTGTGTAACAGTTCAACAGTAAAATGAATCTTACCAGTTAGAAAATCAATACAGAGATTCAAGCTTTTCCTCTGCTTAAATATCTACTGTTCCGTATGATGTCAAACCAAACTGTGATTCCTAAAAATGCATAACTGATGACATTTTTAAAGTAGAGCAAAAATTTTGTTCAGAAGCTTAGAGGCAGAGAGGGGGGAAGTGCCTTGATATTTATCTAGTCAGCTTCCTTGCTTTTCGTCTATAAGGTGATAAACACTAGTGATGTCTTTGAAATCTTGAAGCATTATTTTTGTGTTCCTTTTGTTGAAATTTTATGCAAACATTTAAACAGAAGCTAATAGTATAACTTGAAAAGCTTAGCCTATATGCTGTTTTAGCACCTGAAGCTTTAGTGTTCTGAAAGATTCTGACAGCAGTAGTATGACTTTCTCAGAAGTTGTAGCAAAGACCATGTCATTATTTTGGTAGGCTGTGATACAGATTTTAAATTATGATACAGACAGTCAGTATTAAACCAAGGGAAGACCATTTGGAATGAATACTCTGTTTACATTTATCTCCAGTGCATGGTAGTGGTGACACAGTGTGGAGGTAGGATTGGTAGTGCTTCTAGGGCCAAAGAAGGCTTTTAATTTAGGGAAATTCTGGAGCTGAGAATGGTTGATGTTACCAGAGTTTATAAAAGAAGTAAAAATCTGGATGGGCTCTGAGCCCAGAAGTACAATCTGAGCTGTATCATCCATATTTTTTATTTTCTGTATTTTATGATGCTTTGACATCTTGGGGCCTTGCTGGCTTGCGGGCAGACTACTCCTCCAGGGCTGGATAATTCCCAGAGATAGCAAATGACTCTCCTGTGAGCATTTTCATATGTAAAACAGCCAATCTAGAGCCCATACTGCCAGCTACCTCCTTTATTGAGCTTTCACAGATTGAGCCACTATCCCCCTACCCTAACTTACACCCCAGGGCCAGGTAACAGGCAACTAGGGATGGTTCTTACACCCTGGAGCCCACTGAAATTTCTCAAACCAGCCAGTCCTAAACTGTTTACCCTGCCCTGCATTGGCCTTTTCTGCTGAAAACCATAATAAAGGCTTGTGCCATGCTTTCCCCTGTCTCCTTCTGCCTCCTGACTGACCCTGGTGCCTTCCCATATGGACCTGTGCTTCATGGCATGCCTCCTCCTCCTAGAACTGCGAGTAATAAACTCTTCTTCCCAAGGCAGTTGTCTCTGTGCCTGTCATTTTATCACACTCAAAGAAAACAAAACCTGGGTACATTTTAAGACGTGAGCCAGCCTTCTTCTGGAGTACCCTTTGCTGTCTCTGGCTAAGCCTCAATTCAAGCTCATAATCAAGATGGATAGAAACCTTGGGCACCCACAGTGATTCCACTGTCACAGGAATTTCTCAATGTCCACACCATGTTATGGATATTAAGAAGCCCATACAGGACATCTCTTTTGAGAAGTAACAGGTTTGGCTGGATGAAGTTAATCATCAGCCCTCTGCTTTTTCAGGATTGGCTTTAGCTCTTGGAGGAAGCGGGGATGGGCATGGGGAAAGGTCAAACAGTGGTGGCTATAAGTCCTGGAGCAGCTGCTCATGGCTGCAGAAGGTGTGGAGCCTTCTGCTCCTTACGATTTGAAAACACCCCATGAATTTCTGTAGCAGGAGTTTATTGTCATACTTTGTGTTGAAACCTGTGGCAACCTCGTCTGGATCCTAATGCATAAACAAGGATGTTTCACTAGAAACATTGTAGGAATAAACAAAATGTTTACTGAAGAGTGATACTGTATAATTCTATCAAAAATGTACTTGTTATTATAAAAAATGTAAACGGGGGAAAATGGACAAACCCCCAAAAATTTAGTGTTCGTTAGTTATATTTTAAGTGAGATATTTATGTAAGAGGTTCATAGCAATATCTGGATTAGAAATGTCCTTAGAAATTTACATTACAATTTCCGTGGTCCAAACTACTTTTCATGGTTAAAGAAGTTACAGACTTACTTGCAGTGGCATTACTTGTAGCTAAATATCATGGAAGACGCTAATCAGTGCATTTCTTACTTAGATTTCCCCAGGAATATAGTCTCATTGAATATTGATAAATTGACACCCTCTTTTCAGATGTGGCACTCCTGGGAATAACTGAAATGTGAAACTTACAGTCTTATCTTACTTGTGTTAATAAATTTAACTAACGTAGAACAGTATCAGTTCAGAGCTTTCCCAGTGAAGCTGGTGAAGCCCTCAGCCCCCACCAACTTCCTAATCTCTTAAGTTTCAGTCACGTTCCTTTGAATGTAGGGATGTTTTTTTCATTAGGTTTCCCACCTCGGCAGCTTGACCTCTGCTTCCGGTAGGAGGTTGATTGGTAACTGCTGGATAACCTCTGACATGAGCTAGCTTACTTTGCCTGCTTTCAAAACTACTAGATCTTTCTCTGTTTTCTTTCTCTTATCACTGTTATCGGCTATTTTTTCTCAGCATTCGAATGGGTTTTTCTTTGCTAGCAGTCACTTTGGGTCTACTCATTCCTCTTAGCCCTCTGAATCCTATCTCTGTGGTACATTGTTTATATTATAGCTACAATGAAAAACCCTGATAGTTTCCTCTTCCATCCTCCTTCTTATGTCAATTCCTAAAATACATTTCCCTGCGCATAATGTGTTGTTATGAGCTTCTTTCCCTACTTTTTAAAGAAATATTATTTCTTGTTATTTGCTTAAAAGTCTGGGTGGGTATTAAGGTCTATGATTCAGAAGAAAAAATCTTATAAATAAATGATGAAAAACCACACCTAGCATCCTAAGGGCGGTACAAGAGAGTTCCCAGGGGCTTACAAAGTTAGAAGTGAAGTCTGAAGAGGCACCAGCATGCGTCAGCTGTATATTGACAACATTTGTTTTACGTGGAGAGACCACAACCATGTATCCTCCATTGATTGGCTCTGGTACCTTTTAGGTAGGCTTTGTGAATTGTTTAGGTGCAGGTTTTATGTCTTATGGCTGGAGAGATAAAATGCCAGAAAACTCTTCTTAGGAAATATGTAGAATGAAAAAGAGCATTGAAAATGTAAGTAGAATCATGGATCTTATTTGGCTGGGGACAGATGGATTGAAGCAGCAAAAAAGGTTAATAGAAGCTGGTAGAAAGTCTTGAACAAATGTACAGTAAGTTAAATTTTGTGGGGACCTTGGTTTTTCATATATTATGCTTGTTTAAAATGGGTGGGAAGGAAGAAATGACAGTATTATTTAATTATTTAAATGTCATATATTTGATCCCTGGGGTCTGAATTGCCAAGAGGTAAGTTAATGGGTCTGGAATTTGATTTCACTCTATAAGTAAACTTTTACTATTTCTTGGATGCTTCTACATGTCATGTAGAAGGCATGAGACTCCTAAGTCAGAGGCAAAGGACCTTATTACTCATGGCATAGAAACAGCATGAGCATTAGCATATTTTCTTCAGTTCTCCTTGCCTCCAAGTTTTATGGGGGTGATAGAATATGTTACGGATAGATGCTGTACATATAGTGGACTGGAGCTGAGGAGCTCTGGGCATGGAGGATCCATTGCTTTTATAGTAAGCAAGGCTGCTCTTTGTCCTGGAGGGTGACTACCTCATTTTTCAAGGTAGTTCATAGCAGACACAACCCTGACAAACGGCCCTGGTAACAAGTGGTCAGGATCTTGCATTCTGGCCATACCCAGCAATATGTACAGGATTGGGAGAAGACCCATCAATGAATGTCTTCCAGCAGGTTATATTAATATTAAGAATCAATAAATATTCTTCTATTTTCTTATGATTTAAAATGATGAATATTGTATTTAAAGAACAATTAACTGAAGGAAATTTTAAAATGAAAAATTCTTCTGGTGAAGTTCAGGCCATGTATTTCCTTAATTGTATAAAAATTATAAAACATCAGCCTCACCTGTCTTTTCAGAGCGATACACACATACTTGATGCTTCCCTTTCTTAAAAATGATCTGAACTTTAAATGTGTTCATGTCACTTTTAAGTTTACTTTATACTAAACTTCATAATAGCAGTGTACTTACAATAAGGCATTATGTTAGGTAGTCATGATGCAAGTAGTTTTGGGATGCTTAGTATTTCATAGACCCTGAAGTTGAAGAAGTGATGCTGGAGGATAAAATGGAGTATTAAGGAGTTTTAAAAGAATACTTAAGGACATCAGAAAAGGTTAATGATAGAATGTTAACTGAAAAAAAGTTTATGTAATTTGCATATTCAGCATGAACCCTGAGTTTAAAAAAATTATATACACAAGTATGTGTGTATGGCAAAAATTCAAAGGCAGTGCTGCAATATATTAATAATTTACCTGGATGGCAAAATTTCTTAATTCTTGGTTTCTTTGAGCAGTTTGCAAATTATGTAAGCATGCATTAATGTTATAATTAGGAAATTTTTTAAATTTTGATTTAATTTTATCAGTGTTTTGTACACATTTTATCAGTGTTTTACAAGCACATTGTTTAAAGAGTACCAGTCAGATAGGCCTATGAGGCTTGTAATGGAGGACGACAGTGGCTACTATTACCCTTATCTCATTTCCTGCTTCTTGTAGACAAACAACTTCAACTATTTTAGCTGATTTTTTTTGGTGTTTATTGTCATAAATCCAAATAAGTTTATATTGCTGCTACTTGATTTTTTTTTTGACGCTATCTATTGACTTCCCACAGTGGAAGATAAGAACTCTGTCCTCTTACCTGTCCTGTTTTTTTTTTGTTGTTGTTGTTGTTTTGTTTTTGAGACAGGGTCTCACTCTGTCACCCAGGCTGAAGTGCAGTGGTGCGATCATAGCTCATTGCAACCTCCACCTCCTGGGCACAGTGATCTTCCCGCCTCAGCCTCCCAAGTAGCTGGGACTACAGGCTCACACTACCATGCTCAGCTGATTTTTAAATTTTTTTGTAGAGACAAGATCTCAGTATACTGCTCAGGCTGGTCTCGAACTCCTGGGCTCAAGCAATCCTCTTGCCTCGGCCTTCCTAAGAGTTGGGATTGCAGGTGTGAGCCACACTGCACCTGGCCATCTATCTTGTTAATGTAGTCACATACACATTTCTTGTCTTCCCATCCTCCCAGTACAGTTATTCTAATTTTGATTATATCAGTATTTAATGTTTACATGATTATGACTAAATGCTATTTATAGTTTTGCCATGTAGTAGTATTCTATGGTTACTTTTTCTTTCTTGTACACAGTTTTATTTTCAGTGGAATACTTATACTTGTTAAAAGGTAGGTTTGTTTTCTATGAACATATCATTGGTTTATCCCCAAACTCTATTCTGTTTGTAAATACCTTCTTAACTATTCTATTAATTTCATGTTCTTAATGATGTAGCTCTCAGATTCTTCTAACTTGTTCTAATCTACACTGGTTGTTTACCTGGTTTTGGCATAGTTGTTATCTTGGACTCTTTATTTTCCTTAGCATCCTCATCATCTTAAGAATTTCTTTCTTGTGCTGGATCCCCTGTTGCTTGATTTCCTTTTTGTTAGGTCATTATTTTGGTGGAACACATTCTCAAGTAGCAACCTGAGTACTTGGTGGCTTCTTTTGACCTAGAAAATCCTACTCTGTTCTGGCAATTTTATTGAGTTAGTTCTTTTGATTTTGTCTCTCCCCCTGTCTCCCCAGCCCCTCCTGTCTGTCTCTGTGAGTGTGTGGGTGTGTTTTAGAATCCCCATTTTCTTTGATGTAGTAGGAATATGGATTGCCCCTCTAATTATTATCTTTTCTCTTAAATATTTTCCACATCTTTCTATTTTGGTTTTCCTTTATTGGGCGATTTCCTCAGTTTTATCTTCCAACCCTCCACAGATTAAAACAATTCTCTTGTTACTGGACCTCCTACTTAAAAAAAAAATCCAGTTCTTTCACTGTGCAGAAGCTCTTTAGTTTGATTAGATCCCATTTGTCAATTTTGGCTTTTGTTGCCGTTGCTTTACAAGCAACCTATAGAATGGGAGAAAATTTTTGCAATCTATCCATCTGACAAAGCGCTAATATCCAGAATCTACAAAGAACTTAAACAAATTTACAAGAAAAAACAAGCCCATCAAAAAGTGGTTGAAGGATATGAACAGACACTTCTCAAAAGAAGACATTTATGCAGCCAACAAACATGAAAAAAAGCTCATCATCACTGGTCATTAGAGAAATGCAAATCAAAACCACAATGAGATACCATCTCATGCCAGTTAGAATGGCAATCATTAAAAAGTCAGGAAACAACATGCTGGAGAGGATGTGGAGAAATAGGAACACTTTTACACTGTTGGGAGTGTAAATTAGTTCAACCATTGTGGAAGACAGTGTGGCAATTCCTCAAGGATCTAGAACCAGAAATACCATTTGACCAGCAGTCTCATTACTGGATATTTACCCAAAGGATTATAAATCATTCTACTATAAAGGCACATGCACATGTATGTTTATTGCAGCACTATTCACAATAGCAAAGACTTGAATCAACTCAAATGCCCATCAATGATAGACTGGATAAATAAAATGTGGCACATATACACCATGGAATACTATACAACCATAAAAAAGGATGAGTTCATGTCCTTTGCAGGGACATGGATGAAGCTGGAAACCATCATTCTCAGCAAACTAACACAGGAACAGAAAACCAAACACCGCCTGTTCTCAGTTATAAGTGGAAGCTGAACAATGAGAACATATGGGCGCAGGGAGGGAAACACCACACACCAGGGCCTGTTGGGGGATGGGGGCCTAGGGGAGGGATAGCATTAGGATAAATACCTAATGTAGATGACGGGTTGATGGGTGCAGCAAACCACCACGGCATGTGCATACCTATCTAACAAACCTGCACATTCTGGTCATGTATCCCAGAACTTAAAGTATGATAATAATAAAAATAATAAAAATCCAGTTTTTGTTTCATGGTTGCTTGTATTCTTTTATCTCTTTGAAGGTTAAGAATAGTTTTTGGAAATTTTCTTCTCTTTACCTATTATTTGTTTCTTCCAAGTTACTCTTTTTGTTTGTTTGTTTGTTTGCTTGCTTTGGTCTCTGTCTTTCCTATTTCAGGCTCTCCTTAAATGTGTGGTAGTGGTTGTTCACTGATGCATTCTAAAAAAAGTTCTAAAGAGTGGAGTAGTAGTTCTGTGCCTCTGGATGAGGCTTGTAGACTTACGGGTTTCTGTTTAGGATAATCTGGTAGGCTGTTTTATTGGCGATGTACATCTTTTAAGTGTCTTATTTTAGGCTGGTCAGATTCCCTAGGGAAGACTCTTAGTGGATGGAGGGTATAACCCTGCAGTGATTTGGAATCCAAATGGGCAGAAACACATAAACTTTTTCTTTATTCTTTTCTTTTTTAGTGTGATATGCCTGTTCTAAACTTGCCTTATGTTTTTTAGTAATAATAAGACCATTAAAAAAATCTCCACCAAGAGAATAAATCTCCAAGTCTTTTGCTGGGGTTGGGGAGGGGTGTTCCCCTGTTTGGAGTGTGGAGGGGTGGAGTGGGGAGTTTGGAATCTTACAGATTTTTAAACAGATTTTTTTTTAATCCTCCTGTTTGTAAACTTTTTCTCTCACTTCCAGAGGTACCTGGTACTGCAAATTTAGCCATTTGGAGATTCTATTATGTAATACTAACCCTATTTGCTCTTTTGTCTGTTTAGTATTCAGATTCCTTAGGTTTGAAAAGTGATTTACCATAATTTTGTTACTGTTGTTTCATCTGGTGGACTCTTCATCCTTGCAAATTTAAGCCTTAAAAGAACATCCCTTTAGGCCAGGTGTGGTGGCTCACCCCTGTAATCCCAGTAATTTGGGAGGCTGAGGTGGGTGGATTGCTTGAGCCCAGAAGTTCAGGATCAGCCTGTACAAGCTGGTGAAACTCCGTCTCTACAAAAAAATACAAAAAAAATTAGCTGGGCATGATGGCGCATACCTGTAGTCCCAGAGGCTGCGGTAGGAGGATCACTTGAGCCCAGGAGGTCAAGGCTGCAGTGAGCCATGATTGCACCACTGCACTCCGGTCTGGGTTACAGAGTGAGACCCTGTGTCAAAAAAAACAAAAAAAAAAAAACAAAGAAACAAACAAAAAGTCCCTTTACTTTCATTTTGGTGGGACAGTGTGCCTGTAAATGTAAGTTCAACCTACCATCCTTAGCCAGAAATCTGTAATCTTTATTTTTTTTTTTTTTTTTGAGACGGAGTCTCGCTCTGTCGCCCAGGCCGGACTGCGGACTGCAGTGGCGCAATCTCGGCTCACTGCAAGCTCCGCTTCCCGGGTTCACGCCATTCTCCTGCCTCAGCCTCCCGAGTAGCTGGGACTACAGGCGCCCGCCACCGCGCCCGGCTAATTTTTTGTATTTTTAGTAGAGACGGGGTTTCACCTTGTTAGCCAGGATGGTCTCGATCTCCTGACCTCATGATCCACCCGCCTCGGCCTTGTAATCTTTATTTTTTAAAGACATGATCCTTTCCCTTTTCTAACATATGATAGATGACAAAGGCATATTCTTAACTGTTATGTGGCTGGAGGGTATAAGCCAGCAGTGCTTTGGAATCCAAACAGGAGCAGAAACACATAAACTTTTCTTTATTTTTGCCCATTTATTAGAAGGTCTTATGAATATCCATCTGTCTATTCACAAGCTCTGTTTCAGGTTAGATCTCGTATGACTTACTTAGACCATAATTTTTGATATTTTAACTGAAGAGCTAGTGGTTAATAATAGCTACAATAGGTAATCCAAAGAAATGTCTGAAGATTCAGTATGGTGTTTAAACTATAATACTAGCAACAGTGATAATAAAAATAGCTTAAATAGCTTATAGTTGTGCACTAAGTGCTAGGCCTGTATTAATTTTTAAAATTTCACACCAATTTTATGAAATAGGGACTCTTATTTTCCTCCCTTTACAGGTGAGGAAACCGAGGCACAGAAAGATTATGTAGTTTTCCATAGTCAACATGGCTAAACTAGGAAGTGGAGGAGTAAGAATATAAATCTCTGTAGTCTGGCTCCAGAACCCACACTGTTAACCATTATGCTAATCTACCTCCATATACTGTTGGGATTATTTTGGATGAGATAAAGGTTTTATTTTTTTTTTTATCATGTAGAGTGATCAATTTTGTCTACTACAATTTATTATCTCTTTAGGCTTTATTTATCATAAATAGTATGCAGACTTACTGTTGGTGATATATCTGAAGATAAGTTGTTACCTTAGACTTTTCTGGCATGTCCTAAAAGGCTCAACTTCTTTCCCTCTTATACAATGGATATATTTCTGATAATTCTCTCCTATTGAACTGTCATTGATTCACATTTTTCTAAGATTGCCTCCTGCTTTTTTATGCTTTTATTTAAGCATATGGTAAATTTCTGGCAAAGCGATGAGCTGTAGGAAAATGTTTCTTTTTTAGATAAAATCAAATACTAATTATTTTGAAGGTGAATTGTTATATTTTGGTATATTTGGAATAGATATTTCATTGATAACTTATTGAGCAGAATCAACTAGCTGAGTTTAGTCTTTAAAAACATAAAAGCCTATTGTTTCTTTTGTTTTAGTTCTAAGAAAGATGCTCTTAAAGACAAGCACCTAATTATTTAATTCCCTTCCTGCATCAAGATATGAATAAACTACTAATATTATAGAATTAAACTTGCCCTACTTTAGGCTTTTATACCCTCTTAACTATTTAAGTTTATGCCTGAAAGGGAAGAATCAGATTTGTTATTTTTATTGTTATTAAATGAACTTTAAGAGCATTAGATACGGTAGTTATATTCCAATCTAGACACAAACATACAGTTCCTTGCCTGGCTCTTCAGGATTTATTTATGGTGATATGTTAAAGGTGCTAAAAATAATTACGTATTTATATTAACAAATCTTGGAAAAAGATTTACTTTTTAAACTTGATTTGCAGATTTCTTTTTATTCGTGCTCCCATGACTGTAATGTTCTTTCCTTCCTGCCAATTTTTGCCTATTCCTTATATTAAAACATATTATCTCACTTCTTTTTAGAATTCATCTGTGCCTTATTCCAGTTCACTCTTGTAAGGGTGATGCTTGTGATCCCCTCAGCCCTCATGTATTCATTCGTATTATATTGGAGGTAATGTTTTGTTTCTATGGAAATGTGCTTTTTAGTTTCCTATTTGTAGGTTTGTGCTTGTCAGTTAAGAATAAGTTGTTTTCAGTTGAAGTCCCCTCTAGTTATTTCTACCTATCAGCCCCTCATATTATACTTTGGCTTCTAAAAGACCAGTATATATTGGACACAGTAATTCCATAGAAAAATGTGACTAAATGTTGTAACTGTATAGGTCCTTATCATGACATTTAAAAATTCATCATCTTCCCATTTCTAACCAAGAGGAACACTAGCAAAGCTACTCTTTATCACAAGATTCTTTCTTTGGGATTCATTTGGAAGGTAAAACTGATACAAGATACAAAAGCATATTTATATTAGGATAGAACATCAGAAAACACTGCCTTTGCGAGGAAGCCACATTTTTCTTCCAAGGTATCTAATTAGACAATCCTCGTCTGTCTACTACCATTACTTAATTTACCCTTTACACCCATTATAATTGGACCATGGTTACCATTGTGTCCTATAAGCTTGCCAGTTCATGGCAGTGGGACCAAGTGAAGTTTTATCAACAGTTTGAGTTTTTAAAATAGAGTTCACTCTCTTGGTTTTTTTTCTCTTCTAATTTAATAAGCAGTAAGTTTGCTGAATTTGAGGATACTGTGGCAAGAGCCATCTGTAGTTGAATATTTTAGTTGTTAAGTATAAAAATTCAGATATTCAAAAGTATTGAAAAGAATTTGCTTATTTTTCTTCTCCTGATATGCTTCTAATTTTTTAAATTTAAAATATTGAATTGAGGGAAGACTGCATCCCAGACAAACTGACTTCTAAATAGCATGCAAAGGAATAGTTCTGCAAGTGTTCTACATCTGCTATGATGGCTTTTATATATTTATTTTCGTTGGACTTTTAAAATTTTTTTCTTTTCAAAATAAAGGTTTATAAAGAAACTAATACCAAAATTGATATATTTTTAAAATTCTCTTTTTAAATTAAAAGGGAAAACATCTCAAGTTCTTAGAGATCACTGTTTTTTCCTTTCTATATATATGATTCTTTAAATTCTTAGAGCTCAAATTAGACATGAGTATTTCAGGTGTCTAGGCTTTCTCTTTTTCCTTCTTGGTCACACTTTTATATGTTTGTGTCTTTTATGAGATGTGAGCTAGATTAAGATTTGTTGATATGCTATAAATTGTGATTAAGATATTATTCAGGAATTATTAGGAACTGCATATAGGTAGAGAAGATGGAAAAAGCTATGTATTTGCTTAATGACATTATAGAAGAGAAAGTAGGAAAGGGGAAGGGGTAAAATATGGAAAAGAAAGGTGAAAGAGATCAGAAGAAAATGGAAAAATAATTATTTGCATAGCTATAGTGGGTTATATATTGGCTTCTGTTTCAATTTATTTATTTTTACTTCTTCTTTTCTCATTGAGTTTTTAAATTCTAGAAATGAAAGCCATTACATCTGCTGCCTTTAAAACTCCCAGACTTTAATAGTGTCGACTCAATTATCCATTGAGAGATTATCTGCTTTGTGTTTTAGCCTTTGCAAATACAGCTTTCAAGCTCTTATTGGCATAAGTAAACAAAGGATGATAAAGACTTTTTGAGTCTTTTCACTATTTCATGCTTACTTTTATACTCCTGTGTAGCCTGGCTCTTCCATCAAACTACTTTCAGTGAACCTTTAGCCTATATTCAACATAGATCAGTTATCTCAGATATTTTTTCTTGTAAAAAAATGTAATCACAATAAGAGTTTTTCTAGTAGATTTAATTGTCTTTAAATTGACTTTTACTCCCACCTCTCCCTGTGTCCTCTACCTTGGGAGTAAAGATCAACACACTTTACTGTTTCTTCTGTATTTATAGTACCTTACCTGGATCACTGATACTCAACTCACTCCTAAAGACTTGGAAAAGTCTTTAGCTGAAAAAGACAGCTTCAATTGGGACACATTGCCCATACATACAGACTAAAGAAGAAAGGGTACATTTTAGAAGGATTTTTCAGGGAGAGTTGAAACATTAATTTTCTGGTTGTCTCTGATGAAAATAAAAATTCCTTCTCCTGCACAAGGGAATGATAAAATAAAAATGCAGTGAATTTAAGAAAACACGAAACAATTTTTGTTTAAGCCTGCTTTAAAAAAAATCTGAGAGATGAATTTCTCTCTCTCTAACATGACGCATTGGTCAGCAAAGAGTTAATAAGGAAAATTGAACAACTTTTCAATTAACTCATTAAAGTGTTTCTATATTATATTGTTTAATGCTTTATCAATTATCAATTCCAGAGAACTTAAACATTATTCAAATACATATCAGGATTTAATCTAAAGTCAACTCTACTCCAGTACAAAGATATGTATCTGCTGTATTGTACTATATGCATAACTCTTTCATAGCTTATGTGACTCTATTTAATCAATTCCTATTTCCTTTTCTGTAGAGAGAGCTCCTTGAAGGCAGAGACCCTGTCTTTGAGCTCTGTATCTTTAAGATTTAGCCAGTTTCTGGAATATAAAGTATTGGCTGAATTCATTATTATGTGAGCTATCAGTAATAGCTGTGTCTTAGCGGGGGGTTATAGTTTTAAAAATTAACAGATAAGGAAATATTGACCATAAGGTGCTTTAACTTGTATGTGTATTTAATTTAGTGTTTAACATCTGGTCATTAGCTCTCATTTTTGAGGAAAAACATGAGGATCACTTATATCTTTTCTGTACTTTATGCTCTTTTTCTTAAAGCAACGTGTGTTAAGTAAATTGCAAATCTTTGGTGATAACATCTCCTATTTGCTTAATATTTTGTATTTTTCCAAGCACTTTCCCACACATTGTTAAGTTCTATCCTCACAACAACCTGAAAGAGGTATGGTTAAGGAAACTGAGGAAGAGATTTATGCCAAAGATTATGAGTTTAAAGCCTAGAATCTAGGACTCCTGAATTTCTAGTTCGTTTCTATTTTGTGTTTCCCTTACAGCCACTTTTGAAGTCATTTCTTATTGCCTGTTGTATTAGTTTGCAAGGGCTGCTGTAACAAAGTACTACCAAGTAGGTGGCTTAAACAACAGAAATTTATTGACTCATGATTCTGGAGGCAAGAAGTCTGAAATCAAGGTGTTGGTGGGATTGGTTCCTCCTGAGGACTGTGAGGGAAGGATCTGTTCCAGGTCTCTCTCCTTGCCTTATAGATGAACTGACCAACCTCACCCTGTGTCTCTTCATGTCACCTTCCCTCTGTAAGTATCTCTGTGTCCAAATTTCTCCTTTTTATAAGGACATCAGTCATATTTGATTAGAGGTCAGCCCTACTCCTATATGACCTCATCTTAACTGATCACATCTTCAGTGACCTTATTTCCACATTAGGTCACATTCTGAGGTACGAGGGGCTAGGACTCTAACATATCTTTCTGGGGATGGAGGCAGGAACACACAATTTTACCTATAACATTTACCTTTTAGTAAATGAAGCCTTACTGGAGATGTTGACTTTTCTTTCCAAGAACTTAATAGAAACTCCTCATTTGATCCTCACTGCTCTGTTACCTCTCAGAGGAAATTAATTTAATACCCATGAAAGGCATTTTTGGCAGAATCATTCCTGTTTTGTTCCTCAGGGCCATAGAGTTATCTAATGATTAGTTTGTGGAAATAACCCGTATTTATAATTTTATTTCCCTGAAATTTTCTTAAATGAGAATACATAAGATTAACTGAGAACTAAGCTCTTCTCTTGGGGCTAATCTCTTCAAGTAAGTCTGTGTGTCACCTCATGCTCCAGCTGTTTTTCTGTGCATCTAAATGGCCCACTTCCCTAGAGGACTTCAGCAGATGATAGAAGAGTCTCTGAAGGAAAGTTGAGATTAATCAGACTATCAAGTACCTAGCTCTGTTTTGTTTTGAGCATAGTCCATAAACAAACGGTAAGAAGATTGCCTGAACAGTAAGATTCAGAGGTAGACAAGGAACTCGTTACTGTTATTTAGATTAAATTCTGTTGGGTAACTGGCTTGTTTAACTGGATTTTCCTTTTTGTATCATACTTTAAAAGGAAGAAATAACTTGTATAAAATAGTCTTTTCTGGGTCAGTAGGCATTTAACCAGATCCCTTATATGTATATGTATCACCAGGATAGGACAGTGATTAATATTGAAGAAAACAGTAATTTTTAAAAATAATTAAAACTTTTATTTTAGATTTGAGGGTACATGTACAGATTTGTTGCATGGATATATTATGTGATGCTGAGGTTTGGGCAATGACTGAACCTGTCACCCAGGAAGTGAGCTTAGTACCTAACAGTTTTTCAGCCCTTTCCTCTATCCTTCCCTCTCCCCTCTAGAAGACCCCAGTGCCTCTTGCTGCTATCTTTATGACTGTGAGTACCCAGTGTTTAGCTCCCACTTCTAAATGAGAATATGCAGCATTTGGTTTTCTGTTCCTGTGTTAATTTGCTTAGGATAATGGCCTCCAGCTGCATCCATGTTGCTGCAAAGGACTTGATTTCGTTCTCTTTTTTTATGGCTGTGTAGTATTCCATGGTGTATATACCCCAGTCCACTGTTAATGGGCACCTAGATTGATTCCATGTCTTTGCTACTGTGAATATGCTGTGATCAGCGTATGAGTGCAGGTGTATTTTTGGTAGAATGACTTATTGTCTTTTGGATATATATTCAGTAATAGGATTGCTGGGTTGATTGGTAGTTGTGTTTTGAGTTATTTGAGAAATCTTCAAACTGCTTTCCACAGTGGCTGAGCTAATTTACATTCCCACCAACAGTGTATGTGTGTTCTCTTTCCTCCATAGTCTTGCCAGCATCTGTTGCTTTTTGACTTTTTAATATAACATACTCAGGGTGGGTATGTTTGGTTCCCAACCTGTCCAATTTAAAATGTTTTGCCATTTTAAGTTTTACTTAATACCAGTATTCATAGTCAAATAATTTTAGATTTTTCCTAGAGTTTGCAATATAAAAAGTCAGGAATAAGATGAGGGAGCTAAAGGAAGGACTTGACTTCCAAAGATTCTGAAATACAAGAGAAAGGCTTAAAATAATTAGTTTTTTACAATTATTAATTAGTTGACATCTAATTGCGATGTAGTTAATTGGCTTGGTGTGTTTATGGCTCTTTATCCTAAAGTATATATTTAAGTACCTAAAAGGATCAGTTAATTATTTTTTCTTTGAGTTGTTTCTGGAAAATTGTGTAGAATAAAAATATCTCAAAATATATGTGTCCTTTAATATTAAAGCACTTTTGTAAAGTATATAACATTTCCTTGGTTTGCTACTTATCACTTTTTAAGGGGGATCTGTTGCTTTCCATTACTAGATTTTTAAGAATTATACTCTATTAATTGGCTTTTAAAAAACTCTAACATTTTATTTGCAGATTAATAAGAGGAGTATAGAAAAATTTGTTAAACATATTTTCAAGTGTTTTCCTCTCCCCTATCACTATGCACAAGAGTGTTCACATATATAGGCACTATATATACTATTTGTTGGATGGCTGTTGGAATGGGTGGGTAAGTGGATGAGTAAATAATATATTCAGATTTGTTGTATATTATATACATGTAATATACATAAAAACAAATATGTATATATTTTGTGTGTTTTGAATACTTTGGTTAAGTGGCTTCCAAAGTATGTGCTATAAAAACCTTCTGCACAAAAAGGTCTCCATAGCCAAATAGATTTGGAAATGTGATATATTATTTTTATGTCAAGAAATTCTTAATATAGATTAACACGTTAAATATTCTGAGTGGTCTGGAAATAAAGAAACTCATTTAAACTTAGCCTAGTATTTCAATAACTAATGTGAATAGGGAATGCATTTTTTTTTTTTTTTTTTTTTTTTTTTGAGATGGAATCATTCCCCGTCACCCAGGCTGGAGTGTAGTGGTGTGATCTCGGCTCACTGCAACCTCCGCCTCCTGGGTTCAAGCGGTTCTCCTGCCTCAGCCTTCCAAGCAGCTGGGACTAAAGGTGCGCGCCACTACGCCCAACTAATTTTTGTATTTTTAGTAGAGACGGGGTTTCGCCATATTGGCCAGGCTGGTCTTGAGCTCCTGACCTGGTGATCCACCTGCCTTGGCCTCCCAAAGTGCTGGGATTACAGGCCGAGCCACCATGCCTGGCCAGGGAATGCTTTTTAAATCCCTAAACAATTGTATAATATTGTGTATATGTGTGTGTGCATGTGTATATATGTGTGCGAGCATGTGTGCCTGTATGCATATGTACATTCAAAACTTGGGAACTAGTGGGTTTTTATGTAATGTAAGTGGTAGAACTGAACAGATGTTGGTAGTATGTCAGAGAAATGGGAGCCAGTGATGTTATTTCATAAGACTCATAGGTAACTTGGAAAGCATATGTGAGATTAGAGTTTTTATATTCGTTAGTGAAGTAGAGATAGTGAAAGCCTGCCATACTCCTCACCAATCGTAGTCATGTCATCATTAATTATATGCCTCAGTGAAAGGATTGAGAAAAAGAGAACAAAAGAGCATCAGATAACTAAGAAGAATCCCCAACCCTGTACCTCATTGGTTGGGTAACACAAATGCCAGTGGAACCTGGACAGTAATGATGATGTGACTGTTCCACGTGGCTCAGCTTGGCCAATTTCCTCAGCTCCTGGTGTTCTGTGGTCATGTCCAAGGGACTAAAGCAGCAGTAAAGCTCCATAGTCAGATGTCTTTGACTTACCCATTTTAGGTAGCAAGTATCTTCAGCTCTGCCTCATTCTATTTACTATAAAACAAAATACAGTAAGGAAGCAACCTAGAATTTGTTAGTGGGTACAATGAAAAAGTAGTCACCATATTTTGGATCTGCGCATTTAAAAAAAAGAAAAACATTAGTTTAAAATAAACTGAAAGATAATCTAAAATAAATTGACTTTATTAGTCTTGTTTTTGGCATTTCTCTTTTAAGGGAAATCATTAGTGAACATTAATAAATCCAGTGTTATCTATTAGGAAAATAAATACAAAGATTTAAACTCAGTAGAGGAATTGAATTTAAACAACTGAATTTAAAAAATAATTGTTTTGACTTTTTTCTTTTTTTTCTTTTTTTAAATTTTATTATTATTATACTTTAAGTTTTAGGGTACATGTGCACAATGTGCAGGTTAGTTACATATGTATACATGTGCCATGCTGGTGTGCTGCACCCATTCCCTCTGGACCTCCTTGGATAACCTGATGTGCTTTTCCTGTCTCAGGGAATCACTATTCCAATGCCCGATTTTGAGTGTCCATCTAACAAGCACTGCAGACTGTAGCTCAGGCTGCCTGAGCTCTGGAGATCTTCCTGGGTTGCTGGCACTGTCTGTGTGTCCTGTAATACCATGACTGATATATGTTGTATTCATGGCTGAATATCTTCAAAATAACTTGTGTATTCTCAAAGCTTACTTTAAAATCTAATTTTTAATTTCAATTAAGTTATTTAATTAATTAGAAAAGGCTATGTAAACACTAAAGGTTTTTATAATTTAATAGGCAAACTGCTTTACCATTTAATCCTTGATTAAATATTGAACCACTTTAGCAAAGTAGCCACCACACAAAGAATACTGAATAAGATATGGGCAAAAAGGAATAAAAAGAATAAAACAGACAAAAATCCCTCATTAAAATGACCAACTTGTCTGTTGTAGATAGTGGGGAATGTGTGTAATATCTGCTCTTATTCCCAGTTGTTGGAGCTTGAGTACATTAAGATTGAGCCACAGCATGAGAAATCAGAGTTCTTTTACTGTGCTGTAGTTCAATATAAGGCTTGATTGGCAACTTAGTGTAGGTCACAGATCTCTTAGCTGGCTAAAGGCAATGAAGATACTATGTAGCTCTTCAGGGGGACATAGTGGAAAGTGGCAAAAATAAATCTCAATTTTATCCCCCTAAAATAAAATGACAGAAAAATGTAGGGACCCAGTTTAAACTGGCATTTGGATTCTCTGAAATAGGGATTCTTTCTATTGGGATTGAGCACTAGCAGAGAGCTCACACTCAAATGTCTGGATGAAAGTGTAAAATTGAGAAGTTCAGTTTCAAAAAAAAATAGCATTCCTGCATTTTTTCAGAACTTATGGCATTGTGTTTCATATACTTTGTATTTTCCGATGCCTATTTTGGAGCTTCCATTATTTTGTTTCTATTGCTTTGCATGAGAGCCCTTATATAAGTGAGATTGAGTAGTAGGCAGATTCTATCTATAGCTTTTGTCCTCTTCTAAATATTACAGAATTTGTTTGTTTGTTTGTTTGTTTTTTTGAGATGGGAGTCTCGCTCTGTTGCCAGACTGGAGTGCAGTGGCACCATCTTGGCTCACTGGAACCTCTGACTCCTGGGTTCAAGCGATTCCCCTGCCTCAGCCTCCTGAGTAGCTGGGACTACAGGTGTGCGCCACCACGCCCAGCTAATTTTTCGTATTTTAGTAGAGACGTGGTTTCATCATGTTGGCCAGGCTGGTCTTGATCTCCTGACCTCGTGATCTACCCGCCTCGGCCTCCCAAAGTGCTGGGATTACAGGCGTGAGCTGCCGTGCCTGGCCGAATCTTTTTTTTAATTAAAAAAATTACAATAGTGATTTCTTTCAGTGTGTACCTTATTAGTCCCATATAACTTTGTTTCAGATAATCCCTATTAATGATACAGTTAAACATACATTTTAATAATCTGTGAAAACATTAATGCAATATTTTCTAAACTTTTCATTAACTACTATGTATTAATAAATTGGCATCGTTGGTTAACAGGGTTCTGAGGTCAGATAGGTTTATGGTATGGTGCATACTTATATCTCTTCTTAGAGATTTATAATGTACATTATAATGTCAAAGACTCAGAGTTGCTGAAGTAAATAATTATGTTCAGTCCAGGAGTTTCTTTAGGTGCCAAGGATGGAACAAAGTGACAAAGATGTCTATTCCTTTAGTGCTTTTGTATTTTGGAGGGCTTGTTTTGGTACAACTAAAATAAAAGGCCTTATAAAATTAGCCTACTCAAAATGTTCTCATTTTATTTGAGACATCTTTAGTGGGATAATTTAGCATGGTGCTTGGCACATAGTACAGGTGCACCTTGTTTTATTGTGCTCCACTTTATTATACTCAGTAGACAATATTATTTTTTACAAATTGAAGGTTTGTGGCCACCCTGCATAGAGCAAGTCTGTTGGTATTATTTTACCAAGGACATGGGCTCACTTTGTGTCTCCACATCACATTTTGGTAATTTTTCTTCTATTTCAAACTTTTTATTATTATTATATCTATTATGAGGTTCTATGATCAGTGATCTTTGATGCTACTGTTGAAATTGTTTTGGGATGCCACAAACCTCACCCACAGGAGATGGAGAATATAATTGATAAATGTTGTGTGTGTTCTCACTGCTCCACCAAACAGCTGTTTCCCATCTCTCTTCCTGTCTCTGAGACATGAAAGTATTACAATTAGGCCAATTAATAACCTACAATGGCCTCTAAGTGTTCAAGTGAAAGGAAGAATCATATGTCTTTTGCTTTAAATCAAAAGCTAGAAACGATTAAGCCTAATGAAGAAGACATGTCAAAAGCCAAGATAGACTGAAAGCTAGGCCCCTTGTGCCAAACAGCCAAGTTGAATGCAAAGAAAAGCTTCCTAAAGGAAATTAAAAGGGCTACTCCAGTGAACACACAAATGACAAGAAAGTAGAATAGCTTTATGGTCAATACGGAGAAAGTTTGAGTGGTTTGGTTAGAAGATATGGCCACAACATTCCCTTAAACCAAAGCCAAATCCAGAGGGAGATCCTAACTCTTCAGTTTGTGAAGACTAGGAGGCAAGGAAGTTGCAGAAGAAAATTTTGAAGCTAGCAGAGGTTGGTTCATGAGGTGTAAGGAAAGAACCCGTCTCCATAATATAAAAGTGCAAAGTGAAGAAGCAAGTGCTGATGATATATAAGCTGCAGCACATTATCCAGAAGATCTAAGATCATTGATGAGTGAGGCTACCCTAAACAAGAGATTTTCAGTGTAGTTGAAACAGCAGTCTATTAGAAGAATATGCCATGTAGGACTTCACAGCTAGAGAAAGTAGCCAATGCCTGGCTTCAAAGGACAGGCTGACTTTCTTGTTAGAGGTTAATGCAGCTGGTGACTTTAAGCTGAAGCCAATGCTTATTCTGAAAATCCTAGGAACCTTAAGAATGATGCTAAATCTACTCTGCCTGTGCACTATAAATGAAATGGAACAACAAAGCCTGGAAGACAGTACATCTATTTATAGCATGGCTTACTGGATATTTTAAGCCCACTGTTGAGACCTACTGCTCAGGAAAGACTATTTCTTTCTTTTTCACTGCTCCTTGACAGTGCACTTTGTCACCTAAGAGTTCTGGAGATGTGCAAAGAGATTGATATTGTTTCCCTGCCTACTAATACAACATCCATTCTGTAACCTATGGATTAAGCAGTAATTTTGACTTTCAGGTCTTAATTAAGAAATACATTTCATGGCCAGGCACAGTGGCTCACACCTGTAATCCTAGCACTTTGGGAGCCAAGGTAGGAGGATTACTTGAGTCCAGGAGTTTGAAACTAGCTTGGGCAACATGGAGAAACTTCATCACTACAAAAAAATATTAAAAAAATTTAGCTAGGTGTGGTGGCAGGTGCCTGTAGCCACTTCAGGTGGAAAGATTACCTGAGCCTGGGAGGTTGAGGCTGAAGCACACCCTGATGGTGCCACCGTACTCCAGCCTGGGTGACAGAGCAGACCATGTCTCAAAAAAAAAAAAAAAAAAAAGAAATTGATTTTGTAAAGCTATCTGTCATAAATAGTGATTCCTCTGTTGAATTTGGGCAAAGTAAATTTAAAATTTTCTGGAAGGATTCACCATTCTAGTTGTCATTAGGAAAATGTGCGACAAATGGGAGGAAGTAAAAATATGAACATGAACAGGAGTTTGGAAGAAGCTGATTCCAACCCTCGTGGATGACTTGGAGGGTTTCAAGACCGGAGTTGAGGAAGTCACTGCAGATGTGGTAGAAATAGCAAGAGAACCAGAATTAGAAGTGGAGCCTGAAGATGTGACTGAATTGCTGCAATCTCATGATACAACTTAAATGGATGAGGAGTTATTTCTTATGGATGAGCAAAGAAAGTGGTTTCTTGAGATAGAATCTGCTTCTGGTGAAGATGCTGTGAACATTGTTGAAATGACAACAAAGGATTTAGAACATTACATAAACTTAGTTGATAAAACAGTGGCAGGGTTTGAGAGCATTGACTCCAATTTTGAAAGAAGTTCTACTGTGGGTCAAACAGCATAGCATGCTACAGAGAAATCTTTCCTGCAAGGAAGAGTCAATCAATGCAGCAGACTTCATTGTCTTATTTGCCACAGCCACCACTGCCTTCAGCAACTGCCACCCCGATCAGCCCATAGCCATCAACATCAAGTCAATACCCTACACCAGCTAAGGATTACTACTTGCTGAATGCGCAGATGATCATTAGCATTTTTAGCAATAAAATATTTTTAAACAAGGTATGTACATTTTTTAGACATAATGCTATTGCACACAGAATACAGTCTAGTGTAAACATAGCTTTTATATGCGTTGTGAAGCTAAAAAATTCATGTGACTCACTTTATTGTAGTGTTCACTTTACTGCAGTGGTCTGGAACTGAACCCACAGTATATGTGAAGTATGCCTGCAGTTGCTTAATAAAGAAATCTTTCTTTAAATTTTGTTCAGATTGATCAAGGATGGGCAGTGAAGTACAAAGACTTCAGAATTAGATTTATTGGAACCTGGCAAATGTATGCAGTGTATTTTTTATTTTTTGAGATGGAGTCCTGCTCTGTCACCTAGGCTGGAGTACAGTGGTGCAATCTTGGCTCACTGGAACCTCTGCCTCCCAGATTCAAGCAATTCTCCTGCCTCAGCCTCCCGAGTAGCTGGGATTACAGGCATGCACCACCACAGTTAATTTTTGTATTTTTAGTAGAGACAGGGTTTTACCTTGTTGGCCAGGCTGGTCTCGAACTCCTGACCTCAAGTAATCCGCCCACCACAGCATCCCAAAGTGCTAGGATTATAGGCGTGAGCCACCGCACGTGGCCTACATGCAGTTTAAAATCAATGCTGCTTTTCCACCCATCTCTTTGCCACCCCTTAACCTGTCTTTATTGCTGAAAATGAGTTATTTGTTAAAAATAGGATAACTTTTGGTGTTCATCCTCTTACCTTTTTGTTTTGTGCTATATTGTGCCATTTTTTGCAACTGGTATAAATTAAAAAATATGAAAATAGGTAGAACATTCAGATAAAAATGATTTATTAAATCCTTGTAGTACACATAGCATCACAATCTACATTAGGTTGCCTATTTTATTGTTTACACATAATGTAGAAGAATTAAGCTTGATATGCCAAAAAAATCTTAAAATTATTTTTTACTATAATCTGATTTTGTGGTTGGTACATTTTATATTACAGATCTTTTACTTTCAGTGTATTTTCTTTGTAGTTCATTTATATTCTATGTTAGTCATAGTCTGATTATTTTAAATGGTCACATAAATTTCCCAGTATCATCTTTAACATTTTAGGAGATAGTGTCTTAAAAAAAGAAATTGAATATAAAATTAGTTGGGATATAAAACACAGTGTAAAGAAGTTATTTTTCAAAAGAATATGTAGATGAGATTTTAGATTATTTTACCATAGAGGCAGATAATTATACTTATATTTTCATAATGTCAATATTTATTCAGTTGATATGTTTCTTCTTTTGTGCATCATTTGGATATTTGAGTAATTATTACTGGATTTAGGGGCTTAGTACTTACAGCAGCAAAATATTTACTTAGTGTTTTACCTTGCCTATTTGGAGAATATTATTCCTTTTTAAAGAGTTTTTTTGTGGTCTCCAGAAAATTAGATAGCAGAGCTGAAAGCCCAGGCCCTGTTTTAGTTTGTTCTTCAAAATTTTGTCCTAAGTAGTTCTAGAAAAGATAAGATTAAGAATATTTGGGCTGGTAATCATAGTAGTTAACTATTATATTTGCCTTTTTATGCTTTATTTCTTGAAACAGTGGTTTTATTTTTGTTGATGCTAATCTGGTTAAAATAGAACATTGGGTAAGGAATATTAATGAAACATTCCATATAAATAAATACTACGTTATAAGTTCCAATACAAGCAATCATAGACTATTGCGATAAAAGCATACTTAAGAATATGTCTGTTTAAGTGAATGAAATAAACCACCAGCTAAAAACAACCAATCTAGACAATTCAGTCTGAAAGCATTTCTACTACAGTGAGTCTTCCTTTCCCTGCTCCTCAGTTTTGTACAGAAAAAGGTCCTCAGCCCTCCATTTTATTTTTCTGGCTGGTTAAGTCGAAAGCATTTATCACTTTAAGTTATCTTATAGTGAAACCAGTGAAAGATGATGTAACATTTCAAGTTTCAACTGGACAGCCGAATTTTTGACAGCCTGTCTTGGGTAGATAACATCTTTGGCCTTTGATAAATTAAAATTATTTTAAAAGAAAATCCCACTCATCTCATATTGCTTGAAGGATAAAGAAGGTACTTTTCTTTCTGATCTCTGAAATGCCCTGTATTCTTTCTTAACTGATGACAGGTACGTGTGCATCATGGATGGGGATTCTTGGAGATGTTGGACTTCTCCCTGTGCCCAACCTCCATCCACTTTATTTCCACAGGTATTTGTCAAGTGCTTAAAGTGTGCCAGATGCCAGGTGAGGAATACGGTGCTGCACAAGGCATGCAAGGTTCCTGCTCCGTAGCAGTTTATAGTTTCATCTCCTCATACTTCGTGTTTCTTAGTGTAGGAAATATGAATTAATCACTCTATATGCTGCCCCCCTCTGCCCACCCAGTGTGTAAATAGGTTGCCTTTCAAAAGGTGGTATGTAAATTAGCTTGTTTGGTACAGGGAACATAGTCCCGGCAGAGAAAATATTATGAATTGTAATTACATTGCCAGATGGTTATAGTTGAACTCCAGAACTAACAACTGTGGTTTCCCATTGTCTTTCAGAATGAGTTTCAACTGTAATCTAAAATTTAGAGAATCTGCTTAGTTTTACAGGCAAGTCCAATGCCTAGAAGAATGTTCTTTCTCCCACCCCCAACTTCCATACCCCTTGAGGAGCAGGGATTTTTTCCATTTCTTCGTGTAGCTCATCGGCAGTGAGAGGGAATTTCTTCCTTTACGTATTATGGTAGTGGCAAGGACAAGAGAGAAAAGAGTATCCTCTGCATCTGTGACAGGAAGGAGATACAGGATCCTGGGAGTTAAAGAAATGGGTTGAAGTAGTTATACTTGGAGACAGGTATATATAAAAGCTCATTCTGGGCGTGGAGAATCCTTCGCACCTAGAAAAGGAATGATTGGAGTTCAGGGTAAATGGAATAGTATTGGGGTGGAGTCAGGAGTGGGGAAGGGTAGGTTGGAACTAGAGCGGAGTGTTTAACCGTAGTGGCATGTAGGGAACAGGAATCTTTGCAGTCAGCCTAACCGGGGCCTTGAGTTTCTCAGATGCTGCATGTGCAGGATGGATATTTGCAAGTCAGGTTCTGCCTGTACTCTGTTTCCTTATATTAACATTTCCTTTTTATCAATAATATCATTAGGAAATATTTGAATGTCTATAGAGCACATGGATCAGTTTTTAAAATATTACTCATGCATTTTATTAAATTTTCTGATAAGTATTAGAATCTTTGAAATCTTTTCAAGATAAAAATTATATTATTAAGCAGAATTTAAAATCAATGTAAAATAAAATTCCTTAAAGAGAGAAGACATAATTAAATAAAATCCACTAATTAAACCTCATTTAGTCAAAGCAAAGAGAGAAGTTCCTAGCAATAATAATCTAAAAAGGAAACAAGATTTACTTACGGATTACAAGCAAATATAGAAAAATGACATTAGTAATATCTAAGTTTTCAAAGTTTATTTTCAACATAAAATGTAGAGATTTAAAAGTCACCCTTGAGGACAGAAAACCAAATACCGCATGTTCTCATTCATAGGTGGGAACTGAACAATGAGAACACTTGGACACAGGGCAGGGAACATCACACACCGGGGCCTGTCGTGGGGTGGGGGGAGGGGGGAGGGATAGCATTAAGAGAAATACCTAATGTAAATGATGAGTTAATGGGTGCAGCACACCAACATGGCACATGTATACATATGTAACAAACCTGCAGGTTGTGCACATGTACCCTAGAACTTAAAGTATAATAATAAAAAATCCTTGAAAGACTAAACCAGAATAATTCTTAATCACTTTTTGGTGCGATTTGTCTTGCATTTGCTATGTAATTACTGGTTTCCTAATCTGGGATATATTGTAAGAATACAACATGAAGTACAAACATTGCAGATACTTTTTCTCAGTTTTAGTAAGTGATTTTAGATACTTAATTTTATTCTTTCTTATAGTTGGTTTATATGTATATACTCAAGAATGAAATCTGTTACAGTGGCATTTTATCAGTATTTTCCTGATTATTTAAAATATGTTCCTTTGAACATTATCTGTAATTGAAGCTACATTGCAAGGTTTAGACCTGGTTATTTGAGTTTTGTTTCTTTGTTTCTTTTAGAGGCAGAGTCTTGCTCTGTTGCCCATGCTGGAATTCAGTGGTGTGGTCACAGCTCACTGCAGTCTTCAACTCCTGGGCTCAAACAATCCTCCTGCCTTCCTGAGTAGCTAGAAGTACAAGAATGTGCCTTGTACTTCTAGTCGTACAGGAATGTACCATGCCCAGCTAGTTAAAAAAATTTTTTTTTGTAGAGGTAGAGTCTTGCTATGTTGCCCAGGCTGGTTTTGAACTGCCGGCTTCAAGTGATCCCTCCACCTTGGACTCCCAAAGCATTAGGATTAGAGGCATGAGCCACTACACCAAGCCTTCTTTGAATTTTGAAAGGGAACTGTCACTTTAGTTTGGTGGTGGTGGGGTAAGGGTGGAGGATAGAGACTGAATGGGGCTCAGGAAAAAGGAACAGAGGCTTTTTAAAAATTGAAATAAAAAGTACTTTTACTGTGGATAGAAAAAAAAAACTTCTAAAGCCAGATTAATGAGGATGACTTATCTGGAAAAGTCAGTCCCCAAATTTACTTAGTCAATATTTCTAATTGTTAATTTTTGTGGGTACATAGTAGGTGTATATACTTGAGATAATGTGACACAGGCATAGAATGCATAATAATCACAGGGTAAATGGGGGTATCCGTTACCTCAAGCATTTATTCTTTTATTTTGTTACACACAATACAATTCTACTTTTTTAGTTGTTTTAAAATGTACAATAAATTGTTGTTGACTGCAGGTACCCTGTTGTACTATCAAATGCTGGGTCTTATTCATTCTGACTATTTTTGTACCCACTAACCATCCTTACTTTTCCTCGCCCCACTACCCTTTAGACTCTAATAACTGTCATTCTACTTTCTGTCTCCATGAGTTCAATTGTTTTAATTTTTAGCTCCCACAAATACCTGAGAACATGCAAAGTTTGTCTTTCTGTGCCTGGCTTATTTCACTTAACATAATGTCCTCCAGTTCTGTCCATGTTGTTGAAATGACAGGATCTCATTCTTTTTTTTTATGGCCTACTTCATTCTGTATATGCACCATATTTTCTTTATCCATTTGTCTGTTGATGGACGCTAAGATTGCTTCCAAATCTTGGCTATTGTGAGTGGTGCTGCAATAAATATGGGAGTGCAGGTATCTCTTCAATATACTGATTTTCTTTCTTTTGGGTGTATACCTAGCAATGGGATTGCTGGATCATATGGTAGTTCTATTTTTAGTTTTTTGAGGAACTTCCAAACTATTCTCTATAGTGGTTGTACTAATTTATATTCCCACCAACAATGTACGAGGGTTCCCTTTTCTCCACATCCTCTCCAGCATTTGTTATTGCCTGTCTTTTGGACAAAAGCTGTTTTAACTGAAGTGAGGTGATAACTCATTGAACTTTTGTTTGGTTTTTCTCTGATGATCAATGATGTTGAGCGCCTTTTCATATGCCTGTTTGCCATTTGTATGACTTCTTTTGAGAAATGTCTATTCAGATCTTCTGCCCATTTTATAATCACATTATTAGATTATTTTTCTGTACAGCTGTTTGAGCTCCTTATATATTCTGGTTATTGATCCCTGTTAGGTGGATAGTTTGCAAACATTTTCTCCCATTCTGCGGATTGTCTCTTTTAACTTTGTTCAGTGTGTCCTTTGCTGTGAAGAAGCTTTTTAACTTGATGTAATTCCATTTGACCATTTTTGCTTTGATTGCTTGTGCTTGTAGGGTATTCCTCAATAAACCTTTGCCCAGTCCAATGTCCTGGAGAGTTTCCTCAATATTTTCTTTCTTTTTTTTTTTTTTTTTTTTTAAGACAAAGTCTTGCTCCATCGCCAGGCTGGAGTGCAGTGGCGTGATCTAGGCTCGCTGCAACCTCTGCCTCCAGGTTCAAGCGATTCTCCTGCCTCGGCCTCCTGAGTAGCTGGGACTACAGGCGCGTGCCACCATGTCTGGATAATTTTTTTGTATTTTAGTAGAGACAAGCTTTCACTGTGTTGGCCAGGATGGTCTCCATCTCCTGACCTCGTGATCCACCCACCTCAGCCTCCCAAAGTGCTGGGATTACAGGCGTGAGCCACCACACCTGGCCTCCTCAATATTTTCTTTTAAGAGTTTTATAGTTTGAGGTCTTAGATTTAAGTCTGTAATCCATTTTGATTTGGTTTTTATATATGGTGAGAAATAGGGATCTTGTTTCATTCTTCTGCATATAAATATCCAGTTTTCCCAGTGCCATTTATTGAAGATACTTTCCTTTCTCCGGTGTATATCCTTGACATCTTTGTCAAAAATGAGTTCACTGTAGATGTATGGATTTGTTTCTGTGTTCTCTTTTCTGTTTCATTGGTCTGTGTGTCTGTTTTTATGCCAGTACCATGCTGTTTGGGTTACTATAGCTGTGTAGTATAATTTGAAGTCAGGTAATGTGATTTCTCCAGTTTTGTTCTCTCTGCTCAGGATAGCTTTGCCTATTCTGAATCTTTTGTGGTTCTATATAAATATTAGGAATGTTCTCTATTTCTGTGAAAAAATGTCATTGGTATTTTAATATGGATTGCATTGAATCTGTAGATTGCTTTGGGTAGTATGGACATTTTTAGCAATATTGATTCTTCCAATTCATCAACATGGAATATCTTTCCATTTTTTTTGTTGTCCTCTTCAATTTCTTTCATCAGTGTTTTATAGTTTTTATTGCAGAGATCTTTCGCTTCTTTGGTTAATTCCTAGGTATTTTATTTTATTTTCGGTTATTATAAATGGGATTACTTTCTTGATTTATTTTTCAGATTGTTCATTGTTGACATATAGAAATGCTTCTGATTTTTGTATGTTGGTTTTGCTTCCTGCAGCTTTCCCAAATTTGTTTGTCACTTCCAATAGTCTTTTGGTGGAGTCTTTGGGTTTTACCAAATATAAGATAAAGTCATCTGCAGACAAGGATAATTTGATTTATTTCTTTCCAGTTTGGATGCCTTTATTTCTTTCTCTTGTCTGATTGCTCTAGCTGGAACTTCCAGTACTGTGTTGAATAACAGTGGTGAAAGTGGGCATCCTTGTTGAGTTCCAGATTTTAGAGGAAAGGCACATTGATTGATTTGCATCTGTTGAACCATCCTTGCACCCCTGAAATAAATCTTACTTGGTTATGATGAATGATGTTTTTAATGTGTTGTTGAATTTGGTTGCTAGTATTTTGTTGAAGATGTTTACATCAGTGTTCATTAGGGATATTGGCTTGTAGTTTTCTTTTTTTGATGTGTCTTTGTCTGGTTTTGGTATCAGAGTAATACCAGTCTTCTAAAACGAGTTTGGAAGTCTTCCCTCCTCTTCTATATTTCAGAATAATTTGAGTAGAGGTGGTATTAGTTCTTCTTTAAATGTTTGATAGAATTCAGCAGTGAAGTTAATGGGTCCTGGGCTTTTCTTTGCTGGGAGTTTTTTTTTTTATTACAGCATTAATTTTGTTACTTGTTATTGGTCTGTTCAGGTTTTGGATTTCATCTTGGTGCAGTCTTGGTAGTTTGTGTGTATCTAGGGGAATTTGGCCATTTCTAGGTTTTCCAATTTATTGGCATGTAGTTGCTCATAGTAGCCACTAATAATCCTTTGTATTTCTGTGGTAACAATTGTAATGTCTCGTTTTTCATCTCTGATTTCATTTATTTGGGTCTTCTCTCTTTTATTCTTAGTCTGGGTAAAGGTTTATTGATTTTGTTTATCTTTGGAAAAAAACAACTTTTTCATTGATCTTTTGTATTGCTTTGTTTCAATTTTATTTATTTCTGCTTGATCTTTATTATTTCTTTCCTTCTACTAATTTTGGGCTTTGTTTGCTCTTGCTTTTCTAATTCTTTAAGATGCATTGTTAGATTGTTTATTTGAAGTTTTTCTACTCTTTTGATGTAGGTGTTTATAGCTATAAACTTTCCTCTTAGAATGGCTTTCGCTGTATCCCACAGGTTTTGGTATGTTGTGTTCCCATTATCATTTGTTTCAATACATTTTAAAATTTCCTTCTTAATTTCTTCACTGACCCCACTGGTCATTTAGGAGGACATTTGTTCAATTTACCTGTGTTTATATAGTTCCCAGAACTCCTCTTGTTACCGAGTTCTGGTTTTATTTCATTGTGGTCAAAGAAGTTATTTGATATAATTTCAGATTTTTTGGAATATTTTAAGACTTGTTTTGTGGCCTAACATATGGTCTGTTTTGAATGATCCATGTGGGGAGAAGAATGTGTATTCTGCAGCTATTGGATGAAGTGTTCTGTAAATATCTATTAGGTCCATTTGGCCTATAGTGAAGATTTGGCCTATTTGTTGACTTTTTTTGTCTGAACGATCTGTCAAATGCTCAAAGAGGGTTGTTGAAGTCTCCAGCTATTATTCTATTGGGGTTTATCTCTCTAACTCTAATAATAGTTGCTTTATATATTTGGGTGCTGCAGTGTTGTATGCATATGTATTTACAATTGTTATATTCTTTGCTGAATTGATCACTTTATCATTATATAATGGCCTTCTTTGTCTTGAAATCTGTTTTGTCTGATATACGCATAGTTACTTCTGTTCTTTTAGGTTTCTGTTTGCATGGAATATCTTTCTTAATCCCTTTATTTTCAGTCTTTGTGTCTTTTTAGTGAAGTGTGTTTATTGTACGCAACAGATCGTTGGATCTTGTTTTTATATCCACTCAGCTACACTATGACTTTTGACTGGAGAGTTTAGTCCATTTACATTCAATGTTATTATTGATAAGTTAAGTACTTACTCCTGCCATTTTGTTATTTGTTTTCTGGTTGTCTTATGGTCTTCTCTTTCTTCTTTTCTTCCTTCCTGTCTTCCTTTTAGTGAAGGTGATTTTCTCTGGTATTATGTTTTAATTTCTTGCTTTTTATTTTTTTGTTTATCTGTTGTATTCTTTTTGATTTGAGGTTACCAGAAATCTTGCAAATAATATCTTATAACCCATTATTTTTAAACTAATGAAACTTAACACTGATTGCATAAAGAAACAGAGAAAACTAGTAAAAACTCTACATTTACTTCATCCCCACTTTTAAACATTTTTTGTTTCTATTTATATGTTATTGTACTGTCTACATCTTGAGAAGTTGTAGTTTTTATTTTTGATCAGTTTATCTTTTAGTTTTTCTACTCCAGATATGAATGGTTTAAACACCACAATTACAGTGTCACAATATTCTATGTTTTTCTGTGTACTTACCATACCAGTAAGTTTTGTACCTTTAAATGATTTTATGTTGCTCACTAATGTTCTTTTCTTTCATATTAAATAACTCCCTTTAGCATTTCTTGTAGGGGAGGTCTGGTGTTGATGAAATTACTCAACTTTTTTGGGAAAGTTTTTATTTCTTCTTCATGTTTGAAGGATATTTTTGCTGGATATATTATTCTAGAAGTTTTTTTTTTTTCTTTAGCACTTTAGGTACTCTCTCCTGGCCTGTAAGGTTTCAGCTGAGAAATCTGCTGTCAGATGTATTAGAGCTTTATTGTATGTTATTTGTTTCTCTTTTGCTGCTTGTAGGATTCTTTCTTTATCCTTGACCTTTGGGAATTGATTATTAGATGCCTTGAGATAGTCTTATTTCGGTTAAATATGCTTAGTGTTCTATAACTTTATTGTACTTAAATATTAATACCTTTCTCTAGGTTTGAGAATTTCTGTTATTATTCCTTTGAATAGTCTCTACCCTTATCTCTTTTTCTACCACCTCTTTACAGCCAATAACTCTTAGATTTGCCCTTTGAGGCTATTTCCTACATCCTGTAAGCATACTTTATTCTTTTTTCTTTTTTTCTCCTCTGACTGTATACTGTCAAATAGCTTGTCTTCAAGCTCACTAATTTGTTCTTCTGCTTGATCAATTCTGGTGTTAAGAGACTCTGATACATTCTTCAGTATGTCAGTTGCGTTTTTCAACTTCAGAATTTCTGCTTGATTCTTTTTATTAATATTTCAATCTCTGTTAAATTTATCTGATAACATTCTGAGTTCCTTCTCTGTGTTTTCTTTAATTTTGCTGAGTTTCCTCAAAAACAGCTATTTTAAATTCTGTCTGGAAGTGCACATATCTCCATCTCTCCATTATTGGTCTCTGGAGGCTTATTTAGTTTGTTTATTGAGGTTGTGTTTTCCTGGATGGCCTTGATGCATGCAGTTGTTCATCAGTGTTCGAGCATTGAAGAGTTAGGCATTGTAATCTTTGCAATTTGGGCTTGTTGTGCCTTTCCTTATTGGGAAGGCTTTTCAGGTATTTGAAGGGACTTGAGCCCCAAACCCAATAAAGCTGTGGTTCTTGCAGACTTGTAGAGGTACTGCCTTGTTGGTCTTACATGAGATCTGGAAGCTTTCCCTGGATTACCTGGTGGAAACTCTTATTCTTTTTCTTTACTTTCTTCCAAACAAACAGTCTTTCTGTCTGTGCTGAGGTGCCTGGAGCTGCGTGAGGGGTGACACAAGCACCCCCGTGGCTATAACCACTGGGTCAGACATGAAGCTGGTCCAGCACTGGGTCACACCCAAGGCCTGTGGTAACCACTGTCTGGCTACCACCTATGGTTGCTCAAGGCCCTAGGGCTCTATAATCAGCAGATGGCAAAGTCAGCCAAGCTAATGTTCTTTGTTTCAGGGCGGCAAGTTTCCCCTGGTCCTGGGCGGATCCAGTGATGCCATTCAGCAGCCAGGGCCTGGAGTCAGAAACTTTAGGAATCTACTTGGTATTCTATTCTGTGCCTGAGCTGGCACCCGAATCATAAGACAAAGTCCTTCTCAGTCTTCCCTCCCCTTTCCTTGAGCAGAGGAATCTCCCTGTGGCTCCTATTACCCCAGGCCTGCAGTGAATACTGCCTGGCTACTGCTCCCTTCAGGACAGTGGGCTTCCTTCTGGGCCAGGACAGGTCCAGAAATGCCATCCAAGAGCCAAGGCCTGGACCCAGGGCCAAGCAGGTACCCTACTGTGGCCAAGCTGGTACCTAAGCTGCAAGACAAAGTACCCTTTTGTCTTCCTTCTCGTTTTCTCAATCAGAAGGAGTTCCTCCTTGTAGCAACTACAGCTGGGAATGTGCTGGGTCGCACCTGAAGCCAGCACATCTCTGAGTCTTACCCAAGACCCATAGCAAGTACTGCCTGGCTACCACTGCTGATTATTCAGGCCCCAAGGGCTCTTTAGTCAGAAGGTAATGAATCCTGCCAAGACTGGGTTCTTCCCTTCAAGACAGTGGGTTCCCTACAGGCCCAGGATGTGTCTAGAAATGTCTTCTGGGAGCTAGGGCCTGGAATGGTAACTTCACGACTCTGCCTGGTGCCCTATCCTACTGTGACCGAGCTGGTTTTCAAGTTGCAAAACAAAGCCCTCTTTACTCTTCCCTCTCTTCTCCTCAAGTGGAAGGAAGGAGTATCTCCTATAGCTTTAAGCTGTGCTGCCTGGGGTTGATTGAGGGAGGAGTGGTACAAGTACTCCCTTGGCCACCCTGGCTGGTGTCTCACTGGGTCATATGCCCTGCACATTCACTGGCTTTGAGTCCAGCACAGCATCAGGACTTGCCCAGGAATTGTAGTACTTGTGTTCTAGATTGTATTTCATGTTTATTTAGCACCAAACACTTTAGCCCATGGTGGTAAAGCTTGCCAGAACTCAGGTTCTGGCCACTGGGCTGGGGGATTCCCCTCTGGCTAGGGCTGGTCTATATGCTCCCTCCATGAGTGCCAACTGAGTTCTGTTCGGTGTTGCTCTCTGCTGTGACATGCAGCACTGAGTTCCAATGCGAAGTCCCACAGTCACTGTGCTCTCCCTCCCACAATGGCACAGATTCTCCGTACCATGCGGCCGCTGCCGGGTGATCGGGTAGGGTGGCATCAGTAATTCAAAACTGTCTTTTCTACTCTCTTCAGTGCTGCTTTCAGTGATCCGAAGTTAAAACCAGGTACTGTTATGACTCGTCTGATTTTTGGTTCTTAGGAAGGTCCTTTTTTGTGTGAATAGTCATTCACTTCGGTGTTCTTGCTGGGAGGACAATGGGTGGATGCTTCTATTTGGCCATCTTTCTCCACTTCCCATTTTGTCACTTTTTCTTTTCTTTTCTTTTCTTTTCTTTTCTTTTCTTTTCTTTTCTTTTTTTTTTTTTTTTTTGAGATGAAGTCTCGCTCTGTTGCCCAGGCTGGAGTGCAGTGGTGCAATCTTGGCTCACCGCAACCTTCACCTCCTGGGTTCAAGCGATTCTCCTGTCTCAGCCTCCTGAGTAGCTAGGACTATAGGCACATGCCACCACACCCGGCTAATTTTTGTATTTTTAGTAGAGACGGGGTTTCACCATACTGGCCAGGCTTGTTTTGAACTCCTGACCTCGTGATCTGCCTGCCTCAGCCTCCCAAAGCGCTGAGATTACAGGCATGAGCTACCGTGCCCGGCCCCATTTTGTCACTTTTTTAGTGACTTGTTCTGTATTTACTAAATACAATAATTACTGGCTTTTTAAATTCACTATGTCCTATGAAACTATAACCTCAGAATAAATCTTAATATAAAAAATACATTTCCTAAGATTTTGCAAGTTGATTTTAGGTATTTAAGTACTTTCTGTCTTAGATTTGTTTATAAAGTGAAAAGCCATATACATGTTAAAGGGCCATTAATTTAGTAAATATTACATTTTATTCAGTAAATTTACAATATGAATTTGATTTACATTAAAAATATCCAACAGATCTTCACTTGCGATCACTGTAACTAGGATTAATTTTCATTTCATCTGTAAGGCATACATATTTCAATATGAGATGATCATTTTGGTGACATTTAATGGGAATTTGGTTGATAAATGTGGCTCTTTATTTTAAAGGAATAACTGGTTCAGTGAAATAGTAAGGCTATCTGGATTCAATTAAAAATTAACCTGAGTGGATTAAGTTGATTTCTTCTTTTGTTGAAGTTGATTCCTACCTTTCTTACTGTCTAACCTTTTGGGAAATTTTTTGAGAAAAATGTCAAGACTTATCCCATGTGCTTTGAAGAATTTTATTTACATAGCGAACTGAGGAAGATTCCAGTTAATGTACTTTTGGGGTATTCTGGGGGAATTATTTACAAAGCAAATAATGATATTCTTTGTGCATTATTTCTAAAATAAATGGAAGGTTTTCTAGGTTTAGATTAGGCAGATTAAATGTGATTTGGATAGTCTATTTTGTGGACCACCCAGTGGCTAAAAGTGCCCTTGGCTGTTTATTGCTTAGGTATCTAGAACCCCATCTGTTGGGGTTTTGGAATTGGCTGTCTATTCAGTAAAGTTGGAACCTCTTTCCATTAAGTGGTGAAAACACCTGTGCTTCCTACCGCAAGAACAAAAGAAGTTAATATAGCCCATCTGCAGGTGCTACAAGTATTAACAGATAAGCCTCCCCTTCTCTGGTTCTATAAGTAGGGCAACTTCTTTTTAATTAATAAAATTTATTTTTTAAAGCAGTTTAAAGTTCAGAGCAAAATTGAGTGTGAAGCACCGAGAGTTCATATATACTCCTTCTTTCCCTCCACACATCCTGCCTGATTATCCATATCTTACATGTGCCACAGTGGTACATTTGTTACAATTGCTGAATACATTAAGACATCATTATCATATATAGTTCAAATTAGGGTTCATTCTTATATATCCTATCAGTTTTGACAAATGTATCCTATATATTAACCATTGTAGTATCATACTGTATTAGTCTATTGTTATGCTGCTATAAAGAACTACCTGAGACTGGGTAATTTATGAAGAGAAGAGATTTAATTGACTCACAGATCTGCAGACTTAACAGGAAGCATGACTGGGAGGCCTCAAGAAACTTAAAATCATGGCAGAAGGTGAAGGGGAAGCAAGCACCTTCTTCACATGCAGCAGGAGAGAGAGAGCGAGTGAAGGGGGAAGTGCCATACACTTTTAAACTATCAGATCTCGTGAGAACTCACTATCACAAGAAGAACAAGGGGGAAATCCAGCCCCATGATCCAATCACTTCCCACCAGGCCCCTCCTCCAATTCCCCATGAGATTTGTGTGGGGACACAAATCCAAACCATATCATTCTGCCCCTGGCCCCTCCCAAATCTTATGTCCTTCTCACATTGCTAAATACAATTATCCCTTCTCAATAATCCCCCTCAATAGTCCCCCAAGTCTTAACTCATTCAGCATTAACTCAAAAGTCCACAGTCCAAAGTCTCATCTGAGACAAAGTAAGTCCCTTCTGCCCATGAGCCTGTGAAATAAAAAACAAGTTAGTTACTCCAAGATGCAGTCGGGGTACAAGCATCGGGTAAATGCTCCTGTTCCAAATGGGAGAAATTGGCTAAAACAAAAGGACTATAGGCCCCATGCATGTATAAAACCCAGTAGGGCAGTCATTAAATCTTAAAGCTCCCAAATAACCTCCTTTGACTCCGTGTCTCACAACCAGGGCACAATGATGCAAGAGGTGGGTCCCAAGGCCTTGGGCACATACAGACTAGTTTTACTACCCTAAAAATACCCTGTATTCTGCCCATTCATCCCTCTGTCTCTCTGAACCCCTGGCAACCACTGATCTTTTTGCTGTATCCATAGTTTTGCCTTTTCCAGATTATTATGTAATTTGAACCATGCAGTTCATAGCCTTTTCAGATTGGCTTCTTTCACTTAGTAATATGTGTTTAAGTTTCCTCTGTGTCTTTACATGACCAACTCATTTCTTTCTAGTGTTGAATAATATTTCATTGTCTAGATGTACTACAATTTATTTCTTCATTTACCTACTGAAGAATCTTGGTTGCTTCTATGTATTGGCAATTGTAGGTAAAGCTGCCATAAACATTTGTGTGCATGTTTTCATGAGGAAATAAGTTTTCAGTTTTTTGAGTAAGTATTAAGGAGATGAATTGCTGGATTGTATGTTAAGAATGTGTTTAGCTTTGTAAGAAGCTACCAAATTGTCCTCCAAAGTGGCTGTCCCAGTTTGCATTTCCACCAGCAATGAATGGAAATTCTTGTTGCTTCACATTTTTGTCAGCATTTGGTGGTGTCAGTATTTTGAATTTTGGCCATTCAAATATTTGCATAGTGGTATTTAGTTTTAACTTGAAATTCCCTAATGATGTATGATATTGAGCATCTTTTTGTATGCTTACTTGCCATCTCTATATCTTCATTGGTGAAAGGCTTTTTTGTTCATTTTTTAATCAGGTTGTTCATTTTCTTGTTGTTTTAAGAGTTCTTTGCTTATTTTGGATCAACAGTCCTTTATCAGATGTGTTTTTTGCAAACATTTTCCCTCATTCTGTGCCTTCTCATTCTCTTGACAGTGCCTTTCACACAGTTTTTAATTTTAATGAAGCCAAACTTACCAGTTATTTCTATCACAAAATGTTTTGTGTTGAATCTAAAAAGTCATTGCCATATCCAAGGTCAGTTAAGTTTTCTCCTATGTTATCTTCTAGGAGTTTTATTGTTTTACATTTTCATTTAGGTATATGATCCATTTTTAGTTAATTTTTTTGTGAAGGGCACAAGATATGTGTCTAGATTTATTTTGTTGCACATCTATGCTCAATTGTTCAAACACCATTTGTTCAAAGACTATCTTTGCTCCATTGTATTGCCTTTACTCCTTTGTCACAGATCAGTTGACTATATTTATGTGGGTCTGTTTCTGGGCTCTTTATTCTGTTCCACTGATCTACTTGTCTATTCTTCAGTACCACACTTCTTTAGTACTGTAGTCAAATAGTGTCAGTCCTCTGACTTTATTCTTCTTTCAGTATTGTTGGTTATTCTGGGGTTTTGCCTCTTTATACAAATTTTAGAATTAATTTTTTGATATCCACAAAATAATTGCTGGGATTTTGATTGGGATTGCATTGACTCTATAGATTAAGTTGGAAAGAGCTGACATCTTGATGATATTGAGTCTTCCTCTCCATGAACATGGTATCGCTCTCATTTACTTATTTCTTTTTTGATGTCTTTCAACAGAGTTTTGAAGTTCTCCTCATATAGATCTTGTACATATTTTGTTAGATTTATACCTGTGTATCTCATTTCTAGGGTGCTAATGTAAATGGTAATGTATTTTTAATTTTAAATTCCACTTGTTCATTGCTAGTATGTAGGGAAGCGATTTTTTCTGTTAATCTTGTGTTCTGCAAACTTACTATAATTGTTTATTAGTTCCAGCAAGGGTGTTTTTTTGTTTATTCTTTTGTATTTCTACATAGATGATTATGTCATCTGTGAACAAAGACAGTTTGATCTTTTCAATCTGTTTGCCTTTTATTTCCTATTTGTGTTTTATTGTGTCAGGTGATACTTCCAGTACAATGCCAAAAAGCAGTGGTAAGAGGGAACATCCTTGACATTTTTATGACCTTAGTGGGAAAACTTCAGGTTTTTCACCGTTAAATATGTTATCTGTAGGTTATTAGATGTTCTTCATCAAGTTGAGGAAGTTCCCCTCTATTTCTAGGTTACTCAGAGTTTTTTATCATGAATGGGTGTTGGATTTTATCAAATGCTACATGTATGGATGTAATTGTAATTTTTTTCTTCAGCCTGTTGATGTGACCACTTATACTATTTGATTTTTGAATGTTGAACCAGCTTTGCATACCTGGAATAAAACTCAGTTGGTTCTGTGCTGTATAATTCCTCCTATACATTGTTGAATATTTTGTTGAGGATTTTTGCATCTGTGTTCATGAGAGATATTGGTCTGTCATGTTCTTTTCTTGTAATGTCTTTGTCTGGTTTTGGTATTGATAGAATGAGTTAGAAGGTATTCCCCTGGCTTCTATTTTATGAGAGATTGTAGAAAATTACTCTAATTTCTTCCTTAAATATTTGGGAGAATTCGCCAGCCCACACATCTGGGCTTGGCTCTTTCTCTTTTGGAACATTATTAATTATTGATTCAATGTTTCTAATACAGGTATAGGCCTATTCAGGTGGTCTGTTTCTTCCTGTGTGAGTTTGGTATATTATGACTTTCAAGGAACTGGTCTATTTCATCTAGGTTATCAAATTTTTGAGTATAGAGGTGTTCATAGTATTTATTATTCTTTTAATATCCATGGGATCTGTAGTGATGTCTTATCTTTCATTTCAGATATTAGTAACTTGTCTTCTCTTTTTTTGTCAGTTAGCTTGCTAGAGGCTTATCAATTTTATTTATCTTTTCAAACAACCAGCCTTTGGCTTTGTTGATTTTCTCTGTTGGTTTCCTTTTCATCAATTTCATTGATTTCTGCTCAGATTTTTTCCTCTGGCTTATTTTGGATTTAATTTGCCCTTCTTTTCCTTAGTTTCCTAAGGTGAAAGCTAAGATTATTGATTTAAAAAGTTTCTTATTTTCTAATATATTTATTTAATGCTATAACATTCTCTCTATGCACTGCATTTGGTACATTTCACAAATTTTGGTAAGTTGTATTTTCTTTTTTTTTTTTTTTTTGAGGTGGAGCCTGGCTCTGTTGCCTAGGCTGGAGTGCAGTGGTACGATCTTGGCTCACTGCAACCTCTGCCTGTTGGGTTCAAGCGATTCTTCCGTCTCAGCCTCCCAACTAGCTGAGATTACAGGTGCTCATCACCACACCCGGCTAATTTTTCCATTTTTAGTAGAGATGGGGTTTTGCCACGTTGGCCAGGCTGGTCCTAAAGTCCTGACCTCAGGTGATCTGCCCTCCTCGGTCTCCCAAAGTGCTGGGATTACAGGCATGAGCCACCGCGCCTGACCATATTTTCATTTTTTTAGTTCAAAATATTTATAAATTTATCTTGAGATTTCTTCTTTGACTTGTGTGTGTGTTTAGAAGTGCATTGTTTAACCTCCAAATATTTTTGGATTTTCCAGTTATCTTTATGGTATTGATTTCTAGTTTAATTCTTTTGTGTCTGAGAGCAGATACTATATGATTTCTATCCTTTTAAATTTGCTAAGGTGTGTTTTATGGCCCCAAATGTGGTTTGTCTTAGTGAATGTTCCATATGAACTTGAATAAAATGTATGATCTGTTGTTGTTGGAAGAAGTAGCCTATAGATGTCAATTATATCCAGTTTATTGATGGTGCTGTTGAGTTCAAGTAGGTCCTTATGGATTTTCTGCCTGCTGGAACCGTCCATTTCTCATAGAAGAGTGTTAAAGTCTCCAAGTATAATACAATAGTAGGTTCATCTATTTCTCCTTGTAGTTCTATCAGTTTTTACCTCATGTATTTTGTCACTCTGTTGTTAAGTGCATACGCATTAAAGTTTTTTATGTCTTCTTGGAGTAGTGACCCCTTTACCATTACATAATGTCCCTCTTATTCCAGATAGGCCTCCTTACTCTGAAGTCTGCTTTGTCTGAAATTAATATAGCTACTCTGGCTTTCTTTTGATTGGCATTAGCATGGTATATCTTTCTCCATCCATTTACTTTTAAACTATGGGTGTCTTTTATATTTAAGATGGGTATCTTGTAGACAACATACAGCTGAGTCTTATTTTTTTGATCCACTCTGACAATCTCTTTTAATTGGTGTAGTTACACCACTGACGTTTAATGTGATGGCATTAGTTTGAGTTCTCCAAGAAACAGAACCTATAGATTATGTTATATATAATTATATAGATTATATTATAAGTTATATATAATAAATTATATATTATAACATAATTATATATTATATATAATATACACATATACATACATGCATATTTATTATTATGAGGGATTGGCTCATATGATTATGGAGGCTAAGTCCCACAATCCTTCATCTGCAAGCTGGAGGCCCAGGAAAGCTGGTGATGTAGTTCTAGTCCAAACTCAGATGCCTGAAAACCATGAGAGCTAATGGTGTAAGTCCCAGTTTGAGTCTAAAGGCCCAAGAACAGGGTGGGGTGGCAGGGCCAGGTGTTGGGAACGGTTTCTGTTTGAGTTCAATGTCCAGAGAACTAGGAACAGCAGTGTCTGAGGACAGAAGGTAGATGGCCCACCTCAAGCAGAGAGAGAAAATTTGCTTTTTTTTTTTTTTTCCACCTTTTTATTCTATTGAGGCCTTCACCAGATTGGATGATGCCCATTCTTATTAGTGAGGGCAATCTTTTTTACTCACTCTACCAATTCAAATGCAAGTCTCTCCCAGACACACTACCATAGACATAACCAGAAATGTATGATGTTTTACCACCTATCTGGAATCCCTTACCCTAGACCTGTAAGACTTAACCATCACAGTGATTATTGATGTAGTTGGATTAATATTTACCATATTTATTACTGTTTTCTATTTGTTGGCACTTGTACTTTGTTCTTATTTTTGCCTCACATACTTGTTTGCCTTTTGTAGTTGAGCATTGTATATGATTCCATTTTTCTCCTTTTTTAGCATATCAATTATGCTTTTAAAAAACTTTTATAGTGTTTGCTCTGAAGTTTGAAATATACATTTTTATAACTAACCCAAATTCACTTTCAAATAACACTATACCACTATATGGTTAGTGTAAGTACCCTATTATAGCAAAATATTACTAATTCCTTCCTCTCATTCCTTTTATTGTTGCTGTCATTCATTTTACTTACATATAAGGATACGTATATAAGCATACATAATCAAATACATTGTTGATATTTTACTTTGAACCAACTATCTATTAGGTCAATGAAGAATAAGAAAAGTAGTCTGGGCACAGTGGCACATGCCTGTAATCCCAGCACTTTGGGAGGCCAAGGTGGGTGGATCACTTGAGATAAGGAGTTCTAGGCCAGCCTGGCCAACATGGCAAAACCCCGTCTCTACTAAAAATACAAAAATTAGCTGGGTGTGGTGGTGTGTACCTATAATCCCACCTACTCTGGAAGGTGAGGCAGAGAATCGCTTGAACCTGGGAGGCAGAGGCTGCAGTTAGCTGAGATTGTGCCTTTGCACTTCAGCCTGGGCGACAGAGTGAGACTCCATCTCAAAATAAATAAATAAATAAAAAATTTTATTTTACCTTTACTTATTCATTCTATAATGCTCTTCCTTTTTTAAAAATGTAGACCCAAGTCTGACAGATGTTAATTTCTTTATCTCTGAAAAATTTATTTTAAAATTTCTTTCAAAGTAGGTCTGCTGGCAACAAATTTTCAATTTTTATGGGTCTTTATTTCACTTTTGAAAGATAATTTCACAGGATATAGAATTCTAGGTTTGGCGTTCTTTTATTTTTTTTCCTCTCAACTCTACTTTATTCCTGCGTACATAGTTTCCGAGGATAAGTCAGATATAATTCTTATCTTAGCTTTTCTGTAGATAAAGTGTTTTATTCCTTTGGCTTTTTTCAAGATTTTTTTCTTTATCTTTGATTTTCTGAAGTTTGAATATGATATGCCTAGGTGTAGGATTTTTTTGTCCTTTATCATGCTTGGTGTTCTCTGAGCTTCCTAGATTTGTGGTTTGGTGTTTGACGTTAATTTGGAAAAATTATCAGTCATTATTGCTCAGATACTACTTCTGTTCCTTTTTCTCTTTCCTTTCCTACTGCTTTTTTCATTACATGTATGTTAAAATTTTTATAGTTGTCCCACAGTTCTTGGATATTCTGTTCTTTTTATTTATTTTTTGCAGTCTTTTTCCTTCTGCTTTTCAGTTGGGACTGTTCTTGTTGAGATATCCTCAAGTTTAGAGATTCTTCCTTCAGCCACATCTAGTCTACTAATAGACCCATCAAAGACATTCCGCATTTTTTTTACAGTGTTTATGGTCTCTAGAATTTCTTTTTGATTCATTCTTAGAATTTCCATCTCTCTTCTTACATTATCCATCTGTCCTTGCATATTGTCTACTTTTTTCATTAAAGCCTTAGCATATTAGTCATAGTTTTAAGAAAATTCCTGATTGGATAATTCTAACATTCCTGCCATATCAGACCCTGGTTCTGGTTCTTGTTCAGTCTCTTCAAACTGTACATTTGCCTTTTCATATGCCATGTAATTTTTTCTTAAAGCCAGACATGATGTGCTGGATAAAAACAATTGCTGTAAATAGGCCTTTAGTAGCTTAGTGGTGTTGTGTTGGGGGAGGGAAAGCCTTTTATAGTCCTGTGATAAGGACTGTGTCTTTTGGTGAGCTGGTGCCCCTGGACTGAGCTTCATCAGTGCTTTTTTTTTTTTTTTTTCACCCTTAAGGTGGGACAAGATGTCTGGAGGGGGCTGCAATTGGTATGTCCTTTTCCTCAGGTCAGTTAGGTTCTGATTAAAACCCAGCCAGAGTATGCTGTGGCAAAATAGTTCTTCCTGAGAGCAGACCTGGTTAGGAACAGAATACACTGTGTATTCAAAAATAGTTTCTTTATTTCTCCCCTTGATAGAGGCATTAGGGTATTTTTCTCTGATACTTAGTGTGAGAACCAGATTGGGTTCTTAGAAATAAAACTTGCAAAAGTGTGGAGGCCTCTCCAGTAACTGGTTCCCCGTGGAGTTTTTTTACTCTTGGACTTGTCCACGCTGAGCCTCCAGCAATTTATCAATTACAGATTAGATTTTCCTTCCCTGGCGCTGATTCCTGCAGAGATTTCTGCTCAGGGTTTTTTGTTTGTTTGTTTGTTTGTTTCTTATGGTAAGCTGTGATTCTCTATACCTGCCTGTCTCTTCAGTTTTGGAGGGCAGTGGTTTGCCCTGTGACCTCACTTATTTTATGGAGCTAAGAATAGCTGTTGATTTTTCTGTTTGTTCAGCTTTTTACTTGTTGTTGGGATAGATTGGTGATTTCTAAGCTTCTTATATGCTGGACTAGAAACTGGATGTCCAATAGGCAACTTTTTATGCTTTGGGGCACATTAGTTTTATAAATAATTTTTCTGCCACTCTTAAAGAGTATTGAAATTTGGGGGAAAAGGAGAGTAGGCCTTAAACGAATATTATTATTCTGAGACTAAAGTAAACTTGAGAAACAGATGGAAGATCATAACACTTTACCCTGCGTATTAATTACTGAGTGACCTTGAATAAATTTTGAAATCTTCCTGGCTCTTAATTTTTCTGATAGAGTTATGAGGACTAAAGAGCCAGGCTTCCTTCTTTTCCTTTTCTTTCCTTTATCTTTTTCTTTTTCTTTCCTTTTCCCTTTCTTCCCTTCCTTTCTTCTTTCCACTAACATCTACCAGGTGTCAGAGAATTGCTAGGGATGCAAAGATAATTTGTATTTTTTTCTAGTATTAAATTCTAAAATAACTAGCTACTATACTCAGTCATAATTATTTATTTGCGTAATTTCTATAACAAAGATACAGTAGTTCTACAAAGAGGGGAAGGAGGGGGTAAGAGAGGATGGTAGTTAGGAAAGGCTTCACGGTTAAGAAATACTGGATTAGGCTCTTCAAGGAGGAGGAGCCATTTTCCTGGTTTAGCAGGAGGGGAAATTCTAGGCAGCAGCATCTGGAAAGGTAATTAGCTGTGAAACGATGCTGTTCATTTGGGGGACTGTTCGGTGTGGTTTCAACATGAATGTGTTACGTGGGTTGAGATACGGAATGAGATTGTAGAAAGAGCCATCGCTAAATCTAGGAAGACCGTGCTTGCATATTTACATATCTGGCCCCTCTCCTGTAGATATGAAGGTCTACCGATGATGGGGAAGCAACTTGAAGAGAATAACACTTTCACATCATCTTTTGACTTCACTATGGAAAGGAGCAGGAATAGGAGAAAAGAAGACCACTTCAAATACTATTATAATAGTGACAGTGAGGACATTGCCAAATAAGATGGTTATGAGCCATAGACTATAAAATTCAAAATACTTAGTGACTGGTTGGATATCAGTTAAGAGTAAGAAATTGAGCGTAACTGTCAGGTTTTTGGTTTGAGCAGCTGAGTGGCTATGGTGTCATTAACTAAGAGGCAGAACAGAGAAGCGATGGCATTTAAGTTGCCTGAGGGACTTTCAGGTGAATATGCTCAGTAAACAGTTGAATAAATACATCTGCAGCTTTTAGCACATTGAGTTGGACAGAGGTTTAGTAGTGCAAAGATTGGCTGTTTTCTATTGACTGACGTAGTGGGTCTGAGGAAAATGTGTGGAATGAGAAGACCATGAGGTAACCTTAGGGAATGTTGATATTTTAGGTCTACGTAGAGGAGAAAAGCATGTAGGAAGAACAAAGGAATGATTTAAGATATGGGGGAGAACAAGTAGGGAGTGATTTGATGTTTTAACTTTGAGGGAGTCATAATGATGATTAAATACACTAAAGAAGTAAACTAAAACAAGGATTGCACAGCAATCAGTTTGGGCAGAATTGTGTGGAACTTGTATTATGGGAAGGCTACCAAGCACCCCTGATTTATCAACACATTTACTAGTTAGGATTTCATTAGGTTGCATATAACAAAAAACGTAAAAGTAACAGGATTACAATTTATTTCCTCTTAAATAAATGAAGTTTGAAGGTTGAGAATCCAGAGATAAGCTGGCAGTTTCGTGAAGCTGTCTAGGTATCTATTCCACTTGTACCGTTTTATTTTGGCATCCCTAAAATGGTATATTCTTGTAGCCCAAGATGGAGGCTGAAACTCTAGACATCACACCTGTCTTACAAACTGGTAGCTGGATGAAGGAATGTAGAAGAGTATACACCCTGTTTAAGTCTTCCCACTTCAATCTACAACTCTTTGGCCAAACTTTAGGCAAGTGAATGTACCCAGTTTTAAGGGAGATGATGGGGGACTATTATTTTTTAGCTGGGGAACAATGTGTCTAGCTAAAAATTTGGTTTCTTACCACTCAGTGGAGAGACCCTGGAGGCAACTTCCAGTTTCTGCAATAGAAGGGATTAAAATTGTGTGTGTGTGCATGCATGTGTATATGTTTGTGCTCAGTATATGTGTTTGGGGAAGAGAATACCTTATTAAGGCTCTGTGCTTTTGGTTAATCTGCTCTTTTGGAGCTTCTATGGTATTTCTCTTGGAAATTACTGTGGATAATCAAAAGGGAACTGTTAAAAGATATAGGAATAGATTCTGCGCACAACAGTACTTTGATCTGCAATCTATTCTGCCTTCAAATACATTTAATTATGCAAATATTTAGGGCAGTCAATTAAGAAAAGTAGGCCTTTACTAAAATATTTTACTTACAGTCTATAAATTACGTTTTGATATGCCAAGAAAACACTGAAGTGGCATAGTAGTCTGGTTTAGTACCATGAGCCTATTAGAACACATTTTCTATTTAGATGACTTTGTAATTGTCAATATTAGTGTAATTTATCCCTTTCAACCGTTTTGGAATAAAAGTATGTTTTTTTAAATTATAGGGTAGATTAGGTTAAAAGGATTCAATTAATATAAAATGTAGAAATTATCTGCTCTTTGAAAAGCTAACATCTGGGAGAATTAGGAAGGAATAAATATGTTTAGAAATTGCATAATATTTTAGAGAAAAGTTTTATACTGATATACCTCTTACTGTTTAATGATTCTAAATCTAGTTGCTCCGAATTTGCTCATTTAACCAACTGTCATTGAGTCAATTGAATAAGCTTTGACTGGTAGGACCACATATTTCCCATAGATATAAATTGGCTTGGAAACTTTGGAACATTGGTCTACAGTGAGCCATGGGGAACCACACAGACTTATATTGTGAAGAAATAGAGTTTATCTTCTTAATATTTGAGTGGAGGGGTATGTGGTGAGAGTGGTAGCGGTTGTGCTAGCAGTTGCCTTAGGTTTAACTTTGACGTGTGAGCTTGCCACTTCTTGGTCCTTTACTTGGTCCCAAAGTGAGATTTCCTGGGCAGTATAATTTCTTTGAGGGAAAATACTGAATCATGATGTTTTATAGTATTTTTCTAGATATAGTAGACTAAGCTTCAGGAATTATACATCCTTAACTCTTCTACTCACTAGTTCTGTTACTCTTGAAATCATGTATTCCCTCTGGGCCAAATTTTAGTAATGATAGGATTAAATAATCTTGTACTTAGGAGATATTTTAAAGGTTATCTGGTTCAAACCTCTATTCAATGGATATAAAGCTCCTGCAATATGCCTGGCTTCAACCTGTATTTTTACACTTTCATTGATTGGACACTTCTATATCCCAACTCCCAAATGGTTCATTTCTCAGTCTGTAACATTTTTGAATAGCTCTAATGGTTACAGACAAGGTCTTTGGTATGTAGTATTGAGTTAAAAATTGCCTTCTTATCATTTTAATTCATTGATTTAGTGCCAACGTCTTTAGCCATGTGAAATAAGACCAAGCCCTCTAATACCTGACAACCTATTAAGTATTTGGGCCTTTTCTTTTTGCAGGCTATGCATCACTGACACTTTCAGCCATTTCTCTTGACTTGTCTCTTTTCTCCTCATCTTTGTAGGACTATTACCTCTTTTTTTCTAGTTCTTATAGTCTATTAATGCATTTTAAGGTAAAATTAGCTCTTTTGGCAGGGCAAATACACGATTAATTCATCTTGAATTTGCAGTCAACTAAAACCTGTCTTTTCATATGGGCTGTTGTTAAGTCATATTTGTCATCCTTTACAAGTTTTTTTGATTCAAGCACAGGATTTTACATTGGTTTTTGTTAAGTTAGTCTTAATGGATTTAGTGCAGTATTTCAGAGTTCCCTATTCTTTTGGGATCCTAATTCAGGAATATAAATATATTAGTTAGCTCCTTAGTTTTATTTTCAAATTTGGTGATTATGCTGTGATTGCTTATCCAAAATCAAAGAGTTAGTCTGATTATTTTCATCTGGACTTAGGGAAGTCAAGACGTCTTAGCTTACTGTCTTTTTATTTGGTCACCCATGGGTGCTAAATGCTTCTTAGTGCAAGTGATTAGAAAGTAAATATCTGGACCGAGTGTGGTGGCTCATGCCTGTAATTCCAGCACTTTGGGAGGCCGAGGACGGCAGATCACTACCTGAGGTCAGAAGTTTGAGATCAGCCTGGCCAACATGGCAAAACCTCGTCTCTACTAAAAATACAAAAATTAGCCATCGTGGTGGCAAGGCGCCTGTAAGTCCCAGCTACTCAGGAGGCTGAGGCGTGAGAATCGCTTTATCCTGGGAGGCAGAGGTTGCCTGAGGGATAGCACGAGACTGTTTAAAAAAAAAAAAAAGAGGCCAGGTGAGGTGGCTAACGCCTGTAATCCCAGCACTTTGGGAGGCCAAGGCAGGCAGATCACCTGAGGTCAGGAGTTTGAGATCAGCCTGGTCAATATGGTGAAATCCCGTCTCTACTAAAAATACAAAAAAATTAGCTGGATGTGGTGGCAGGCACCTGCAATCCCAGCTACACAGGATGCCGAGGCAGGAGAATCACTTGTACCTGGGAGGTGGAGGTTGCAGTGAGTCAAGATCGTGCCATTACACTCCAGCCTGGACAACAAGAGTGAAACTCCATCTCAAAAAAAAAAAAAAAGAAAAAGTATCTGGAGATTAATTTAGTTGAAGCATATGTCGTGTTTAATCTTTTCTTCCCTTGTCTATTTTTCTCTTTCATTTGTTGATTATTTTGGCTTCATATGTGGAGATCATCTTAAACATTTATTTTAGACAAAAATAATGGAAGAATCAGAATAATTTTATCTAAATTTGAAAAATATGGACTATTTTCTTGTATTTAAAAATTTTCTGGGTATTTGCTTATGATTTTGGTTACTAAGTTTTTGTGTTCCAACAGTTTTCATAGTAACCTAAATTTTAATTAGGAAATGCCATGTAGATGAATATCTTTTCAATTATATGTGCATATAAGGCTTATTTTACTGTAAGTTGAAAAATAAGAGAATTATGTGAAAAATTCTTAGTAAGCTGCTACTAATTAATAATTTCATATGTGGAAGCATTATATAAGCTATAAAACACTATAAATATAAGTTGCTATTACTGTTTTGTAGTAAAAATAATATAATGGAGCAAAATCTTTCTTTTGCATATTGATAGTGTAGAAGAAATGTGGCTCAATAGTAGAATATTTTATGAAACCATTTTATTACTTTCAAGTACATAGAGAATTTTATTTTGGCAACCACTGTCACATATAGTGTAGATAATTCTTTCATGCTATTATTCTTTCCTTAAAAATCCCCTTTTCTCTCTGCTTATCCCATTTCCCTTAATTCCTGTTAAAGCCCTTTTGTGAAGAACCTCTTCCATGGTTTCTTCCTATTCAACATTCTTGATGTTTTTATTGCCTGTACACCTGTCACATGCTCCTTTGTATTATTGATCTTAATTTTAATTATATGTCTTGTCCCATTAGCAAATCTGAAAATTACTTAAGGGCAAGATTTGCATCTTGTTTTTTTCTTAAGATTTTGTTTTTTTCTTAAGTGCTGGAACATTAATAGAAGCTTACTAAACTGTTGATGGTGATTAGCATAGTAAGTGTTTATTCATAAACTTTCTCAGGATGTTTGAAAATGGTTTTTGTTTCAAACATTTGATGTTTAGAATTATCCTTATGGTACTAAATTGTTAAACTCTTTCTTGGAGTAATGATGCATCCCCTGACCATATTGCCACAAATTCTGAATTAGTGGGTCTTATATTAATTACATTTCATTGGTTCTCAGTACTTTACACAAAGTAGATGCTTAAGAGTTGACTAATGAAGAGAGGAATAAACAGCCTCAAAGAGCAAATGTTGTTGATATCTTAATATATTAAACTAGGGCTAAGAAGTGGCTTAATGCCCAGAGGAAAAAAATACCCTGTGATTCTGATTATTTTATTTGGAGCCTTTAAAAAATAGCTCCAAATAATGGTTTTTAAAAATGATTACCATACATTTCTATCCTCTAAAATCAGAGGGAAAAGATTATCCTGGGTTTTTCATGAATTGGGATTTTCCTTTGACCATCTGCCCACTTCCTTCAGTGGTATTAGAGTTGTGGACCCTGTGTCTATAGGTGTATTCATCTGAAGCATTTCTTTTCTGTTCTGCCTGTGTCCTAAGGAGTACAGGTCGGATATATTGCTGAAATTAGCAATGAGAAAAACTCAGAATTCATTTGGAGAAAGTAGAAAATGGATTATAAGCACTGGCATCACTTAATGGTGAATATTAATGTGCATACTTAAATATGACTGATGAAGTAGGTATAACTGAAGACATCACCGAATGTGTCACAGCTAGACGAGCACAGAGATTTGGCTAGAATTAAGGAAGGAATAGGGGAAACATTAAAGAAGAAGGTAAAGTGGATGGGAAAGGAAAGCAGATGTAAAGCAAAGTAGATTTAAATGCCAAAATGGCATGTGTAAAGATCACAAAAGAGAATTCACAGGGGGAATTAAGGAAAAAATAGTGGTAAAGCGAGGAGGAAATTATAAATAAGTTATTTTCAATGCTTTTCCTTGTCAGAGGAAAAAAACTTTAGAAAGCTTTAAAGTATTTTCACGGGATATAAAATTTACATTATTTAGAAAGAAGATGTTTTCTTGGTTATAGTATGTTGACATAACTTATTGTTACAGTAAACTTGTTCATCTGTACTTGAGGAAAATGTTACATGTAGATAATTTACAGTAAGATTGGAGATGGAGATAGGAACTTTACTAAGTTTAGAAATTTTTTTCTTGATACAGAAAAACTGCCAAATATAGAAAAGCATAGAGGAGTAGGAAGCTTCATTACCCATTGTAATAACTTTTAAAATAAATTTTAACTTTTAGGTTCACAGCAAATTGCGTGGAAGATATAGAGATTTCCCATATTCTTTCTGCTCCCACACATGTGTTACCTCCACGTTTATCAACATCCCCCACCATAATGATACTTTTGGTTATAATTGATGAACCTACATTGAAGCCTCATTATTACTCGAAGTCCATAGTTTACATTAGGGTTCTCTGTTGGTGGTGTGCATTCTATGAGTTTTGGCAAACACATGATGGCATGTATTTACCATTGTAGTAGCATACAAGGTAGTTTCACTGCCCTAAAAATCCTGCATTCTGTGGCTTTCATCCCTCTGACCCCCTAACTCCTGGTAACCACTTATCCTTTTACTGTCTCTCTATACTTCTGCCTTTTCCAGTATGTCATAAAGTTGGAATCATACAGTATGTAGCCTTTTCAGATTGGTTTCTTTCTCTTAGTCATAAGCATTTAAGTTTCCTCCGTGTCTTTTCATACCTTGATAGCTCATTTCTTTTTTCTTTTTCTTTTTTTTCTGCCTTCTTTTTTTCTTCATTTCTTCTTTAAAAACAAAAAAAAGGGGATACATGTGCAGAACGTGCAGGTTTGTTACATAGGTATGCATGTGGCATGGTGGTTTGCTGCACATATTGACCTGTCCTCTAAGTTCCCTCCCCTCAACTCTCATCCCCCATCCCCCAACAGGCCGTGGTGTGTGATGTTCCCCATCATGTGTCCATGTGTTCTCAATGTTCAGCTCCCAGTTATGAGTGAGAACATGTGGCGTTTGGTTTTCTGTTCCTGTGTTAGTTTGCTGAGGATGATGGCTTCCAGCTTCATCCATGTCCCCTCATTTCTTTTTAGTACTGAATATTTCATTTTCTGGATGTACTACACTTTATTTCTCCATTCACCTACTGAAATCATCTTGCTTGATTCCAAGTGCTGCCAATTATGAATAAAGTTGCCAAACATCTGTGTGCAGGTTTTTGTGTGGACATAAGTTTTCAGTTCATTTGGGTAAATACCAAGGAGTACAATTCCTGATAAGAGTATGTTTAGCTTTGTAAGAAATTGCCAAACTGTCTTCCAAAGTGGCTGGACCATTTTGCATTCCCACCAGCAATGAAGGAAAATCTCTGTTACTCTACATCATTGCCAGAATTTACTGTTGTCAGGGTTTGTTGTAATTACTTTGCAAAGTTTTATTCTATATACTTTCATTACTTTTTACATATATGCAAAATAGTGTACCATAATTTAATCATTTCTATTTAGTTGAACATACAGGCTACTTCCATTTTGTCTTTTACTGTCAGTAAAAAACCCTATCATAAAAATCCTTTATATGAAACTTTTTATATACTTTTTTCTTTAGAATAAATTCCAGAGGTAGAACTGTACTGAGATGGTAGAGACACAGTTTTTAAGTTTCAAAATTTTAATTTAAGAACACTTGGAACTTGGCTAAAATTATTCCTTTGGGAAATAATTTGTAAAGATAATTTTCTTTTCTGTCTTTAAATTTTCTGTACAAATGATGAGGACCTTGACTAAATATAATGTAAAATGTAACAAGACCTTTATTAAAGACACTAATTTCAAATGAATATTCCAAAATTTTTTTGTAAAAATATTTAATATTATTGACTGATTTTAGTAAACTTTATGCTTTATTTACCTATTGTCTGGTGGTAGTGCTGTTATACAATTAAACGGAGGAAAGGCCATTTAAGTAGTAATTCAACTGGCTAAAAATAACCAGCATTGAATATTAAGAAACATGAAATAAATTGTTTATAAATTAAAACATGAGTTTAACATGGTTAATTTCAGAAGTAAAAATGCAGTTTTATAATTATGTTTAGTTTCTTTTTTTAACGAAAATTTACTTTGGATTGAGATAAGTAGGCTGGATAAAATCTTACAGCCTAGTCATTTTTAAGCTACTTAGGAATATTTGGTTAGAGTAACTGTGTTTTGGCTATTCGTATTTGAATGCATGAAGAAATGTTAATTCTGTGTTAAAACTGAACAATTAAAATTTATTTGAAAAAACTTTTTTTCCTTTTTCCTGTTTTTTTTTTTTTTTTTTTTTTTTTAAACTTCCATATAAGCTCTATCTTTAAGTCTACTGGGTAGTGCTGAATTGATGCATTATATTTATTGGTTTGCATTTAGCTCCCAGGAAATTTCTATCAACAGTAATTGTATCTTAGTTAAGTATTGATACCCACTGTGTCCTCCCAGCACGAAGCAGTGCTAATTTTCTCAGTTTGGAAAAGGTAACTCATTACCTGTTACAGCATTATTCTCTCAGGTGGGGAAAGTTAGGGTTGTCTGATTGGCTCCAAGTATAACTGCAAGTATCCTTTGATTGATAAAAGTAACTGTTCTAGGACATTTTGCCATCAGTTGAATTCTATAAGTCAACCGTTTCTCTTTCCATTGATCCTACTTCAAAATTAGACCTATAACCTACTAGAAAACTGTGAACTCTTCATTGTGTCACAGAATAAAAATGCTTAATAAGAAAATATGGTGACAAAATTTTTGTTATTATATTGGTGTTTCTTTGTGCTTCATATTGTTTTCTCTGTAGAGGTAACAATTCAATACAATTTTAGTAATTTGGGCAAGTCTTTCACCCACTTAAAAGTTATACTTCATTCCTAGTATCGCCTTTTTTTTGAGGGAGGTAACTTATCTTTACAGTAATGATACTGTAAAGTATCTTTAAGCTACTTTCTAGCCACATTAGTCTGGCTATAGTTACATGTTGTTAAAAGCTTGGTTTGAGTTGTTAAAATTACCCATAATTGTTAGAATGAGTCCATATAGTAGCTTTACTTTAGGACTAAGTTAGCCCTGCCTCTGTATGAACCCACTGGTCTCTACTGAATGCTCTTGGTGTTCAATGAGGTCTTTCTACTGAGTAGTCAGTGGTTTTCCAGCCCTGTGGGAGCAATGGTTCTTTGCCTGCTCTAGTAAAGGAACCCCTATATGGATTGTTGGAGCGTGTGTGTGTGTGTGTGTGTGTGTGTGTGTGTGTGTGTGTGTGTGTATCTGTATCCCTTCTGTCTGGTACTCTGCCTCATAAATTCCAGCTGCCTCAGCCTCCTCCAAATCTTGGTCTCAACTCAAGAGACTGTTGTTCTGTATTTGGATGTCTCCGTCCTTGTACTGTGTTCTGGAATTTGCCCTGAGGCAAAAAGCTAGGATGATGATAGGACTCCACCTATTTTTTCCCCTTTCATCAAGGTATTGCTGGGAAGCATTGCCTTTTGTCCCGTGTCTAAAAACAGTTGTTTCCTATATCCAGTTTTTAGTTGTTTACAGCAAGAGGTCAAATCCCACATTCTCCTCCATGGCATGAGTGGAAGTCTGGTTCTGGTGTTAATTTTTATGTGAAAACATTGAAATAGAGTACAGCAAGACTTCCAAGGTTAGTCAACAAGTATTAAGAAGCCACCAGTGTCTTGGGAGGATATAAAGGACAATATGCTCTCTGTGAGGATAACACAGACAGAAAGTAAAGATTATGACAATCTGTGTATATCAAGATTCCATAGAAAGTGGGAGCCTGTGTATAAAGGATGATCTTCAAATTGGATTGAAGTAGAGCAAATCATATTAACAAGTGCACCCAGCACAGTAATACCAATGTATACTGCTAAGCAAGATTGAATGGAAATTTTTACTAAACTCTATAGATAATTATTTATAATATAACATTGATTTAATTAGTTTTTAAAAATTTACATTTTTATGCCTTTGCCCTTTTCAGTTCTCCAAAGTTGATAGTAGTCATTTTAATTTTGAAATTGCCTTTCTATATGAGGTAAGTGTTTACATTTCTGGCCACACCAAATTATTTAATCCCAAACCTACATGCTCAGTATTACTTGTTTATAATATATGACATCAATGAAACATCAGCAAAGTAGTACTTTTTTATGCCCAACTATCCATCTAGTTGTTAAATTTTTCATTGATGTCTCTGTCTGTGTTAACTAATGCAATTATTCCTGTTCTAGAACATTACTAATGCTCAGTTCAGTATCTTCATTATCTGTATGTAGTATGTCAGTTATCTATTTCTCTAAAACTCATTGAAAATATAAAAAATACGTTATAAGTGTGTTTAAAACAAAGGCTGGGTATTCATGTTATTTGGTTCCATTGGCAGAGATTTTGACACTCTGAATCTGTTTTTTAGCTTAAGTGTTAATAATGAGGAACTTAAAAAAGACAATGTTAAAAACAGATTTCTAATTTTTCACACCTCCTTAACAGCAGGTTGCAAGCGCTTTGAACATTTGATCAGGCTGATCCTGTTTCACTGCTATAACTACTCACAGTCTTATGAGCAGCCTTTCAAAAGCTGCCAAATGCTCCTTACTGCTCTTCAGCTGGCTGTGATCCAGCTAACTATTGGCATTTTGTCACCTAGGAATCACATTTGGACATTGATAAGTATCATTGGTCCACACTGGAATTATACAGGAATAAGAGAGGTTCTTTTCTAGATCTAAAATGACTCCAAGGCTGGGCTTGGTAGCTCACGCCTGTAATCCCAGCACTTTGGGAGGCCAAGGCGGGTAGATCACCTGAGGTCAGGAGTTCAAGACCAGCCTGGCCAACATGGTAAAACTCCGTCTCTACTACTACTACTAATAATAATAAAAAATTAGCCAGACATGGTGCCTGGCGCCTGTAATCCTAGCTACTCAGGTGGCTGAAGCAGGAGGATCGCTTGAACCTGGGAGGCAGAGGTTGCAGTGAGCCAAGATTGCGCCACTGCACTCCAGCCTGGGCGACAGAGTGAGACTCTGTCTCAATTAAAAAGAAAAGACTCTGGAAGATCTTTAGGAAAACCTAATCTATTTTACGTTGTCTATATCTGAGGCTTCTCTAGTGACTGATACCGGGATTTAAGGGTGTAGGATAGGAAGTGGAATTCAGATGTAGGATTTTAGATATATCCATCCATCAGTGCTGTGTGGCAGCAGCTAGACCATTCTTTCTAAAATACCCCTTCCATAGCCCTCTACCTTCATTTTATTATTTATTCTCTAGCCTTGCTTACAAGGAAAACTACAAACCACTGCTCAAAGAAATCAGAGATGACAAAAACAAGTGGAAAAACCATCTATGCTCATGGATGGGAAGAATCAGTATCATTAAAATGGCCATACTGCCCAAAGCAATTTATAGATTTAAATGCTTTTCCCATTAAACTACCATTGATATTTTTTACAGAAGTAGAGAAAACTATTTTAAAATTCATATGGAACCAAAAAAGAGCACTAATAGCCAAGACAATCCTAAGCAAAAAACAAAGCTGGAGCCATCAAGCTACTTGGCATCAAACTGTACTACAAGGCTACAGTAAGCAAAATAGCATGGCACTGGTACAAAAAGAGACACATAGAGCAGTGGAACAGAACAGAGAACCCGAAAATAAGACTGCTACAACTATCTGATCTTTGGCAGACTTCCTTTATTTCCTTTTAAAAGGAAATAAGGAGGAAAGATGCTTTTGAGGATCTTTTTAATAAAACACAACAAAGAAAACACCAAAAATCTGTCACCCCAATTAAACAAGCCAATTTATTTCTTTCTAAAAAATTCCTGTTTGTGTATAGAAATTAGAAATCAGTGTGAACGAATTGTTTAGTAACTTCCATGTTGTCGAACAGTATGGTATTTAATTGAGAGGCTGAATCAGAGGATGCTGTGCTAAGATAGGTATCTAAGGGGAGATCTTAAAACTTTTTTCCTTGAATGCCTTGAATAGAAGAAACCAAAGGATTCTACAAATGCCTATGTGTGGTCTGAGAGAGTCATTAATGCATTCAAAAATATTTATTAGTTACCTACTATTTTAGGAGCTGAAGATACAGAGATTAACAAGACCAAAAAGGGTGCGGTGGCTCACGCCAGTAATCCCAGCACTTTGGGAGGCCAAGGCGGGCGGATCACTTGAGGTCAGGAGTTGAAGACCAGCCTGGCCAACATGGTGAAACCCCATCTCTACTAAAAATACAAAAAAAAAAAATTAGCCGGGCATGGTGGCAAATGCCCATAGTCCCAGCTACTCGGGAGGCTGAAGCATGAGAATCACTAGAACCCGGGAGGCAGAGGTTGCAGTGAGCAGAGATGCCACCACTGCACTCCAGCCTGGGCAATAGAGTGAGATTCTGTCTCAAAAAAAAAAACAAAAACAAAAAACAAAAAAAAAAGTTAAAAAAGTACATACAGAGATAAACAAGACAGAAAATGTACATTATAGTAGTTTAATTTCAAGAGAAATTAGGAAGAGCCATTTTTGGAAGCTGTTATTTTACTGTCTCTTCTCTACCTTTGCACATATAGTGAATTAACTCAAAGAATTTTAAAATTACAAATGGGGATGCATTAATTTGCATGCCTTATTTTTATATGAATCTTTTTAGTTGCTCAATGTTAGAAAATGGCAAAATGCTAACAAAATCATTTGTCCCATTGCTAAAGTTGGATGTTTTCCCATATTAAATGGCTACTTTTCAGTTTCAACCCTACACTTTCTTTGAATATTAAAAGGATAGGTTGCAAAAGACAGGTTCTTTAATAGGTAATAGACAGACCTAAGTAGAAAAGTAGATATAGGATATTATGGTCAGGTTGACAGATGTGGCCATTTATTGATAGTTAGATTTCTCATTGTATAGGCACTTATCTAATGATATTTATGCATAGTTCATAACTCTGTGTACTTCAGTATTGTGAGGCATAATCAAATGTTGTCTAGAACTGGCACACATTATATATAGTACATTTTCTGAAAAGTTTTGTGAATATTAAATCATACGGTTTTATAACTAGCACATAAAATGTAAGGAAACACTTGATGAATCCTGTTCACAAAGTTAAAAAATCTTTTCTGTGATACAAAGTCATATCTACTTTAATTGTTCTATAAATTGGGATTAAAAATAAGACCATTTTATTAGCTGACTTCTGTTAAATAATGATTTGTTATATATAGTCGTATTATATACATACATACATACGGACATGTATATATGTAGAAAGAGAGTTAGGAATTAGCTGTGAGCTAATAGGTAATTAAAAGGCAGTATTTACCTTTTATTTATGTGTTTCTTGGTAAACTTGTTTGTGAATCCACAATACTGTCTTAGAAAACTTACCTTTAATATCTTGCCTATCTTTCTTATTTTCTACCAATTCTAAATTTTAGAGCATTATATTTAACCTCAAATTAGATAACTAGACCATAGAAAGAATTGAGTAAAGTAAGATCTTTACTCCTTTCCCAGACTGTACATTCATTCGTTTACAAGAATGGTTCAGAATCTGTAATTAGACACTTAAGTAACAGTCTCTGTTGTAGATACCTAATTAGTTAAATAGTTCATCTGTCCTAGTACTGTTAGATGATACCTGTTGGCAAGCATGTAATGGATTTTGTTCATATGAATGGAAAGAATTCAGGTTTCTTTCTTAGAAGTTGTAATTTTCTTTTTTTTCTTTTTGTTTCTGTTTTTGAGATTGAGTCTTGCTCTGTCACCCAGGCTGGAGTGTAGTGGCTCGATCTTGGCTTGCTGCAACCTCCGCCTCCAGGGTTCAAGCAATTGTCTGCCTCAGCCTCCTGAGTAGCTGAGATTACAGATGTCCACCACCATGCCCAGCTAATTTTTGTATTCTTAGTAGAGACGGGGTTTCACCATCTTGGCCAGGCTGGTCTTGAACTCCTGACCTCGTGATTCACCTGCCTCAGCCTCCCAAAGGGTTGGGATTACAGGTGTGAGCCAATGCACCCGGCCAGAAGTTGTAATTTTCATAAGGTAAATTGGAAATAATTTTTTTTGTTTGTTTTTGAGACGGAGTTTTGCTCTTGTTGCCCAAGCTGGAGTGCAGTGGCACGATCTCAGCTCACTGCAACCTCTGCCTTCCAGGTTCAAGCGATTCTTCTGCCTCAGCCTCCCAAGTAGCTGGGATTACGGGCGTCTGCCACCATGCCCGGCTAATTTTTTGTCTTTTTAGTAGAGACAGGGTTTCACTATCTTGGTCAGGCTGGTCTTGAACTCCTGACCTCAGGTGATTGACCCACCTTGGCCTACCAAAGTGCTGGGATTACAGGCATGAGCCACCACACCTGGCCAATTGGAAATAATTTTATTTGGTGATATGGCAATGACATTTTCTCAGATTTTAAAATTCATAGATTAGGCAGAGAGAAGTCACTTAAGTGCTTATTCAATGAATGTATCTAAGTTCTGTATTATATTTGCATGCAGAATGAAATTAGACCCTCATCTCATAACGCAGACAAAAATCAAACTCAAAATAGACTGAAGACTTAAACATAAGACTTGAAACCATAAAGCTACTAGAAGAAAACATAGGTGAAAAGCTTCACAACATTGCTTTTAGCAATGATTTCATGGATATGACCTCAAAAGCATAGCCAACAAAAGCAAAAGTAGGTAAATGGGATAATATCAAACTAAAAAGCTTCTGCAAGAGAAATAATCCCAGAGTGAAGAGACAACCTAGGGAATGGGGGAAAATATTTACGAACCAAACCCTGATAAGGGGTTAATATCAAAAATATGTAAAGGAATTCAGACAACTCGATAGCAAGAAAACAACCCAATTACAAAGTGGGGAAAGGACATGAATAGAAATTTCTCAAAATAAAACATACCAATGGCCAACAAGTATATGAAAAAATGCTCAGTGTCACTAATTATCAGAGAAATGCAAATTAAAACCAAAATGAGGTATCACTTGACACCTGTTAGAATGGCTGTTATTAAAAAAAAAAAGAGAGAAGTGTTATTGAGGATGTGGATGAAAGGGAACCATTGTACACTGTTGGTGGGAATATAAATTAGTACAGCCATTATGGAAAACAGTACGGAGGTTTCTCAAAAAATTAAAAATAGAACTACCATATGATCTCGCAATCCCACTCTGTATATCCACAGGGAATGAAATCAGTATGTCAGAGAGATATCTGCATTCCCATAGTCATTGCCGCTTTAATCACAATAGACAAGATATGGAATCAACCTTAGTGTCCATCAACAGATGAAGGAAAATAGACTATATATGCAAAATTGAATACTATTCAACCTTTAACAAGAAGGAAATCCTGTCTTTAAAAAACAATTTTTTAAAGTTCCAGGATACATGTGCAGAATGTTCAGATTTGTTACGTAGTATACATGCGCCATTGTGGTTTGCTGTACCTATCAACCTGTCATCTAGGTGTTAAGCCCCACATTCATTAGGTATTAGTCCTAATGCTCTCCCTCCCCTGACCCCCCACCCCTCAACAGGCTCCGGTTTATGTTGTTCTCCTCCCTGTGTCCATGTGTTCTCATTGTTCAACTCCCACTTATGACTGAGAACATGTGGTGTTTGGTTTTCTTTTCCTGTGCTAGTTTGCTGAGAATGATGGCTTCCAGCTTCATCCATGTCCCTGCAGAGAACATGATCTCATTCTTTTTTATGGCTGCATAGTATTCCATGGTGTGTATGTGCCACATTTTCTTGACCCAGTCTATCATTGATGGTCATTTGGGTTTGTTCCAGGTCTTTGCTATTGTAAGCAGTGTTGCAGTAAACATACATGTGCATATGTCTTTATAGTAGAATGATTTATAATTCTTTGGGTATATACCCAGTAATGGGATTGCTGGGTCACATGGTATTTCTGGTTCTAGGTCCTTGAGGAATTGCCACACTGTCTTCCACAATGGTTGAACTAATTTACATTCCCACCAACAGTGTAAAAGCATTCCTGTTTCTCTACAGCCTCACCAGCATCTGTTGTTTCCTGATGTTTTAATAATTGCCATTTTGACTGGTATGAGATGGTATCTCATTGTGGTGATTTGCATTTCTAATCAGTGATGATGAACTTTTTCTCATATGTTTGTTGGCTGCATAAATGTCTTCTTTGAGAAGGGTCTGTTCATATACTTTGCCCACTTTTTGATGGGGTTGTTCGTTTTTTTCTTGTGCATTTTTTTAAGTTTCTTGTAGATTCTGGTAGACCTTTGTCAGATGGGTAGATTGCAAAAATTTTCTCCCATTCTGTAGGTTGCCTGTTCACTCTCATGCTAGTTTCTTTTGCTGTGCAGATGCTCTTTAGTTTAATTAGATCCCATTTGTCTATTTTGGCTTTTGTTGCCATTGCTTTTGGTGTTTTAGTCATGGAGTTTTTGCTCATGCCTGTGTCCTGAATGGTATTGCCTAGGTTTTCTTCTAGTGTTTTTATGGTTTGAGGTGTTACATTTAAGTCTTTAATTCATCTTGAGTTAATTTTTTGTAAGGTGTAAGGAAGGGGTCTAGTTTCAGTTTTCTGCATATGGCTAGCCAATTTTTCCAGCACCATTTTTATCCCCATTGATTGTTTTTGTCAGGTTTGTCAAAGATCAGATGGTTGTAGATGTGTGATGTTATTTCTGAGGTCTCTGTTCTTTTCCATTGGTCTATATATCTGTTTTGGTACCAGTACCATGCTGTTTTGTATACTATAGCCGTTTTGCTATACTATAGCGTTATAGTATAGTTTGAAGTCAGGTAGCATGATGCCTCCAGCTTAGTTCTTTTTGCTTAGGATTGTCTTGGTTATACAGGCTCTTTTTTTGGTTCCATATAAAATTTAAAGTAGTTTTTTTTAGTTCTGTGAAGAAAGTCAATGGTAGCTTGATGGGAATAGCATTAAATCTATACATTACTTAGGGCAGTATTGCCATTTTCATGATAATGATTCTTTCTAGCCATAAGCATGGAATGTTTTTCCATTTGTTTGTGTCCTCTCATTTTCTTGAGTAGTGGTTTGTAGTTCTCCTTGAAGAGGTCCTTCACATCCCTTGTAAGTTGTATTCCTAGGTATTTTATTCTGTTTGTAGCAGTTGTGAATGGGAGTTCATTCATGATTTGGCTCTCTACTTGTCTTTTGTTAATGTATAGGAATGCTTGTGATTTTTGCACATTGATTTTGTATCCTGAGACTTTGCTGAAGTTGCTTATCAGCTTAAGGATTTTTTGGGCTGAGACACTGGAGTTTTCTAAATATAGAGTCATGTCATCTACGAACAGAGACAATTTGACTTCCTCTCTTCCTATTTTAATACCCTTTATTTCTTTCTCTTGCCTGATTGCCCTGGCCAGAACTTCCAATAATATGTTGGATAGGAGTGGTGAGAGAGGGCATCCTTGTCTTGTGCCAGTTTTCAAAGGGTATGCTTCCAGCTTTTACCCATTCAGTATGATATTGGCTATGGGTTTGTCATAAATCACTCTTATTATTTTGAGATATGTTCCATCAATACCTAGTTTATTGAGAGTTTTTAACATGAGATGTTGAATTTTATCGAAGTCCTTTTCTGCATCTGTTGAGATAATCATGTGGCTTTAGTCATTGGTTCTGTTTATGTGATGGATTACATTTATTGATTTGCATTTATTGAACCAGCCTTGCATAACAGTGATGAAGCCAAGTTGATCGTGGTGGATAAGCTTTTTGATGTGCTGCTGGATTCGGTTTGCCAGTGTTTTATTGAGGATTTTCGCATCGATGTTCATTAGGGAAATCCTGTCATTTTGACAACATGGATGAACCTGGAGGACATTACGTTAAGTTAAATGAGTGAGGCAGAGGAAGACAAATACTATATAATCTCACTTATACAGTCAGCCGTTAGTATCTGTGGATTCTGCATTCAAGGATAAAAAATATTTGGAAAAAAATAAAATCAACAATAAAAAATAATACAACATAAAAAAGTATAACTGTATAGCATTTACATTGTACTGGGTAGTAGAGTAATCTAGAGATGATTTAACATGTACAGAAGAATGTGTGCAGGTTATGTGTAGATACTATGCCATTTTGTATAAGGGACTTGAGCATCTGTGGATTTTGGTGTCTGTGGGGGTATTGGAGTCAATCCCCGTGGATACTGGGGGATGCTTGTATTTTTGATCCCAGGTTGGTTGAATCCAACCACACGGAACCCACAGATAAGGAGGCTCAGTTGTATGGAATCTAAAAACATTGAAGCCATAGAAGCAGCATAGAATGGTGGTCATCGGGCTGGCAGTAGGGAGGATTTTGGAGATGTTTGTCTAAAATAACAAAAGTTCATTTAGATTAGGAATACATTCAAGAGATCTATTGTACAATGTGGTAATGTGGTGACTATAGTTGTTATTAATAACAATGTTTTATATATTTGAAAGTTGCTGAGAGAGTAGATTTTAAGTGTTCTCACCACACACAGAAAAGATAAATATTTGAGGCAATGGATATGTTAATTAGCTTGATTTGGTCATTCCACAATATATACATGTATCAAGACATCATGTTGTATATTATGAATATTTATATGACAAAATTTTATACAATTTTTATTTATCAATTAAAAAATAAAGTTTCTGTTCTGTTGTCAAAATTTTATTTTAAATAGCTAAATCCTCCTTCCCTCTAAAAAACCTGACTAAAATTAAGTCACACAACAAACTAGGAAAAGAATTTGCAGAAAATAAACCAGAGATTTAATATTTTTATATAGCTGAATACCTTCGATATTTGTTTAGAGTGCCACAAAGTTTAATCTTTTACTGGTGACATAAAGCTACCATTATGATTGTTGATTAGAGGACAGTACTGTAATAAGAGTTGCCCTTAGGCCTTCTGAGGGAGGCACAGGGATATTTGGCCCAACTCCAAGTTGGCCATACTAGTTTCACTGGTTTACTTAGTTTTTCTGCCCCATTCCTACTTGTTGGACTTCATCTGTTACTTCTTATTTTTGTTAATGTTTCTACCAGTAGCCATTACTCTTATTTCCTTATACTCTTTTTCTACACACATTGTATATATTTGGGGAGTTTTAATTTTAGCAATGAATTATGAACATTTCTTAATATCATTAAACATTTTGCAAAAATATATTTCCCCATCACATGTATTTATCATAATCTAATTATTTCTTCTTTCTCAGATATTTAGATTGCCAGTTTTTCACTGCTATAATTTTGCCCCAGGCATTATTATAAATTGTTTGGCTTTCTGATTCTTTACAATAGTATTTTAGAATAAAAATTGCTGGGATATAAAAGGATATAAAGGTTTAGTATTTAATTTTTTATTGCTTGTTTATTTCTTTCTAAATAGGAAATATAAGCTCAGGGGAAGTAATCAAACAAAAGAAAAGTTATGCGGTAAAAAATTCTCCCTCTTATTCCAGGCCCCCAGTCTCTAGGAAAAAAGGCCTGCAATAAAAGATACTGTTTGAACTCAAATGATTCCATGAGCGTGGGAAGCATGGGAGTGACTTGTTCCAGTGCTTGTATGTACATACAATATTTCTGTAATACAGATGAGAGCATACTATACAAACTGTTCTGCACTTAAAAAAAAAACTTATGACTTTTTCATTTTGCCATGTTATTTTCCTGAAAAGCTGCACCATTTACACGTTCACATTTCACCCTTATAGGCATTGAATACTTTAATGTTTTTAAAGTTTTTGCTACATTCATTAGTGAAATTTTGAAATGCTTATGACTAGGAGGTTGAACAGTTTTTTTTTTTTTTGGAGTTACTTACAGGCCATGTGTAACCATTCTTCCTATTTGAATTTCCATTTTCTTACCTTGCTCATTATTTAAAAATTAAGATCTTCATAGGTCTTCATATACATGTCATTTTATTTGTGCTCTTTATATATTAAACATATTAGCTTGACATAAGGCTATATGTTATGTCACAGATCTCACAAATCACCGCTAAAGAACTTACTCATGTAACCAAATACCACCTGTTCCCCCAGAAACCTCTTTATATATTAAACATATTAGCCTTGACATAAGGCTATATGTTATGTCCTTTATTGCTTTTTAATTTTATTTAATTTTTGTAGGGACAGTCAACAGTTGAACACTTTTATGTATTTTTTAAATTTTTATATATCTGGCCAGGCGTGATGGCTCATGCCTGTAATCCCAGCACTTTGGGAGGCTGAGGTGGGCGGATTACCAGGTCAAGAGATTGAGACCATCCTGGCCAACATGGTGAAACCCTGTCTCTAATAAAAATACAAAAATTAGCTGGGCGTGGTGGTGCACACCTGTAGTCCCAGCTACTCCGGAGGCTGAGGTAGGTGATTCACTTGAACCTGGGAGGCAGAGGTTGCAGTGAGCCAAGATCGCGCCACTGCACTCCTGGCACAGCCTGGTGACAGAGCAAGACTCCGTCTCATAAAAAAAATTATATATCTTTAATTCCCTTCTAATTGTATAATTTTTAAATAAAAAAAACCCCTTTTGTTAGAATCATGCAAAGTAAAGAGTAAGTGGGGTCCTCCTACTCTTAAAAAATAGAAGATTAAACTGAAGACCTGTTCTAATCCAAATTACTATAGATATTGAATTCATGAAGCCTAGTTGAAGGAATATTTGACTGTCAGAACTGGAGACCGATACAATTCCAATTCTGGAATTTTGTCAATGTTGGTTGATGTTTCCAGTCTGCCTCCCTCTGCATTTGTGAGTACACGTGTGTGTAGTTGAGGGACAGTGAGTCTAGTATCCATCACATGTGTGGGTGTTATATGATGACCTCAGGCTTTGGCTTTTCTCTGTGTTCTTCCCATCTTAATCTCTACCTCTGTTCTTATTTTTAAAGTTTAGGCGCCTGTGGTGACCAAGGAGTAAAGAAGGTGCTGAGCTGTACCAGATATATTTTGCATTTCGGGCTTTGGCTCCCTCTCTAGAATTGTTGGTCATCATTTTGATAACTTGGTCACTGATATCCAGTTTAAAATTAGAATGAAATGAAGATAATTTAAAGATGTATGATCCATTAATCATTGATAGGCTTTTTCATTAATCAATGTTTTTTAAAAACGACTGGTTCTACTTTTTGCAGCTGACTCTTACTGTATTTGTTAATTTGTTTCTATGTATTTAGATCACATTAGCTACTCTGCTAAATAGCCACTCTGTATTTTAATAAAGTACTTAAATTTCTTAAAGATGAAAAAAAGGAAAAGGAAGATGTTAATTCAAAAGTATTACTGTTCAAATATTTGTATATTCAATATTTATCTTTAAATTTTCACTGTCTAGTAATCCAAATAAAATGTTGCCTTTTTCTTTATATGTATATTTTTAAGACATAAGATCTGGCTTTATTGTTCATGCTGGAGGACGATGATGGATCATAGCTCACTGCAGCCTTGAACTCCTGGGCTCAGGTGATCCTCCTGCCTCAGCCTCCCAAATCAGTGGGACTGCAGGTGTGAGCCATACAGGCTAATTTTTAAAATATATATAAGTATATATATATATTAGAGATGGGGTTTTGCTGTGTTGCCCAGGCTGGTCTCAAACTCCAGGGCTCAAGCTATCCTCCTGCCTCAGCCTTCCACTTCCTGGGATTACTCCCAGGCATGAGCCACTATGCCCTGCTCAAAATGTTGAGTTCTTCTGTTTGGTGATCTCACGTTACTAGACATGGCACCAAGCTGTGATTTACCTGCATGGATGGACAATGTCACTCCCCTCTGCCGGAATCATTTGTGTTCAAACAGTATCTTTTATTACTGTTCCGGGCTGTTCCCCCAGAACTTTCTGGACATTCTTATTTCTGGTGAATCAGTGTCCTTTTGTCGGGAGCTAATGGGAAATACATAATCTGAAGCTACAGCAAATATTATAGCTCCTGCTCTTGCTGTGACTCCTGGTGGTTCCTCCAGAGCAGGAAGGAGGAAAGAAAGGAGTGGCAAATGTGGGAGAGATAGTGTCCTTAGAATCCAATACATGATTTGGTAATTGGCCAAAATTATAACAATTGTTATTACTTACTGTGCTTTCTAATCCTTTTGACAATACAAGCAAAATACTATTCTTCCTATTTGACACATGAGAAAACTGACTTTCAGGGAAATTGTGTTCCATTCAAGGTGAGCAAAAGGTACTATGAAAACAGATGGAGAAGGTGAATTTAACTTTGGACGTGGTCAATTTAAGAGAGAAACATATTTTTAGAAACAAACTGACTAGGTCCAGTCGCTCATGCCTGTAATCCCAGCACTTTGGGAAGCCTAGGCAGGAGGATCTCTTGAGTTCAGGAGTTCGGGACCAGCCTTGGCAACATAGCAAGACCCTGTCTTTACCAAAAAAATTAAAAATTAGTCAGATGTGGTGGTGTGTGACTGTAGTCCAAGCTGCTCGGGAGGCTGAGGCAGGCAGGAAGATGGCTATGATCACACCACTGCACTCCAGCCAGATGATAGAGCAAGACCCTGTCTCAAAAAAAAAAACAAAACAAAAAACACCAAACTTAAAACAGTAGTTTAGTTTGGAGAAGTAGGTTTGGAGCTTGGGACGGAAGATGTCACTACAGGGATAGGTTTGGAAAATCCTATACACAGAGGTGATAATTAAAATATTGGAGATTGGTTCTATCCATCTGACAAAGGGCTAATATATAGAATCTACAAAGAACTTAAATAAATTTACAAGAAAAAACTCCATCAAAAAGTGGGTCCAGGATATGAACAGTTACTTCTCAAAAGAAGACATTTATGCAGCCAACAAACATGAAAAAAAGCTCATTATCACTGGACATTAGAGAAATGCAAATCAAAACCACAATGAGATACCATCTGATGCCAGTTAGAATGGTGATCATTAAAAAGACAGGAAACAACAGATGCTGGAGAGGATGTGGAGAAATAGGAACACTTTTACACTGTTGGTGGGAGTGTAAATTAGTTCAACCATTGTGGAAGACAGTGTGGCGATTCCTCAAGGATCTGGAACTGGAAATACCATTTGACCCAGCAATCCCATTACTGAGTATATATCCAAAGGATTATGAATCATTCTACTAAAAAGACACATGCACACATATGTTTATTGCAACACTATTCACAATAGCGAAGACTTGGAGCCAACCCAAGTGCCCATCAGTGATAGACTGGATAAAGAAAATGTGGCACATATACACTGTGGAATACTATGAAGCCATAAAAATGGATGAGTTCATGTCTTTTGCAGGGACATGGTTGAAGCTGGAAGCCATCATTCTCAGCAAACTAACACAGGAACAGAAAACCAAACACCACATGTTCTCAGTCATAAGTGGGAGTTGAACAATGAGAACACATGGACACAGGGAGGGGAACATCACACACTGGGGCCTGTCGGTGGGTGAGGGGGTAAGGGAGGGATAGCATTAGGAGAAATACCTAATGTAGATGAGGGGTTGATGAGTGCAGCAAACCACCGTGGCATGTGTATACATACCTATGTAACAAACTTGCACGTTCCGCACATGTATCCCAGAACTTAAAGTATAATGAAAAAAAAAAAAGTGATACAGTGAACTTTGGGGACTTGGGGGAAAGGGTGGGAGGGGGGTGAGGGATAAAAGACTACAAATTGGGTACAGTGTATGCTACTCGGGTGATGGGTGCACCAAAATCTCACAAATCACCACTAAAGAACTTACTCATGTAATCAAACACAGCTCGTTCCCAAAAATTCTATGAAAAAAAAAAATTGGAGATTGCTGATCATGTATTATGGAGTCATCATGGCAGTAGACTTAATTAGTTGTTCACCCATGCATTGCTCCCTGACACCCTTTTTGGAGCATAGATTCTGATTGCCTGAGAACCATTAATTTTGTTCAAAGGAGATTGCAGAACATGAATATATGAGGTAGCATTATAGATAGGTTTTCTCAGCCGGATCCCACTTCATCACCCTGTTGGTAACAATGAGCTGCCACAGCAGATTCTAATGGTAGGAGGATGGGCTCACACCCTTAGAAGATACTTCAGAATCTCCAGTTGAAACCCTTACCCCCTGTTATTCTCAGTTCCTTCCAATACATTTTTTAGAATCACTGTTTTAGACTTATAGAGAGAGAAAGTGAGGACTGTCACTTAATTTTACTTGTAAATAGGTAAACTTTTTGTTTCTTAGGTACTAAAGAAAACTTAGAAGCTTCTAACTATATTACCCCCGTTAATATGAAAAAGAAGACGTTACAAGGAGGTAACTCACTTAAAGGAATGGGGTTTATTGAAAGGACACAGCCACAGATGTACCCTGGCCTTGACCGTTCTGAAGTCTGTTCTCTCCATACCAGGCCTGTCATGGTGCCCCTGCTTCATTCACTCTCTGCCTCTCACTTTCAAATTCCCCAAGCTTGGTGGACCAGCTTTATTGTTCAGCCTTTTACTTAGGTGTGGATTTCTTTCCTATGCTAACCACTGGTTTGGCTCTAGGCTTAGGGTTTAGAAGCCACATGGAATTACCTGAGTCTATGTTTTTTTTTCAGGCAGTGGGGCAGAACTGCCACTGGCAGGCAATTTTGAGGTTCCACAGCCTATCCAAGAAGATTTTACAAATATTATCCTTTTCCAAGATACAATTTGCCATCATGGGCACTGAATCATGCGGTAGAGTTGAGAGTCACTAGTGGAGGGAACAAGGTGTGGGGTATGTGTTTGAAGAATGTGTGATAAGAATCACCAGCAGGATTGTTTGAAACTACAGGAATATTCCAATTTCCTGTATCCCTTATGATGTACTTTGGGTGATAAGCCACACTTCCACAGGGAGATCCTGCTACTGAAAGGAGCCTGCTATATAGCTTATTGTGTTAGGGTAGGAAAAAGAGTTGAGAAGCACTGATGTAGGAAGTGTCATTCAATTTGAATATGTTTGGAGATGTTTCTAAATTACATTCATCCTCACTGTCAATAACTTACTTTCTATGAGTAACTTTAACAGGTCTACTCTCTCAAGGTGTTTAGTAGCTACAGAATAACTCTCATTTTAAGTATTTGGCAATTTTGGAATGGGGAAAGAATTAAATGGACAGAGCAACTGAATTTGTACAAGCTTTCTCTTTTCATGACAGATGCATGATATGTTTTCATGAAAATAAGGAAAATACTCATTTTTGTAAATGCCATCAATCTTTAACAGTCGAAAATCTGCTTGGCAAGAGAAGTGGTACAACTATAACCACAGAATTGTGGTTATTGTTACATTGTATTGTTTACTGTAAACCTGGTTCAATATTGGTAAATATAGTGTAGCAGAAACTGAACTGTTGTGAGCTATCTGGGCATTGGTCCAAGATATCATTAAAAATACTGCCTCAGACTAATTTGGGTTTATGAATAATATTTTGTTAACAGCTCAACTGAAATTGAGCCACATGGTGTAGCTTCAAAATTCTGAATCCACAAGATAATGAGAGTAGTTTGTGTATACAACACATTGAATATTCTATATTTGAATGAAAAATTTATACATAATTTTGTTAACCTTTAAACTGTAAGCTCCCATATGCTTAATATGATCTGATATCTTTAAAGTTTACATAATGCTGTAGTTTGCTGTGAATTTGAATGCCTTATAAACTAAAGTATTATTGGCTTAACAATCAAATCTAAAGAATAAGGAGAAGTTGCTGAGCAAATATTAAAATGGATATTCAACGCAAGTTGTGGCATATGTTTCTACAAACAGCTAGAGTTTATATTAACATTCGCCAAAAAGATTGAAGGACATAAAGTATTGGGAAAGTTCACTAACTTAATTCATTTCTTTTACTAATGAAAGGTTATTATGTCTTCAAATGGGATTTAGAGATTATTAATAGATATAGCAATGGGAATGAGCTTATGATAAGTGAGATGATTCAAGAAAAAATCTCTATATATTTCTTGCCAAGAAAAAATACATTTGTCTTTTTCTTCATGTGCTACTTTTAATTACTTTAAGTTCTTTCTGAACATACATGTATTATTAATAATTCCTATTGAAATAGTATGGGAAGGGTTTATTTTTGGTCACTGTTAGTGTGTAAGATATTTCAGCAATGGAAAGATGTGCATTATTTAAAGAATGAATTTTAATATTCCTCTTCTCAATAAATATTTTATTTGTTTTCCAGGTTAGCACTCTACGTATATGAATATCTGCTCCATGTAGGAGCTCAGAAATCAGCTCAAACATTTTTATCAGAGGTATGTTTTATATATTTTCTGTATTGCATTTTGATCTTATATAAATGAATGGAAAACACACTATAATAATTATTTGAAAAAAGTTTGTTATGTATTATATAGTGAATTCCTAGTTATCCGTATACATAGTATAGTTTTTATAGATTATGTATAAGCATTTTTATCCCCATGCCACTTCTGTGCCACTCAATCTTCTAGTCACCTTTCCAGCCATTTTCTCTTTTTAGAAATGGAAAGTAATATTAGCATGGCAACAATAATCAAGAAAGCAAATTTTAAAAATTTACTCTAAAAAATTTGTGAGAGTTATAAACCCTCAACCATATCTCTCACTCGAACAATATCATAATTTTGGAAAATGTGGATTTTGTTTATTTTGTATGGATGATCGCTGATTGATTGTAGTTAGAAAACATTTTAATAACCTTATTTCAAGTTCTTCTCTTTCTCTTCTCCACCTTCACTTTCTTTCTTTTTTTTTTTAATTTCAACTTTTATTTTAGATAAGGAGGTACTTGTGCAGGTTTGTTACATGGGCATATTATGTGATGCTGAGATTTAGGGTATAGATACTGTCACCAGGTAGTAAGCATAGCAGCCAATAGATTGTTTTTCCATTCATGTTCCCCTCCCTCCCTCTCACCTCTAGTAGTCTGTAGTGTCTAGTGTTCCCGTGTTTATGTCCATGTGTGCTCAATGTGTAGCTCCCACTTCTAAGTGAGAATGTGCAGTATTTGGTTTTCTGTTCTTGTGTTAATTTGTTTATTATTATGGCCTCCAGCTTAATCCATCTTGCTGTAAAAGACATGATTTCATTCTTTTTTAGGCTGCGTAGTATTCCATGGTGTATATGTACCCCATCTTCATCTAATCCACCACTGATAGGCACCTAGGTTGGCTGGAATTTGACCTTTCTTACAGTGGTGCTTGTTTGTCTCCTATGTATATGAGGATGATGAGGATTTTATTGAGCTCTGTTATGTGCCAGGCATACAATGTGCCAAGGTATTTTACATATATTATCTCTAATTCTTATAAGAAATTTGCATAGCAGGTTATATTCTTTCCGTTTTACTGATGAGGACAACAAGGCTCAGAGTGTTTATATAACTGGCTCATGGCCACAGAGCTTAGTGAGTTATGGAACTAGAATTCAGACTTAGGTCTATGTTAATCCCAGTGCTTTTGGTTTTTCCTCTATATCTGTGCTGTCCAATATGGTAAATACTAGCCATATATAGATTTTTGAGCACTGGAAATATGATGCAATTAAGAAGTGCTATATGTGTGAAGTACAGTATTTTAAAGACAGTGTGAACAAAAGAATATAAAATATTAATAATTTTAAAATTTTGGTCATACATTGAAGTGATAATATTTTGCCTATATTAGGTAAAATAAAATATATTACTAAAATTAATTTTACCTTTTCTTTTTAAATGTGGCTATTAAAAGTTTTTGTGGCTATTAGAAGTTTTAAATTAGATAACACATTATATGCCTGTATCAAAATATCTTATGTACCCCATAAATATATATACTACTATGTACCCATAAAAATTAAAAATTAAAAAATTTTAAATTATACATGTGGCTCTTATTTGTGGCCCATGTTTCTATTTCTGTTGGACAGTGCTGCTTGAAATCGTATTATCTCTGGTGATCTCACCAGTTTGGTCCCCAGCACATCAAGAGCACAACAGACAACTCATTGCCAATAGTTCCCTGCCTGAGGTATAGCCTTCTTGAGATTTAGCTGCAGCTCAAAGTAAACAAACGCACACAACCCTCACTCTTATTTCTAATTAACTAGTATATGTGAACTGGTAGGGCTTATTTGCAGATAAGGAATTTTAGAGGTTTAGCCAGAACATGTAAGAACTCAGTTGTTTTACTATAGAAGGAATATATGCAGTATAATAAAAATTTGATTTCAAAAGTTTATTCAAATCAAAACAAAAATTTGGTGTATCTGTGTTTCATGAAATCATTAGTTAGAAGACTTAGGGCAATGACCTTTCTAAGTCGCATTCACTGATATTATAGAAGAAGTGATTGAGATTGCAAAAAGGATGTCTTTTTGTATTCTTAACCACTGTCAACTTACAGTGTCTTAAAGGAATCTATAGTGCACTCTGGAAATTTAAAATTTTTGTTTTAATGCAGTAGAAACTTAAAAGATTTAATGATCTCCTTCCTTGTATCAAGGACCATTTTGAATTGGCTCAATTCACTTAATCCTGGAAGGTTCCCAAAACTATATTTTCTTACCAACATTGTAAGATATTAGATACAGTGATTATTAAACCTCATCAAAAAAGAAAAATGTTGCTAACTTATTCAAGGACGTTCAAGTATTTGGATTCAAATGCATTATGTGGATTAAGCAAATAACTAGATACTAGACTCCTAGGCTTTGAGCTCAGTGGAAAATGTATATACAGAATTTCTAGGACTGTTTGGTGGAAATGAAATCAGAATTTCAGAAGAGATTCACACATATTGACAAGTATTTGTCATTATTTCATTTTCTCTGGCTGCATTTTGAATACAAAAACTGAGGATTTCTCTTAATTATTAGTCTACCTCACTTTCACACGAGACGTCAAACTGAAAACGAACTATTATCACCAAGAAGACACATTATTTCTAGACTTTGGAGATAAGTGTATGTGATTTTCAGAACTATTCTTCACTATCTAGGCTGCCAAACTCTGAATGGTGCTGTAAAAATGCATTATCAATACCTAAATAACCAATGTAGGGGAATGGCTAAATTAATTGAGCTGTAAGTTTTTAATAATGTAAAATAATAAGTTAGATTAATTTGGACTTATGTAGATAGACTTCCAAAACATTGTCTAGTAAGAGAAGAAAGCCAAAGTATGCCATGTATCTGGAAACCCTAGTACATAAAGTAATACTATATATTTTTGTGGGTACATATTTATGAATATAAAGTATAGTATGAATATAAAGTATAGTAAAAGTTCTGAAAGAACTTACATGCCAGACTAGTTGTTTTGGGAGTGGGGACATTAAAGGGTTCAAAGGGATTTTATCCTTAGTCACAGAATTCTTTTAAACAAGGAATACATATATTATTTGTACAGTTATTTAAAAACAAAACTAAAGAAGAGAAAATATATTCTCGTAAATTATCTGAACTTAAAAGATGGAAGCCTGGAGATAGATTTGTGATAAGCCATTGCTGAGTACATCCTAGAGTTCTTGATAATTTCAGTTGGTTAAATTACAATAGTTTGCTATTTCCTCCCTCACATTTTATGTTCTACAGTATCTAGCTGCTTGGGTTTTCCTGTATACCATGGGGCTTCTGTCATCTGGGCTTTACTCAGTGGCATATTCCCTCTGCCTAAAACTCTCCTCCCCTCTCCACCTTAGAAGTAGCTTTTCCTAGAACGGTTTTCCCAGGGTTTCACCTAAGGTGATAGTACAATCTACAGGGACCTGCACATGAAGACCTTTGCATACATGCCAGGAAGTTGGACTTTATCTTTGGAAAAAGGGAGCCTTTGAAGGTTTTAAAGTAAAAAAAAAAAAAAAAAAAAAAAAAATGACATCATCAGGTTTGTACTCTGGTGTCTTGGTGCCCTTTTGCCCTAACCATGGATGGTAAAAAAAAAAAAAAAAAGGAGAATGTAATATTTTAGAGAATGTAATAATTTATGTTGAGGGTTGCTTTCTCTCTGAGTTTCTCTTCGATCAGGCAGAAAATTTGAGGCCGCTTATTGTAGAATGACTTCTTAACTGGTCTGAGTAGTAAAAAAACAATCTTACCTAAATCCTCCCTAGTCTACCCCCAGGTTTTTACCTAAATCAAAATAGTTCCATGGGAATGTAAAATAGGGAGACTTACTTATTTGAGTTGGTTATTATAATAAAATGGAAATGATTGAAATGGCACCAATTGTTATCAATTATTATAACATTATCCAATGTTCTCACCCTGGTTCAAGGAGAAGTAGACCACTTCTTCCAAATTTGACATTCTTCCTCTGGATAGATGAGGCTAAGAAGGACCGTGATGTTAATGAGCTCTTCTGAATCAGGTTTTACTGTGCTGGGTCACTTCTTTCATTAGTATGGGCTTGTTCTTTTGGGTGAAGTTGCGAGAAGGCCAACTGGAACTCCAGGCATTATCTGAACAAGCAAGATGTGTATCTCAGCTGCCCAATCTTGATTTTCTAAAAATGCCCTTGTCCTGGGCTATCAGAAATTGGACTGCTCTTGATGGCTTTTGTTATCAGTCAGAAGAGTGGGGCACATTATTATTAACCCAGTCATTTTTTCTTAATTAAAAGAAAAAATGGACTAACAATAGAAATAAAAACATTTCTCTAACTAGGTTGTGCCAACTAGCTCAGTGTTACCTCTGATTCATGATAGATTTTAAACCACTACCTGAATCCAAAATGTAGTTTATGTGACTTTTCATTTTTTTTTTACTCCCAAGGGGAAAAAATGGAATATTATTTAGAGATATTCTCAATACAAAGCCCTTCCTCTGCTTTTATCTTTGTTATTCTTCAACATTTAATAATTACAAACAGAATGCTAAGGAATCTTCTTTCCAATTCTACATTAACTTTTGTTACTTTAGATTCATTAGAAGCTATCCTTTTTCTGGTCATATCATTTCGTTATACAAAGATAATGGCTGCTCTTCCTTGAAGTTTTGCATGGTATTCATGTCTCAGAATGAGGCTCAATACCCTTAACAAATGAAATTAAGAATTAGAGTTTTATAAAGATTCTAGATTTTTTCCCTTTCTTAAAATTTTTGCATTATGACTACCCCTTCTTTGTCATAAGTTAGCCAACAAGTTAGCCTGAAATAGAAGCTTAAAAACATCTAAGGGATTCCTTCTTCAGATTTTATTAGGATTGCTAAATTATTGAGCATCATAGACTCCAAAACTCTGTTCTGTTTGCCTTTTACCTATATGAAGAGAGAAAATATTAATTAGTATTTCCTAACCAGTCTCTCGAACTTTAATTTTGAGGCAATATAGTATAGGAGGTAAAAGCAATTGCTTTGGGCCAGACATCCTGGGTTTAAATTATGTTCTACATCTTATTTACTTTCTCAGTTTCCTAGTTATAAGATGATGATAATTGTAACAATACTTTAGTTATGCTGTGGTTTAAATGAGTTAGTATATGCACATTGCTTATAATAGTGCCTGGCCTATAGTAAGTGTTCAAAAGTGTCATTTTAAAAAATCTTGACCAACTTTTTTTCTATCTTGTATAGTTTCTTATTTAAACAAAAATAGAGGCATAAATATGTGCCTGATGTGTACATGTGCGTTCCAAGTGTCTGTCACTTGGATGGCCCATAATCCTACTGTTTGGTGTTACTCTTTCTATAAAAATGGGTCCAGCTCTAATCCCTAATATTGTAGATTGTTGCAAGTCTTCTCCAGTATCTGTGAGCCTTTATTGGGTGCTTAGGGTTCTTGTACTGTAGGTTCTTGCTCTTGTTGAGTGATTATAGCCCCACTCTGGTTCTCCCTCTTATGGTCTATCCCTTTTTTATGCCTGAAGTTTTCTGTTTTTCTCATGATTTCAGAGGTCCACTAACTCATTGCTCTTTTGTATGAAAGATTCTCACTTAAGGTTGAGGGATAGCCAAAAAGATTAGGCATTGTACAGTATAGGCACCAACATTAACTTGAATACTAGACATAAGCTACCTTAAATTCTGTGGTCTCCTTGCTACAGGGAATTTTTCACTAAGCTGTTTTCCTCAGCATGCCTTTGCCTTCTATCTTGTTGACTTCTCATAACCTCTCTCATTTTTCCTTTTCTGAATCCTTCCAGACCCCCGAGCTTCTTCCTAAGAGACCATGAGCAACTTCCTAAATTCTTGTTACATAGAAAGTCAAGTATTTGTTTTCCTCTCTGCATTCTTCCTTTTGCACCATTCCTAGTGGCTTCTGTCTTTCTGTGTCAAAAAAATAAAAACAAAAATAGAAAGGATCCATTAAGGAGTTTTCCCAATAAGAGGTAGTCCTCTTTAGGAAGACTTCTTTCATTCTTCTAAAAGAAAGCAGCACTACTCAATAAAACTTTCTGTGATTATAGAAATGGTCTCTAATCTTTGCTGTTAAATAAGGTAGCCACTAATTATGTGTGACTATTATGAGCTTTAAATATGGCTAGTGCAACTGAGGAACATTCAGTTAACTTAATTTTAAACTGAAATAGCCACACGTGACTACCGAGTATCATGTTGAACAGCACAGTTTTAGATGATCTGCTTCAAAGTATAGTCAGCTTTTTCTTCCTGTTAAACATCTATTGCCTTTAATTTTTTGAATTAAAATGTAAAAATTTGGGCCAGGCGCGGTGGCTCACGCATGTAATCCCAGCACTTTGGGAGGCTGACGCGGGCAGATTGCATGAGGTCAGGAGTTTGAGACCAGCCTGGCCAACATGGTGAAATCCCGTCTCTACTAAAAATACGAAAATTAGCCGAGTATGGTGGTGGGCTCCTGTAATCCCAGCTACTCGGGAGGCTGAGGCAGGAGAATCGCTTGAGCCTGGGCAGTGGAGGTTGCAGTGAGCCCAGATCGCACCACTGTACTCCAGCCTGGGTGACAAAGCAAGACTCCATCTCAAAAAAAAAAAAAAAAAAAAAAAAAGAAAGGAAAAATGTTTACTTCAATTTCAACTTTTTTTACATTTGGTTTAGTATATAGATATACTCATGCTTCTATACATGAGAGATTTTAGAAAATTGGTGGGAACAGTAGGTTATGTCTAAATTAGAAGTCTCAGGAATTTAGTCTAGAAAGAAACTTACACATAGGTATACAGGTTATTTTCTTAACACAGGAATTGGTTTTATTGTTTTATGGTATTAAAAGTTATTCTTTGGATATTGGTTTAAATTAAAAATTATGAAAGGATTTATGGGTACTATGAAAAGTTTGGAACCCATCACCTTCAAACCTGCTGCTGCATTGTTGGAGATGCTGTGGAAGTGGGTCTGGATCTGCTGAAGAGGTCCCACATTGACAAGACTAGAACCCCCAAAAAGGTACTGCCGGCATCCAGAATCGTGCTATCCCGGCTTCACTTTTGGAGCCAGAGGCAGGAAGCTTCTCTTTTTCCTGTTTTTTGATCTCCTGCTAGTGTCTCCTGATGGCAGAACTTAACAGGAAGCCAAATGGCAAGGAGGTTAGGAAATGTGATTTTCAGAATCCCAGCCCCAAGTATAGAATGGAGTATAGAAGGGTGGGTGTAGGGCTGAGAGATAATAGGTAAATGACCAGTATACCTTGCCAGAAGCAAATAAGAATGAAAAATTAAGCAAATGTGTGTGTGTATACCTGTATATATTTATGTATGTACATCTATATCATTTTTTCTTTTTTGTACAAATGTTAGCTTATACACCATTCTGTGCTTTAATTTTTGTTTCACTTGTTAGATTTTGGAAATTGTGTTATATTGGTTCATGAAATGTCATAATTCTCTTTTTATGGTTGTAGCATATTTCATTCTATGAAATGTGCCATGATATAGTTCACTAGCCCTGTACTGATGGACATTTAGGTGTTTCCAGTCTCTTTCAATTAAAACAATGCTTCAATGAAAATTGTTACATATATGTAAAATTTCCCACATGTGACCATCAGATAGTATGTATTTTATAATTAAACCACAAGACATGTCTTTTTCCTATTGATATACCTTTTGTTCATGATTCAATGTTTGGTTTTACATTTATGAAGAAATGCTGAAAATGTTAGATCATATGATAAAAACAGCATATTCATAGACAAGGCCATGAAGTGCAGAATATGGCATTAGGAATGGGCCTTGAGATTTACATGAAAGTTAAAGGAGAATACAGCCCCTGGCTGGTCAAATGACAGAAGGAAGTGAGGTAGATAATTAAGCAGCAAAAAGCCTTAGGACTGGGCAAATACACATTGATGCTGGGATAATGGAAGAAAAAGAAACAGAATAAAGAGAAAATGTTATTGGCAAAGATGCCACCCAAAAACCTAAATAGGCCTGAAGCCCACGAAACTCAATACAACAGAAAATACCTCTTCAGAAACAGCAGAAAATTTGTTTTTAACATGACTGCTGACATTTAGGAATATTTTCTGGCCATTCCTCAATACCACCCATCATTAATTCATATTTGCTAAAAAACAAAATTAAACTACGTAGAATATAATTTAAAATGAAAGTCCTCCTTTTCCCTATTCCAGATAATAGTTGTAGGCTTGATGTGATTTTTAAAAATGCACACACACCTACAAGCACACATATGTATGTATACATACTTTTTTTTTTCCAAGCAGAAAGGTTTTATGCTATACATAATATTCTCCAACCTTCCAAATTTCCATCTTGAAAAACCAGTAGAGCATGATTCTCTTTCCAGGTAGCTGTATTTCATTCTTTTTAATGATAGCACACTGTTCTGTAGTATGTAAGTATCAAGATTTATTTTACAGTCACCACTAGTGAATGTTTCTCAGGCTGTTTCTAATTTTCATTTTTTTCTAACAATACTACAGTGAATGTGGTTTAGTTTTCTACAGGTCAGGATTCTATTTTGGCTCTTCTTGAGCACCATTTTATGCTTTTTTTAAACAAGTGGTATCTAGAATAGTGATCCATTTGGACTTAGCAATATTCACTGTGTAAACACAGACCATCTCTTCTGTGGACATACCTAAAACATAGCTTTAAGTGTGGTTCATTCAATAACTATAAAAGGGTGGATTTTATGTTAACTTCAGTATGATGGACGGAAGTTTTACCTGCTTCTGGCACAGACTTGTAATTTAAGGAGAGAAGGATGAATACTATGTAGTAAAAAATATTGTGAGCATGAAATGATGATATATGTGATGCTTTTTTAGTTTCTCTGAGGAATAATATGATGTAAAACTGTTTAAAATACAAATGTATTACCTCAGGCTTCTTCTCATAAAAGACCATATCAAATACAAACCATATAGGTAGTTTCCTTTAGTCCTTTATCTCCCGAGACAGCTGGAGATGGACTGTGGAAGTTGTGGAAGTGCATGAGGGGAGGCTGCTTAGTAAGGATGAGGGGCAGTGGGTCTCATAGACTGTGAGTCTAATCCTACCTCCCGCACACCCTGGCATTGAAACCTAGTCATGCCATTTTCACTCCTCCATAAGCTATGTCACATTGTTCTTTTAACTGAGTATAGTAAAATCTATTTATTTCACAGTCATATTATGTAAAGTCAAGATGAACTGAGATGAAACATAAGGACAGTACTTTGAAAAATTTGCTGGTCATATGATTAGGATGGTTCTAGTGATTAGGAATATTAGTGTGTCTGAGTACGTTGGTGAGGGTTTATTTATTCTTATGTTCTTTCAAGAAGATACCAACTAGTGAAAAAGTGGTAAGAGAAAAGTTTGAGAGAAGGATGAGACATAGGTTTTTGACTAAATTATAATTTTAGCAGGACATCAGAGTTTTTGAGAGAAGGACGAGACGTAGGTTTTTGACTAAATTATAATTTTAGCAGGACATCAGAGTTTTTGAGAGAAGGATGAGACATAGGTTTTTGACTAAATTATAATTTTAGCAGGACATCAGAGTTTTGTTTCTCATAAATCTCATTAAATATTATTTCTTATTTTTTATGAACCAAGATAATATAAAATGTCGATGAACTGAAATTATCAGATAAAAGATGGCATACATATACAAATTATTTGTATTACCACTTAGGATAATTAAAATTAGGATCTGGCCTATATTTATATGATGTGTTCTGGTTTATTGTTCATATGTAGTTTTTCTAACTTCAAGTTCCTTAATCCCTGGAATTTTTCCTTTTAGCACCTCAAAATGGCTATTACATTATTATTATTATCAATATTATTATTTTTGAGACAGAGTCTCACTCTGTCGCCCAGGCTGGAGTGCCGTGGTGCTATCTCGGCTCACTGCAATCTCCGCCTCCTGGGTTCAAGTGATTCTTCTGCCTCCGCCTCCTGAGTAGCTGGGACTACAGGCGCACACCACCATGCCTGGCTAATTTTTGTATTTTTAGTAGAGATGGGGTTTCACCATTTTGGCTTAAACTCCTGACCTCAGGTGATCCACCTGCCTTTGCCTCCCAGAGTGCTGGGATTACAGGCGTGAGCCACTGCGCCTGGCCCCATTTCTAATCTTCAAAAAATTTCTCTTATTTTTTGAGAACAAATTACTTGTTTTACTTCAAGGTTCCCATTTATTTATACTTTATGTACTTAAGAACTCTGAAAATGCAACCAATTTCAGTGATTTTAATGACACTTAACTTTTTTCATCTTTTTATTAAAGAGGATTTTTGGTTGTTTCTACATTTAGGACCACTTTCTGAGTTCCTGTTTTAAAACTTTTAAAAAGTCCTTTTGGGATAAGAATTCCTAACTTCTTACATAGTAGATGATGGAAAGAATTCCTTGAATTTTTTTGAAATCTGTAATTACAGTTGTTCACTTCTTAGTAGTATTAAGGGCCTCTGGGCATATTTTACTGATTGGGGTATTGTTACATAATTTTTATGATTTAAGCTAAAAAAACTAAGGCATATACTTATGCATAGAGTTTTTTTTTTTTGAGATCTTTCTGGATCTCCGTATTTAAAGTTGTAATTCCACTTTACTGTTTTCCTGCTCTTTCTATCCCCCTTCTCTGCTTAGTTTTCCTTCACTGCATTTGTCACCTTCTCATATAAACATAATTTACTTTTTTGTTTGTTTCTTTGTTTGGGTCTATCTTCCTTACTGAGGTGTAATTTCCCTAAAGGAAGGGATTTCTGTCTTTTGTGTTTACTGCTATCCAGTGCTTAGAAAAGGCACTGTATGAATACTTATTCAGACATCCATGCAAAAGTATTTAGTCAGAACTTTTACTTTTTTAGAGATATTGACCTTGTTTTAAATTTTTATTATAGTAAACTCTAACTTAGCTGAAATGTAAACAATTAGAAAGTTAATATCAGCAACTTTTAAAAACTCTTATTTTATGAGAGACTTATGTCTTCTTCTGCCCACACCCTCAAATCACGAATTTATTTAAAAACTCAACCCTTAAGGTATAATTTGAAGTCAAAATATTAAGCCTAATCTCTTGCAAGTTTCTGGGTGAGTGGTGATAATTGATGTTCATATTGACAGTAATAATGGTGGTTTTTTGTGCCTTAAGATCCTGAAATACCTTCTGATTCAATAAAAGAAACAGAAAGAAAGAAAAGAAAAACCTCAAAAATGGAGTTAGCTTTAGAATGATATTTTAATGGTGATCTGAATTTGGTATACATGATAACTCAGTGTAACAGGGCACTAATTCTGAAATGATTTTAAATAGAAGCTTAATTTTCTGTTTAAATGATTCATTTTTACTTTTTCCATTTATGCTAGGAGCATAGACAATTGTTGCTTAGTTCCAACTCTGATTGTTCCTTTTTCCTAGTTACATGTATGGTTTCCAGCAAGATGAAAACTATTCTGATTAGTAAGTTAAAATTGTTTGGCACAACCCTAAATACTTTGAATATTTTTATATAGAATATCACTGGAATTTTGTGGGTGCTGGTGACAATGATGATGTAATAAAGTTTTTACAGGGATACCCTCCTAGGTAAAAGAAAAAAAAAATAATAGCACCTAACAGTTACCAGGCACTTACTGCATGTCAGTTACTCCTTTTTTTTTTTTCCCTCTGAGACGGAGTCTTGCTCTGTCAGGCTGGAGTGCAGTGGTGGGATCTTAGCTCACTGCAACCTCTGCCTCCTGGGTTCAAGCGATTCTCCTGCCTCAGCCTCCAGAGTAGCTGGGCCACTGAGCCCGGCCTGTCAATTACTCTTTTTATTTTTTATTTTTTATTTATTTTATTTTTTTATTTTTTAAATCAGGTTATTTATTTTTTGCTGTTGAGTTGACTGAGTTCCTTATATACTTTGGATCCTTTTTTTTCAAATTTATTATTATTATACTTTAAGTTTTAGGGTACATGTGCACAATGTGCATGTTAGTTACATATGTATACATGTGCCATGCTGGTGTGCTGCACCCACTAACTCGTCATCTAGCATTAGGTATATCTCCCAATGCTATCTCTCCCCCCTCCCCCCACCCCACAACAGTCCCCAGAGTGTGATTTTCCCCTTCCTGTGTCCATGTGTTCTCATTGTTCAATTCCCACCTGTAAGTGAGAACATGCGGTGTTTGGTTTTTTGTTCTTGCGAAAGTTTGCTGAGAATGATGATTTCCAATTTCATCCATGTCCCTACAAAGGACGTGAACTCATCATTTTTTATGGCTGCATAGTATTCCATGGTGTATATGTGCCACAGTTTCTTAATCCAGTCTATCATTGTTGGACATTCGGGTTGGTTCCAAGTCTTTGCTATTGTGAATATCGCCGTAATAAACATACGTGTGCATGTGTCTTTATAGCAGCATGATTTATAGTCCTTTGGGTATATACCCAGTAATGGGATGGCTGGGTCTCAATTACTCTTTTAAGTGATTTTCATGTACTAACCAGTTTTTTCCTCACAACAACCTTGTGATATAGGTGACTATTATTAACCACATTTTATAGATGAGGAAACTGAGTCACAGAAGATTTAAGTAACTTTCGCAACTTCACACAGCTAGTATGTAGGAAAGTTAAAGTTTATGCCCATATCCCATTCTGCTTAAAATGAAGATATTTTTAATATTTTTACCTTATGAAAGGATATTTGAAGTGATGTATCAGTGAGAATACAGCCACACCAATTAAAAGCACGCTGAGTGTTTCAACAGAGAATGTAATATGTGGAAATAGCTAAACAGATTTTAAAGAAAGCAACAACAGCACACAGAAGTTACATAAAATCAATAATTTCAGTGAGCAATCACTAGGGCTGAGGCACCAAAAGGAAGAGCTTGTGGTTATCAAAAAAATTGGAGGAGAAATCTCAGGGAGCTGAATCTTAGACCTCTAAGGAGAGGGAGTGTGGGACTGCTGTTACTTGAAGAGCTCAAATTTACCTTTAACCTCTGAAGAGAGATATTGCCCAGCTGTGCTGATACTTCTGAGTGGCACAAAGAGACTGGTTCTGGTTGTGTGGGATAAAGCTAGAATGGAACCAGCTATTGTCACAGCTATTATCACTGGATGAACTGCTGCTGGGGTCACCCTCACAGGAATAGTAAGCTAACAGAAAACAAATCCATTTCCCCTCTTCTTACTTCCAGTCTCCCTCTAGAGCATCTCTTAGTTTATGGGACCTAACAGGAAGCCATTTAATGAAGGACAAAGGTAGTGTATGGATCTCCAGTCTCAGCATCTGAAAGACCACAGAAAGATGGATTTAAAACTGAAAGACTAGAGCTTTATAACTGGCACAGTATGAAGCAAATTCAGGAAAATAGTGGTGACATCTCTCTGAGACTAATCCAGTCAACAAATCACTTGTAAAATGAGTACTTGCAAAACTTGGGTAAAAAATATCATGAAAATGATGAAAAATTCAAATATTACTATAGTATTTTAAATGGGGATATTATTACTTTGTAATATGTGTGGAAAAAAGTATTATTAGGAAAGTAATATCTCTTTTATTCATTTTAGATAAGATGGGAAAAAAACATCACATTGGGGGAACCACCAGGATTCTTACATTCTTGGTGGTGGTAAGTATCCTTTATTCCATTTTTACTGGCTTGATGATGCATTTCAATAGGCCTGTACTATACCTGTTTATGATTTCATGCTTCCTTTTTATTTTTTCATTTTCTAAAATTTTCTGGAAGGTAGCACTTTTTAAAAAACCCTTAAAAACCAGCACTAGTGTAATTTAACTTAAATATACTACTATTGAGTTCAACTGGAATTGGAACCAGTGTGTGGAATCTCCAACTGTAAGTACAATTCTGTAACGGCTTGGGATGCCATAACAAAATACCGTAGAATAGGTGGCTTAAACAGCAGAATTTTACTTTTCACAATTCTAGAGGCTAGAAGTACAAGATAAATACCAGGATGATCAGTTTCTGGTGAGGGCTGTCTTCCTGACTTGTAGACAGTCACCTTTTCACTGTGTCCTTACATATTGGGGAGAGCAAGCTGTTTGTGTCTTTGCTTATAAGGGAACTAGTCCCATCATGATGGTCCCACTTTCATGATCTCATCTAAACCTAAGGATTTCCCAAAGACCCCATCTCCAAATACCATCACATTGGTAATGCCCACCCCCTCAAATCAGGAATTTATTTAAAAACTCAACCCTTCATTTCAATATATGAATTTGGGAGAGAGCAGGGCTTGGTAGCCTTGACTCTCTGATTGTCAAACTAGTTATAAGATTGCTTTCAGGCTGGGCTCACGCCTGTAATCCCAGCACTTTGGGAGGCCGAGGCGGGTGGATCACAAGGTCAGGAGATCGAGACCATCCTGGCTAACACAGCGAAACCCCGTCTCTACTAAAAAATAGAAAAAATTAGCCAGGCGTGGTGGCGGGCACCTGTAGTCCCAGGTACCCAGGAGGCTAAGGCAGGAGAATGGCGTGAACCCGGGAGGCGGAGCTTGCAGTGAGCCGAGATTGCACCACTGCACTCCAGCCTGGGCCACAGAGCGAGACAATGTCTCAAAAAAAAAAAAAAAAAAAAATTGCTTTCTACAAAGTGGGTTATCAAGTTGTCAATGTTAGACTTCTGTATAGGTAATTATAAGCGTTGGCATGCCATTATAGCTTCTTCAAACCCTCACTTTTCCTCTTGGGGAGATTGGGAATGGGAGATAATAATCTGATTGGCATCTTTTATGTAATAGGTCAATCTTGTTCCAAAATAACAGCTACTCATCAAACTCAAAACTCCCAAGAACAAGGGGGGAATAAGTTACAAATAAGCAGTTAGTGAAATAAGTTTATCTTCATTTTCTTGTACTGGAAAAGCATATTCATGAGAAATAGTGACCTGATACAGTGCTCAACAGATACTGAACTAATCAAATGGATTTTTTTTTTTTTGCCTCGAAGAAGTTATGTTCATACCTTTATATTTCTTTGTATTTCTGCCACATGGTAGTGGTATCTTTTAAAGTTTCATTTATTCATAGGCTTTGAGCCTGTTTCTCCATGCAAACCTAGAAGGTTTATTGCATTCTCTCAACAAATACTTACTCAGTGTCTTGTATGGGCCAGATACTATGCTTGATACTGTGGACACACCAGTGAATAAAACACACACACATCCCTACCCTCTTGTTGATAACAGTCTATAGGGAAAACAAATAACGAAGTAAGCAGTGAGAGAGACGTATTTGAAGGGGATATGCAGAGTGCCATATAGGCACATGCCAAATACATTTCACCTGGAAGAGCTGATATCTAAGCCAAGGCATTAAGTAGATATAAGAGTTGGCCAGAAAAGCATGGAGAGATAGAGAAGGGGGATGTTTTGGATCAACCATACCATGTGCAGAGACTTAGAGGTGAAAGGCAGAGAGAGTATAGCACATGGGAAGAAAAGAAAGAAATTCATTATGTTGGAAATTGAGGTGATAGAGTGATTAGGGATGAGGCTGAATTTGTAAACTGTGAATTTGAATTGAAATATAAAGAGAATACAATGCAGTTTTTAAGCAGGAGAGTAATACTGTTTATTTACATCTTGTCAAAGAAAAGAGTAAAACTCTGTAAAAAATTTGAAAAGATTTATTCTGAGCCAAATATAAATGACCGTGGCCCTTGACACAGCCCTTGGGAGGTCCTGAGAACATGTTCCCAAGGTGGTCAGGGTGCAGCTTGATTTCGTACATCTTAGGGAGACACGAGACTTCAATCAAATACATTTAAGAAATACATTGGTTCAATCTAGAAAGACAAGACTACTCAAAGCAGGGGCTTCCAGGTTATAGTAGATTTAAAAATTTTCTGATTGGCAATTGGTTGAGTTTATCTGAAGACCTGGGATCAATGGAAAAGAACTGTCTGGATTAAGATAAGCAATTATGGAAAGCAAATTTCTTATTACGCAGATGAAGCCTGTAGCAGGCTTCAGCGAGAATAGCTTGTAAATGCTTCTTATCAGATTTAAAGTCTGTGTTGATGTTAACACTGGAGAATATAATGAGGCAAGTCCCACTCCCACTTCCTGTCATGGCCTGAACCAGTCTTTCAGGTTAAATCTTAAGAGTGCCCTGGCCAAGGAGGAAGTCCATTTAGATGGTTGGGGGACCTTACAATTTTATTTTAGGTTTACAATCTTAGCCATGTCACTCTAGTTCTATAGAATAGATAATGGATGGAACACGAATAAGTCCAGAAATAGAGGAGCACTTAGAAGGCTCGTGCAGTAAGGAGTAGAGAATGGTTACTTGAACTAGTGTATAATCATTGCGGAGCAAGAGAAGTAGAAGGATTTGAGGGATATAAGCTTGAAGTAGAAATGGTAGGATTTGGTGAAGAGTTCAGCTGTTAAGGCCCTGTGCTGAAACTGAAATACATACCATCCAAGTGGAGATGTTGAGCAGGCATCTGGTTACATGGGTCTGATGTTTAAAGGAGAGGGAAATGAAGCTGGGTGCAGTGGTGCGTGTCTATAGTAACAGCTACTCAGGAGGCTGAGGTGGGAGGATCACTTGAACCCAGGTGTTTGAATCCAGCCTGAGAAACATAGCGATACCTCATCTCTAAAAAAAGAAAGAGAGAGAGAGATGGTTGAATGGTATTACCCATGAGTGGGGAGGGAAATGAGCCTTGTACAGAAACCTTGCAATATTAACATCCAAGGAATGAGGAGGAAGAAGAGGCTGTAAAGGAGAAAGAAGGTGGCCAGGTATGGTGGCTCATGCCTGTAATCCCAGCACTTTGGGAGGCTGAGGCGGGTGGATCACTTGAGATCAGGAGTTCGAGACCAGCCTGGCCAACATGGTGAAACCCTGTCGCTACTAAAAATACAAAATAAGCCAGGCACTGGTGGCAGGCACCTGTAATCCCAGCTACTCAGGAGGTTGAGGCAGATGAATAGCTTGAACCTGGGAGACGGAGGTTACAGTGAGCTGAGATCATGCCACTGCACTCCAGCCTAGGTGACAGAGTGAGACTCTCTCAAAAAAAAAAAAAAAAAAAAAAAAAAAGACAGAGGCTCAGCTAAAAAGGTAGGAGGAAAATCAGGAGAGTGTAGCATAATAGAAAACAAGAATAAGTGAGGGTTTTCTGAAGGAAGAAGAAAGGTCAGTAGTGACAACTGTGACTGCAAGGTAAAGTAATCAGAATGCATATGTCCTTTTAGGATTTAGGGAAAGGCCATCAATGACTTATAAAGCTGAGTAATGGGCTAGGAAACAAGAATGTTTCAGATTCAGAAGTGACTGTGAAGGTAGGAAGTGGGAAATGGTATATAGTCAACTCTTTAAAATGGTTCATCTATGATGAGAAATGATACCTGGAGGAATAGTGTAGGTTAGAAAAAGAAGTTTTTCATTTTAGATGGGAGAGACATTAGCATGTTTAGTGTTTAAGAGAAGGAGACAGTAGAGGGGCAGAGTCTGAAGATACAGGGAGAGAGGAGATTTTAATGGTTTAAAACCCCATACAAGGCCTGAGAGAAGGAGGTCCAAAGCACAAATGCTGGGAAGTGAGAGGGGAGAGGACCATCTCTACCCTTGTGGCAAGAGGAGATGCAGGAATGTTTGTAGGTTTGATGTCAAGAAGTTCATTTCTTCTATTCCTAATAAAATACTGTTCCTTATATGTCCCTGCCTCCTGCCAATCTGGAATATATGCATAGGGCTTTCCTTCTGAATTTAACAATTTTTGGAACCTAGATTAAGGTCCTTACCCCTAATATCGTATCTTCCTCAAGCCTGCCACTAACTGTCTAAATGCATGAGGAATTTCCCATGGAGTATTTTGCATTTGACTGGAAGAGAGGTTGGAATAGAAGACAGAATAGAAACGAAAGAAAAGTTTAGGGAATGTGCAAATAAAAGGAAGCGTTGTAAAAATTATAGTACATTTGTTCTTGGGCTGTTATTACACATTTAATAATGATGAACACTATATAATGACAAAAGAAATGCGTAAGACATTTTAACAAAGCAGGACATAGTGTTGCATGTACAGTGTAGCATAAATGGGTATTAAGAGAAAAAAAATAATTTGTTTTAATATGGTTGGATTACAGATGAGATTTTCTTTCTGCAAATATTTCCATTACTTATAAGTAGAGGTTTCCCCTCTATCTTCCCAATTTTCTACAGTATGATCATGGTGTGTGTGGAGTTGCAGGGTGAGGCAAGGAGAAAGGAAAACATGTGGATTCAGTGTCTCAGCTCCACTACTTATCATTTCAGCAAGGTTTTGTTGTTTTCAGTCTCAGTTTTACCATCTGTAAAATGATGATGAGTCAAATTGATCTAGGGTTCAAAAAATTAGTTCTTATTCTGATAGCTTTTCTTTTTCCTCTGCAAAATAGGATGTGAGGGTACTGAGGGTGGTGGTGGTGGTGATGATGATGATGAATTTTTAAGAGAGTGAAGGATAGTCTTTAAAGAAAAGTTTGAAATAATTCTAAGTAGACCCAGAGAAAGAACTGAGTAGGCGCACACACAAAATATTGCCAGGCAGTGTTTAAATCCTAGTTAATATTGTAGCTTATGAATGCATTGTGATGCCAGTATGCCCAGGAATGTGACTTTTCTGCAGCAGCAATTGGTAGTCCATGTATTTACATGGACAAGCTAGGTGGGGTGTTTTTTTTTTTTTTCCATTTCTTCTATTAAAAGAATTTCTTACTCAGTACGGTTTACACTCGTCTCTTAGCATCTTTAAGAGGAAAAAACAAAAGCTCTCTTTGAGTGCCATGCACGTGGTTTCCTTGGAACGTTATTTAATGCCATCATGTTTTTAATCTTTCTCCTGAAAGCATGCCATACTAGAAGTCCTATGGTGAGTGGAACCGCACTTGGTCAGTTGTGGTTGTGGGTTTCCCCTGTTTGTCTCACATATGTAGGGCAGGAACAGGTGCGGTCTTTTGGTTCAGAGTTGTTCCAACGGTTCACTACAGTTAAGCACCATCATTATGCTGTTTTCCTGGGGTTTAAGACTGGCATTTTGTAAATAGTATAAAATTCAAATTTTCTTTTTATATAGTATTTATGATATCCAGATCTAGCCTGTCAATACTTAATTTTTTTTCCAAATGTAATTGAGTGTCCTCACCTGTTGACACCTTTTCATTTTGTGTGTTTCCAGTGAAGTCTACAAATGGCATAAGAGACCATTTTAGGAGTCTGACTTGGATCAGTGGGTTAACAAAGTGACGATTTTAAGAGTGTTCTATTGTAGCATTAATTTTGTTTCTTACACCTCTTTCTCTTTTACATGCTTTCTCATGAATTTAACTTATTCCTACACTGTAGATGTTTGGTAATAACTTACTCAATACTTTGGCTTTTTGCTTCTGTAGCTTTTTTTTTTTTTTTAACCTTAGCTGTCAGACGGTGCAGCTTTTAAATGTGCCATTTTTTTCCTTTTTCTGTGGCTCTTAGATTCAGGGGATCCCTTCTTCCATGGCGTTGGTATTTTAAATAACTTAATTTTTACTCAGCTGTAGATACCAAATAAGTAAGTAATGGGCACATAAATATTTTTAGATTATATTTGTTCAGTTTAAATCTAGTACATGCTAAATATATAGGTACAGTTTTTTAATGTTTTATATTTTTTCCCCTAAAGCTACTGACATACTCTTTGAGATGCCTCCTTCATCTATATAAATCAATGATTCTTAATAGTTTTGAAGTCATGGGGTCCTCTGAGAACTGATGAGAGCTATGGATCTCATCTTTCAGAAAAATGCCCAGATCTTAAGCTTCCCTGATTATTGTGTTTCGCTAGCCATTACCATGGGCTTTAAATCCAGCAGATGCCTGACCTTCTTATCCTTAACTCTTTCAACCTGGACTTCATAATCTGTGCCCTAGGTTAGGGATTCAGGACTCTAATAATTGTTGCCTTTTTATGTTGACCAGGAAAGCTGTTGCTGCTGTTGAGGTCTACATGATTAGGATAACATGCATTCTTCAGGAACTTACTGCTTGCTCATTTGCTCAACCTAAGAGTCCCTGCTGGATGGACCAGTTGTTAATTTTATGACTTCTTCTCATTTCCATTTTTTAATAGAATATTTTAAATTAGAATTGTTCTGTTGTTTAAGCCTTTTCACCAAATATTTACAGAGTGCAAAACTTGTTGTCCTCAAGGGAATAAATAGCAGGAAAGATAAACAATTTAAAAGTATTAAAGCAGAAGTATGTACTGGTTTAATAATAATGTATTATAGACTTGATATTTGCTAAGAGAGTAGATCTTAAATGTTCTTACCAGACACACACACGGACACACAAAAGGTACTATGTGAGGTGATGAATATGTTAATTAGCTTGATTTTGGTAATCATTTTCCAAAGTATATGTATATCAAAACTTCACATTGTACATCTTAAATATATACAATTTTTATTTGTCAACCATACCTCTATAAAGCTGGAAATAAACTTAAAAAAGAAATATGTACTGGTTATAATAGCAACACAGGAGCAATACTCACTTTAGCTTGGGAGAGTTAGAAAAGGCATCATAGAGAAAGTGAATCTGAGCTGAGCTGAAAGTTGAGTGAGAGAAGGGTAATTGGAGCAAGGAATAATGTGAAATCTCAAAAGGGATGATCATACACTCAAGTAATGACAGGTAATTTGGTATGGACCAGTTCATCTATAGGTCCAGTATTAGGAAGTGATAAAATATAAAGAGACAAAAGCAGGGGACAGATTATGAAGTCCTGCTTACATTAAGGATTTGGGACTATATCCCAAAGATTTTAAACCAGGTCCCTGATGTGATCAGATTTGTGCCTTTAGACACTCAGTTGGCATCAACATAAAGATCGATTAAAGAGGGTCCAGGTGTGGTGGCTCACGCCTGTAATTCCAGCACTTTGGGAGGCCAAGGCGGGTGGATCACCTGAGGTCAGGAGTTTGAGACCAGCCTGGGCAACATGGTGAAACCCCATCTACTAAGAATGCAACAATTTGCTGGATGTGGTGGCGTTCCCCTCTAATCCCAGCTACTTGGGAGGCTGAGGTGGGTGAATCGCTTGAACCTGGGAGGTGGAGGCTGCAGTGAGCTGAGATTGCACCACTGCACTCCAGCCTGGGTGACAGAGCAAGACCTTGTCTCAAAAAAAAAAGATGGATTAAAGAGGGTTGAGAAAAGAGGCAGAGACTAGTAGACTCGGGGGAAAAGTTGGTGAAGAGTGGGAGTGTTTGAAGATGTATGAAAAAGAGATACATATGACATATGCAAAATAAGCAGAACAAAGTGCCAGCGAGATGAGAGGCAAAGGCCTCAGAATGGAAGAGGGGGAATTTCTGTCTTTAATATAGGATAGAGAAATTTGTGTGATTGACTTTCTGGAGCTTTTTTCCCTTGTTTCTAATGTGATTTCCCTAATCACTTTTTCTTTTCCTTTTTAGTTTATTTACCCCATACTCAGCATCCCAGTTTATAATACATTTACCTGAATCAAATCCCCTCTGAAAACTTGCTTCTTGTTTGTACTTTTTGTTAAACATTCCCAACTCTTACATTAGTTCCAGAAATAAAAATGCCAATAAGCTTCTTTCTTCTGATGTTAATGTGTTTTTTTACTTGTGCAATTTTAAAACATAGGCTTTTAAAAACTTTCTATTTAAAGTTTTAATTGCAGAAACTATAGCTCTTGATATGATGCCTTTTATAACTCTCATATCTCTTGATATAGTTTGGCTGTGTCCCCACTCAAATCTCATCTTGAATTGTAGTTCCCATAATCCCCACGTGTGGTGGGAGGGACTTGGTGAGAGGTAATTGAATCATGAGGGCGATTCCCCCATGCTATTCTAGAAATAGTAAGTTCTCACACAATCTGGTGGTTTTGTAAGGGGCTTCCCCCTTCGCTCAGCTTTCATTCTTCTCCATGCTGTCGCCATGTGAATCTGCCATGGATTCTAAGCTTCCTGAGGCCTCCCCAGCCATGCTGAACTGTGAGTCAGTTAAACCTCATTCCTTTATAAATTACCCAGTCTCAGGTATGTCTTTATTAGCAGCTTGAGAGCAGACAAGTACACCTTTTTTTTTTTTCTTTTTTTGAGACAGGGTCACCCAGGCTGGAGTGCAGTGGCACAATCATAGCTCGCTGCAGCCTCCATCTCCCGGGCTTAAGTGATCCTCCCACCTAAGCCTCCTGAGTAGCTGGGACTAAAGGAGCATATCACCATGCCCAGCTACTTTTTCATATTTTTTTGTAGCGATGAGGTTTTGCTGTTGTTGCTCAGGCTGGTCTCAAACTCCTGGGATCGAGACTCACTCGCCTCTGCTTCTGCCTGCCAAAGTGCTGGGATTACAGGCATGAGCCACCACAACCAGCCTATACCTCATTTTTATTTAACAAAATAAAAATATAGAGCACCTTTTAAAGTGACTTTGGTCCCCTGTATTTATATCCTGAAATCAAATATATATAACATTGTAGAGAAAATAAAATATAAGATTATTCTAAGAATTCTGTTTCTTTCACCTGGTGGTGGAAAGTCCAATCTTGTAGTATGCTAGCACTCTAATTATTTTAGAACCTAATGAATAATATCAGGTATAGCTAAGAATAACCAAATACCCACAGGAAAACAAGTGCAATGGCATTAGTTAGCTCACTAGAATGGTATAATATTTATAATTGGCTTACTGGTTTTTACTCATCTGGTATGTCTTTCCTATAACAGGCAAGGTATAATAACTATTTGAGTTGGGTTAAACTAAGCATCGTATAAGACAGTGTAGGTGACAACGGGGCTAGAAGGAGGAGGCTGATAAGAGTGAGAAGGGAGAAAAAGTGTTAGCAAGAGAGAAGGCAAAAAACATAGGCCATAGAGAACAAAACTAAAATTCAGCATGGGAGAAGAGGAAAGGCATGTGGAATACAGAGGAAAATTTGGTGGGGAGAGAACATTGTAAAAAACGGAGGGAATCTTCATTAAATGTAAAGGACTCAAAAGAAAAATGAGGCAAATGTTACTCAAGTTAATTAGAAAACTTTTTATTTCGCTATACTAGCTATATGAGACTTTTTCTATAATATTTTTAGTACCTTTAAGCTTCTTTTAAAATTACTTTTGCGTATGTCATCTCTTTGTCTCTGTATAAAACACTGTAAAATACATAACATTTATTTTCTCTTTTTACATAAATCAAAAAACTATTTGCCCAAGGTCAAATTTAGAGTTAGAATTCAAGTTCCTGAATTGTAACCAGTGCTCATCTCAGTAACACATATTTCTTAATCACAGAGCTCAATTCAGTGTCCCACTATTAATAAGTCATTAATTACATTTCCCATTTGAGCATTGTGAGTGGCTAATTCCAGGCAGTGTATATAAATGGGACTCAAAAGTTTTCTCTTCTGAGTCATGTCTATATTGAGGCATCCACGGATCCCTGGCAGCTGCATGTAGGGTGAGGGGGTGGTTGCCATAGGATATTCAGGAAATGAGTTGGTGCATGGGGTCAAAGGTAGGCTAACAATGTGCTTGCTGTCTTATCTGGTACAGATATCCATCCCACTCTTATAATAGCTGATGCTGCTCAGACTGCTGGAACTGTAGAAACCTGCCCATAATCAGAATAAGGAGTCTTGCATTAAGAACTCTTAAAACCACACTCACGTTAGAAACAAAATAACGTAATAATTAAAAGGCTCAAGCCCAGCTCTGCCACTGTGTGACTTTAGGCAAATTATTTAATCTAATTTAACCTAAGCTTCAGTTCCTTCATCTACAAAGTGGGGATAATAATTAGAAGGATTAGATGTTGAATATGTGATACTTCGTATATGATGCTTGTATAGTACTTACTCAATAATGGTAACTATCTTCATTATATTTTAAAATAGAAATTGATTTCTAATCCAGGAGTATTGTGAGAATTTTATAAAAGTGAAGCAAAATTTAATGCTTTCATTTTTAAAGGTATTAAGTAATGCTAGGGAATAATATTAATACAAGTTATACATATGGGGAAGTTCTAAGATGAAGAACAGGTACATACACATTTCATGTGAAACTGTTTTTGGTCTTATGAATGGATAGGATAGTTTTCTTAAACAGAGATTGTCAGTAACTAACATTCATTGATATATTTTTGGGACAAAGACAAATGACTTCCTTAGTTATTAAGACTTGAGCTTATAACAACGTGGCTTGTTCCTCAGAAAAAATGTTTTCCATGGCGTTTTATTGTTTTGTTCTGTCTTTTAAAAAATTTTTGTTGTCGGGTAGTCCTAGATCTGGCCAGTGGCATAAGTTGTATAATTATGTTAGCATTCCATCTTCTGGGACACATCTGGCATGTTTATTCACCCTTGTAGACTTCTCTGACAACCATTTTGCTTTCTGTGTTCCCTTGAGATATTAACAAGCTACCTAAGTCATTTCAACTTACATTCTCAGGAATAGAGGGAGATACAGTGTTTGGTTGAGAATCTTCAACTTGGGAATGCCGTATTTTCTCTTGATTTATGAGGGGAAGATTTTAATAATAATAAATGATATGAGATCAAAGACTTCAATACTTTGTAAGTTTTGCTTCTCTGTATTCAGTCTGTGTCTTCATTTGTAAAATATAAAATTTTCACTTGTTTCTGCTTGGGAATAAAGAGTGTATAAAACTCTAAAGTATTATTCATGATGATGAACCCATTACATTTCAAGGATAATATTTGCTTTCATGTTTAATAGTTGTAGGATTAGAGGAACTGAGAAGCTCCTTAGTCACCAGCATCTCAGGTTGTAGAGGGGCAAAGTCTGCATCTTTAGAGGTTCAAAATTTTCTGAGCTTGGCCCTCTTGGAGATAAAGGAACAAGTACAGTGGATCATCAGAATAGCTTACTAAAGTACATCAGAAAAATCCCTCGACCCAAGCACAAATCAAGTATTGCTATGAAACTTACCTAAACTAAAAGTCCTACTTCTTCCTCTAGGAGATAAGTCTACATTTTTGTATACTAATTATCACATTGTCATAATATCAGCCAAAAGCATTTGTTAAAAATATTAGTGAAATTTTTATATATACTATATAACCTTACATCAAGTTATGTAGCATATATAGGTGAAGTGAGCAATTTTGAGCAAGTGAGCAATTTTGAGCAAGTGAGCAATTTTGAATTCATCACTAGTTTTGGACCAATAGT